>NC_000006.12:117495032-117798062 GCF_000001405.40 Homo sapiens | reverse complement strand
GAACTTAAAGTATACTAACAAAAAGAGTAAGGAAAAAAGATAAAAATAAATTGTAAATAAATAACTTGTTTCTACGGGCATTGCAATACATAAAACACTAAGAATGCCTTTCTGACTAATAGAATAGAGACAAGAAAACTTAAATCAACTTCCAAAGTTTATCCCTGGAAGAAAGCAAATTACTGAGAATTAAATAATCAATGGATTGTCCCTGTTCCTTCTGCACATCACTTAAGACAGTTTTCAATGCCTCACAATTCTCTGTTATGGTCATCTGGAACCATCCCTGTGGTTCTGGACTCGGGGTAATAAAGAATAATTTCTGGATTAAGAAATGTCTCAAGAGCCTGTTTGAAGTCTTTTACATACACAGGTCATTAATATGTTTTCACATTGTTTACATGGTTTGAGTTTGTTCAATGAAAAATATAATGCAGTTGAGAAAAAACTCTCCTCCAGTTGGAAAGGATAATGAATGATGCAGAATAAAGTTGTTATATTCGGAGCAAGGCCTTCCAAGGTTGACAGTTACAGTTAGAGGACTATACATCTCCTCCCTACCACCTTGCTTCCAGATTGTATGTAAGTGAAAACAAGTCAGACCAAATTGTGACACACATACAAGCAATTTATTTATAAGTATGTACAGAAACAGCCATGTAACCTGTTCCTGTAAGCAAACATTCTCCTGACACAAAAAGAACTTTGGACAAGTTGCTCCTCCTAGTAAGTACATGGCAAAATATGAAGGAAACTGCCAGAAAATTAACCCTGCAGTGTGGTCCAGTCACTGCAATTGAAAGTTGGCTGAAAAATGCACACCTATCTAGGCAAAACAAACCTATCCAGGCAAAATCAGTGGTTGTTTTGAACGTTGATTAAAGAACACAAACCCAGCTAGGACATAAATCTATGTGGGCAAAATCTCCTTCACAGGTTTCCAATGAAGTGATAAGAGTTTTGGGGAAACAGAACTAACTAAACTAAATCTGGATCTTCATTTCAAAGGCTATTGGCGGTGGAATGAACAAGTCATGGTATAACCTCAGTTACATTTTTTCAAAGCTCAACATTTGTCACAGAGATAAAAATACATTAAAAATCCAAACTATACACCTTCAGTTATTTAAGTGTGCAACTGCATGTTCCACACTGGCAAGATGATATCTGTTCTGTATTTATAAGTTGATCATATTCTTATAGAAAAGTTATCATATTGATATAGCCTCAGTGATTGTTAAACTCCTGGAAAAACCATGCTTCAGATCATTTATACGACAAGAGGAGAAGTAAATACAAAACAGAAACAAACTGGCAACACAAAACTAAAGAATATAGCCTTGATCTTCTTGTTCATAAGTGGCTATTATTTAACTCAACTGCATGTGGTATAAAATGGGGTGTTAATTTTAAATGCTACGTATTTAGATCATAGTTAAGAACAAGTGACATGACTCAATGAAATACAAATTAAATGTCAAATTCTCTTTAAATTTCTTGTTTTGAACTCTGCTTTGAAACTTAGAAGCCACTAGACAGATTTTGAACATCAGACATCTCACTTTCTAAGGAATGAAAAAAAAAATCTGGGTTTTCACTCATTTTCCGTTGTGAATGTATAGATTGAGGTCGTTGGCAAGGAACAGAAAAAGATTTTTTATTAGCTGACAATGAGATTCACAAACTATGTGAATCGACAAACAGAGCAGACATCTTTTTCAAATGATACTAAACATTCACTTTGGAGCACAACGTGCTGAATACAGAATCACATAGGCCAACTTTACTAGATTTGCATAGGAAAAGTGCCTCCTGCTGATGTGCATAGGAAATCCTCTCTCAACATTAAGCCCTATTGCAGAGGCTTTGGGGAAAACTAGAAGTTTTTCCTGTTTAAAATAAAACAGCATTTTTCAGTGCCTGCTAAGGAGTTATGCCATTGTCTGCAAAGCCAGCTGCACATAATCACATTTTTTCCAAAAGAGAAGGGAAATCTGCAGAGCTGTCAATAGTAAGATAATAAGTTTGCATCTTCTAGATTACAGCGCACAGATCAATCTTTCCTAGTTCAACAGGGGAAGAAACCCACTTGATAACCTGCTTTTTGGCTTACCATTAACTCAGGAATGGTCATCCTTGGGACTCTCATACGTGCTTACATAACAGATACTGAAAGAGCTGGACCAATAATAACCAATATTAAAAGCATTTGTTATGGTGTCTGGCTCTGTTCTAGGGGCTTGTTATGTATTAGCCAGTTTAACTTTTATAGTAACCCTATGAGGTAAGTGCTATTCTTATTTCCCTTTGACAGATGAGGAAAGAGAGACAGAAATTAAGCAACATGCCCAAGGTCAGTCTTAATAAATGTAGGATGTGAACCCAGGTGATCTGGAGCCACAGTCTGTATGATTAGCCACTGCACAGTTCCTGTGGATTCATACAGTGACTTTTCCTTTGTCAATACTGCCTCTGCAAATTCTATTGTCAACTCCCTTCCTTGCATAATCTGTGCCCCAACTTCCTCTTTGAATAAGATCCTGGGCAGGTTTCACAGCCTTTCTCCTGGAGAATAAATGCCTTCCAGTAACTTTGAGGCATAAGAACAGTCATCCTTAGGTAAATAATACATGAGGTACAGCGTAATATTAACTTTTTAAAGCTCCAAACAAGCATCTCCTAGCACCTAGCTCCCCCTAGCTACTGGCTTGTACAGGCTTTGATCTGGAAGAGGGGCCCTGATTGTCTGCTTCTCTGTTTATTCTACCAATTCCTTCTGCTCCCCCCAGAGGCTTACCCCTATGGCTTCCCCTCTCAGAGATTGTCAGTTTGGAAAGAAAAGTAGGTAAGGGGGGCCTTCCTTGCCTGCATTAAGCCATTTGCTCACTCTGGCCACACTGATGCTTAAAACTGACTTGTTCTCTGGGGTGGGTTGCTGTGAGCTCTAGGAGAACTCCATGATCAGGCTAACACCCAGAAATCCCCTACGCAGGTTATACCTTCCCAGTAGCTTCTTAAAGCTCCCCTTTGGCTCTGACTCAGTAATCCAGCTCCATAGACAATTTTTTTGTTCTGCTTTGAACTCCTCTCCAGGTAGCCCTCCTGTGCCAAATCCTCTTTAAGTGTTCCAGGTCAGCTCTCTCTCAAGCCCACCATGAAAAAATGCACCCCTTTGTCCTATCACCGATGGGGCTGCAGTTATCTCCTAAGCCACTGCTTTCTACTCTGGAACCCCAGGCTGATGTCCAGCTTCCCTTTGGCCCACTGCTCCACATGCTGCCAGAGACCCCAATCCAGCCCACTGGATTGGTGGTCTCCTGCAGCCACTCTCCATGAAAGGGGGAGTTAGCCCCTTCATGTCCTCATGTTACTATGTCAACATAACCACCACTGTCTTGAGACAATTCTCTAATTTCCAACTTCAGCCTCTTTGCAAGAGTTGGGTTCAATGACCTCAAAGGATTCTCCTAGCTTCTACATCCTTGGTTTTCACCATCTTTGGAATCCACAATTTTATGGCTCTGCCAGGTGCTGTACCACCTCACCTACCTGGGCCACAACTCTTCAATGTGGAGAAGTCACAGCTGTGCTTAACATGCGTGGCTGGCTGAAGAAATGCTTTCTGCTTTCAACTTGCTTCTGTTGCATGTTGGGTTGTCCAAAAGCAGAAGCTGAAACAGAGTTTGGCATACAAGGAATTATTAAGGATCAACACCTATGGAAGAGAGAGGAAAGAAGTAGTATTGGGAGAAAGGAAAAGTCTTTGGTGCAGATATAACAAAGCTTTGGCCAATTCTGGGGAGGGGGTGCTCAGAAGCAACTATTGCCCATCAGAACTGACCCACATCACACCAGAATGATCAAGCCTTTATAGCCCCATCTTGAACAACTGTTCAAGCCCTTGAGTGAGGCCACTCTTGGCAGCTGAGGCCAAGCCTGAAGGAGCAGCTGGAGGCTCTATGTGGGCAGTTGGGAGATGTATGCTATGTCCAGCACACTCTGCTTACTTAGGGTGGACACATTCATTCTCTGTCTGCTCCAGTTATACTGGAGAGAAGAATATGGAATGTGGATAGAAAGGACCCACTTCTCTTTTTATCCTGGAAGGCATTGAAAGTGCTCAACTGGTTCAAATGGGGTCAATAAGCTTTGTGAGATGTGGGATCTGTTTATAGTCAGATATCCATTTCCAGAATCAATGGAGGACAAAGAGAATCCACCCAAACTGCCGTAAAGAATTAAGCTATTTCCTATGATGGTGAATGGTAAGAACCATCGTAACTGGCAACCTCATTTGCACTCTCCTGCCTCTCCTCTCAAATTTCAGACAGTATTTGGGTGGATGTGAGTGAAGAATATATCAATAATACGGGAAACTAACTATAAAATACAGCTATATCCTATGTTATCGGAATAGTTTTTGTTCTATTTCAATCCTGTTTACAGTCATTAATTTCATATTAGAGCCAAATTATTTAACACCTATAGATAATTAAAAGACAATTTAACCTATGTGTCTAAATAAAGAGTTTAGGCAGCTCTGAGAGTGACTTGCGAGAGTGTTGGTTTCTAAGGATACTGAGAAAAAAAGTAAAAGATGACAGGGCAACATCAAAGCCAGCTAGAGCTCCGATTTAATTACAAGGCCAGCTCCAAACCTGAGAGCCAAATGGAAAGGTATCAAGGAAGGTATTAAGAAAACAGCCTCAGGTATCCACTTCCCTGGCTCAAGAAGAGTCACAAAGCCCCAAACTCTATCTTTCCATATGTTTAGTTGAGTCACCCAAGCTGTGTGTATGGAAACAGATAGACTGTCAACTCTTTACCCTGAGCTATTTATGGAAAACCAAAGGAGTAGGTGATGCTGAGTGAACAGGTGGATTTTAGTAAAATATTTCCCTGGCTGCTTTAACTTATGCAAATCCAAACTGAAGAAAGCAACATGATGCTAATTAAAGCTGTAGCTCAGAGTTTGCCAAAACTGCTGGCTTTGATGAACGAGCCTTTCAAAGCCTCCCAAGCTCATGGATGATCTACCAGTCAGCATGCACCTCATTCAAAGACTCTCTAATCAAAGAGATTTATTATGTGACCAAGAAGTAAATCTCGAATTATTTTAAAAGAATAATTATGATGATTACTAAGCAACGTTTATTTTTAAAAATTCAAAAATTCCTAGACACTTATACAAAATCATAAAAAGATGTAGAACTCTCCAGACTTTCTGTGACACTATTGGATAAAATCCTGGTAACCTCTGCTCCCATCTGGTGGCTCTGAGAAACAAGAAGTTGGTCTCTATCAAGGCTTTCAAGGTATTTGATGGCAGATCTAGTCATTGAAGATCCAAAGATTGATGGACCCAAGGAGACTGAATTATTCAGAAATTTCAGATCAAGAGCAAAAAATGACAATGTGAAGTTATTTGTTCTGGAGTTGAATGTGCTCTGTCTACTTAGACCACAGGCCAAGTGTGGGAGACGTTACTAGTGTTTACTAAAAGAATGTCCTTCAGGTTGTTGGTGTGGCCAGATGCCTAGGTCTAGCCAATGAAATGTGAGTAGAAATGCCCCGTGTCATTTCTGAGCTGAGGTGGTGGAAGCCTGTTAGCGCCTCTCCTGTTTTGTTTGTTGGCTTCCGCAGCAACAGAGGTTTTGTGTTTCAGATGGTACAATGGAATATGGCTGTGTTTCCATCAGCCTGAATTCCTCATTCTCCGGATTCCTGTTGCCCCTCTCTTACCCACATGTAACTGTTCTCTTGAGGTTGGTGAGATCGTTTATATCTGTTTTTATAAATTTTCCACGTTAATATTTGTCCATAAACACATCACACTCTTTTGCATGTGCTTAAGCTTTAAATAAATGGAATCTTACCATGTATGTCAATCTGTATGTTGCTTTTCCATCATGTTTTTTGATATTTGTCCATGTTGTTACATGTAACCATGTAGCTCTTATGATTGAATGAATACACCACTATTTGTTTTCCTACTGACGGTCAATTAGGTACTCTTAATTTTGGCTGTAATAGGCAATACTGTAATACATAAGCTTATATAGGCCCCTGCACTCGGGTGCAAGAGTTCTTCAGGAGTTTGTACTTCAGAAGTACAAAGTGGAATCACTGGATTGAAGTATATGAACAGCCTTAGCTTTACTAAACCAAGTAAAAATATCTAACATTTGTGTAGTGTTAATTCTGCAGGACAGTGTGTTTAAAGCTTTACATTTAATCCTCACACAAACACTTTGAAGTACCTTAGAACAGGATCTGGCTGGGTATCAAGTAAGCTATATGTAAGTTTTGGCTATCATTGTCATTTCTGTTTCACAGATGAGGAAGTTGAGGCACAAGTATTTGAAATAGCTTGACTGTCACACAGCTAGCAAGAGAAGAAGGCATCTTCCAGAGTCCATGCTCTTAAAAAGTAAGCTTTCCTCCTGCTGGGCTCCAAAGGCCATAAAGGAGAATTCCCCTTTCTCCAAAGACTTCCTAAACTTGCTATTTTCAAGCTTTGCCATTTTTTGCCAATCTTACGTACATGAGATTACTGAATTATTTTGATTATTGAATTATTGTCATGGGGGTTTGTTGTACAGATTATTTTCTCACCCAGATATTAAGCCTAGAATCTATTAGCTATTTTTCCTGATTCTCTACCTCCTCCCCCTCTCTAGCCTCCAATAGGCCCCAGTGTGTGTTGTTCCCTTCCATATGTCCACGTGTTCTCATCATTTCACTTCCACTTATGAGAACATGGGGTATTTTGTTTTCTGTTCCTGCGTTAGTTTGCTAAAGATGATGGCCTTCAACTCCATCCATCTTCCTGTAAAGGATATAATCTCATGCCTTTTTTGTGGCTGCATAGTACTCCATGGTGTATATGTACCACATTTTCTTTACCCAGTCTATCATTGATAGGCATTGGGGTTGATTCCATGTCTTTGTTATTGTAAACAGTGCTGCAATGAACGTACTCATGCATGTGTCTTTATAATAGAATGATTTACATTCCTTTGGGTATATACCCAGTAATGAGATTGCTGGGACAAATGATATTGCTGCTTTTAAGTCTTTGAGGAATCATCACACTGTCTTCCACAGTCAATGAACTGATTTACGCTCCCACCAGCAGTGTATAAGCATTCCGTTTTCTCCACAACCTTACCAGCATCTGTTATTTTTGACTTTTTATTAATAGCCATTCTGATTGATGTGTGATAGTATCTCATTGTGGTTTTGATTTGCATTCCTGAAATGATCAGTGATGTTGAGCTTTTTCTCATATGATTGTTGGCTGCAATACAAACTCTTTTTAATGTTGATCTTTATACAGCAAGCTTGCTGAACTCTTTTATTATACCTAATCATTTGTCTGTAAGGTCATTTGGATTTTCAGTGTACACAATAGAGTAAAATCTTTGTAGAAAATGTTGTCTTTTTCACATTCTTGTACTTCATTTCATTTATTTGTCTTATATTGGCTGTGACTCCCAGTGAAGTCTTGGACTCAGAAAGCAGAAGAGACATGCTCAAAGTCACCCAGATAATGACAGAAAACCCAATGTTGAATATCAAAATCTTATCTCTTTCTCACTATATAAACATACAAACACTTTTATCTCAAGAATTCCCTTTAGTCTTCTGTTAGATTGTTAGATCTGTTTTAAATGACTGCACAAAAATTTTAATTAAGGATGTGATTACCCAAACATTAAAAGTAGGTTGGTTGATAATGAAGTAGTATAGTAAAATTAAGATAGTTCTTTTTTACATTTTAGTTGTTACAGGAAACTGTCTTTACATGCTTCAAGTCACATTGCTTAGCAACAGCTTTTCAAAATTTTCAGTTATCAGCATGATCACAAAAAAGAGGATAAACTGCAAAACTAATCTACACAAGCTAAATACATTTGCATCTGGAAATATATGAATAAAAACCTAATTGTTTTGAAATATAGACACTGTCCTTGCTGCATAAAAACCTAATTGTTGGCCGGGCGCGGTGGCTCACGCCTGTAATCCCAGCACTTTGGGAGGCCGAGGCGGGCGGATCACGAGGTCAGGAGATCGAGACCATCCCGGCTAAAACGGTGAAACCCCGTCTCTACTAAAAATACAAAAAATTAGCCGGGCGTAGTGGCGGGCGCCTGTAGTCCCAGCTGCTTGGGAGGCTGAGGCAGGAGAATGGCGTGAACCCGGGAGGCAGAGCTTGCAGTGAGCCGAGATCCCGCCACTGCACTCCAGCCTGGGCGACAGAGCGAGACTCCGTCTCAAAAAAAAAAAAAAAAAAAAAAACCTAATTGTTTTAAAATATAGACATTGTCCTTGCTGCATCATTCATTTTTAAGACATTGTAAAGCTAAAGCCCCACATTAGTCATATTAAAAAATTTTTCACTATTCATATATGGCACCATATATGCAGAAAGTGGCTTTAACATTTTGGCCCTTACATTCCAAATTTTAGGGAGAGGTCACTTTACTCTGAATTGAAAAATAGATAAATGACCAAGGATCTCCAGTCCTTCCCTCTTGGGCATGATCTGCTGCTATGTCTAAATGTTTGTGCTCCCCCAAAATTCATATGCTGAAATTCTAATCCCGAAGGTGATGGTATTAAGAGGGGAGCCTTTAGGGCATGATTAGATCATAAGGGTGGAGTCCTCATAAATGGGATTCGTGACCTTATAAAATAGGCCCAAGAGAGGTCCCTTCACCCTTCCACCATGTGAGATCACAGTGAAAAGACAGCCTTCTATAGACCAAGAGTGGGCCCTCAATAGGCAGTAAATCTGTCAGCACCTTGATCTTCGACTTCCAGCCTCTAGAACTGCAACACATAGCTTAGGTTATTTTGTTGTAATAGCCCAATACATGCCTCTGGCATAATATTGGCACATTGTAAGTGCTCAAAACTGGGCTAGACTGCATGTCCTACTGTTAGGACAAAACTGCATATCCTACCGTTAAGTAGATTCAGCCTGGGCTGCACTTTGGAAGGGAGAGAAAAAAGAAACCCAAATAGCCATGCTTTTGTTATTACTTTTAATGACTGCATATTAGGAGTGTCATATTAGATACTAGGGTACACAGATGAACAAGTATTGTCCCTGCCTTCAAACAGCTACAGGTCAAAGATTTAGTCTGAAAAACACTCTAAGTACTGAGTTATGAGTACTTTCGTAGATGCGCATCCAAAATGGTAGAGAAACAAAGAGAAGTTACCACCTAACTCAACTCAGCTTGTTTTCCCAGGAAGACTGGGACTCTGTGAATAACTAAACCTTAATAAACTGGATAAGTTATCAACAAGAAAGTAACATTTACAAATATATAAAAATAAACAATTGGCACCTTTAACATATAAAAGCTCTTACAAATCAGTGTGTAAAAGATGAACTTTCCTATTGAAAATGGGCAAAGGATATGCTCAAGCAATTAATAAATAAGTGGACAAAAACCAGGGAAAAGGTGTTTGATCTCACTAATCATTAATTAAATATAGAACCAAGCATCAATGGTATTATTTTTATCTTTCAGATTGACAAATATTCAAAAGATTGTTACTGCTCAGCAACAGCAAGGACATTGGAAAGAGTGGGTCCTCTCATTCATTGTGTACAAGAATACAAATTGATATAAACTTTCTTTTTCTATTTTTTTTTTTTTAGAGACAGAGTCTCACTCTGTTTCCCAGGCTCCAAAACAGTGGTGGGATCATGGTTCACTGCAGCCTCAACCTCCTGGGGCTCAAGTGCTCCTCCCACCTCAGCCTCCCAAAGTGCTGGGATTCCAGGCATGAGCCATCATGCCCAACCCTGATATAAACTCTCTAGAGAAATCTGCCAATATGTATTAAAATTTTAAAGCACCATCCTTTAATAAAGTAATTCCACTTCTTAGAATAAAGAAAAATAATCAGACAAGTACACAAGGATGCAGGTACATAAATGTTTCTTGTGGAATTGCTTAAAACGGTAAATGAAAAGCTTTCTGAATTTGTTATGCACAGACTATTATTCATCTCTTTTAAAAGATGAAGTATATAACTTAGACTTGCAAAGATGTTCAAGATACATATTGTAAGCGACAAAAGCAGTTTATAAAACAGTATGTTGAGTAAGATGCCATTTCTATAAATATACCATGTATACATAGGAAACTGGAAGTCTGTGCACTAAATAGTAGTGGTTTCCTTTGGGAGGATGAGCTTATAGAAGACTTCTGCATTATAAACATGAACATTTGAATGTGTAGTTTGAATTTTTGTCATGAAGCGTATGTTGCTTTTATAGCCAAAACAAAGCGGAGATATCTCGTTTAAAAAGGTGGGTTGTGGGGACGGTATCCCTTTACAAGTTTACAGGTTGTTACTGAAACTGAACTGTGTACAAATATTATGTTTTATGAAATATTGCTGGCTTGTAATAACTGTTTTAAGTTCATAAATGTGTACATCCAGTCAAGTTATTTGAGCAAAAATTCCAGAAGCTTCACTCCCCATTTTTGACTTTAAAGTATGCCAGAGCTACAAATATATAAAAAGATATTCGTGGTTGTTAAATAGAGGTCACTAAAGTATTCCTACAGGAAGCCTGCTTCCTCTTCTCTCAAAAGATATGGTTTAAGCTTCTTTGGTTTCATGTAATTATATGAAATATTTGCATTGAAGATGAGTGGCTCCACGTGTGGGCGGTAACTTCCAAGCCTATGTTGTTAATCAGTCTGTATTAGAGATTTTTTTCCCACTTCAAGTAATTAGCCATTAGGACAAGCAAAACATATTTTGATGTTAAGTATGCAGCAGATTTCAACAAGTTTAAAAGAAAAATAACAGGCTTGCCAAGAAACATTGTAAAGAGCCAATACAAAGACTAAAGAAACAGCCATCCGGAAAATATTGAGTTTTTGTTTGCGGATTGGTTTGTAGAATCAATTATTCAGGCTATAACAGCAAGCATGACCCTGTCTGCAACCAATAGCAATAATATAACTAGAGACCCTTCCAATAAGGAAAGGTCTGCTGCCTCAACACAACTGTGTGAATAAGCTTGTTTATCAAAGACATGCCAGGATCAGAAGCAGCCACGTTCTGCACAGTCTTCCTCAGTACCAGGTTGATTCCAAGACAGGAGACATCTATCGGTAGAGTCAGACTCCTTTGTGATATATTAAAGAAGAGTCCAGTGTGGAGATTACAATGAGACGAATCTGACAGCAACACTTAACTAGAAATTGTCAGTTAGACCTTGTACTAAATTACCTTCTCAAACTCTGACTAAGACATCTTAGTCAACTGCACCTGAACTGAACTGGGGTTAAAACAGAAATAACGGAATAACCTCTTTATTTCAATTTGCTTAACAAGAAGTCTGGAGGTAGGCACCTCCAGGCTGGGGTCTATGGCTCAATGAAGTAAGAACTCTACGTGTGCATCTCTGTGACTCTCTCTTATGGTTACAAGATGGCTGCAGTAGCTCCAACATCACAACTTCACATGAAAAAGTTCAAAGCAGGAAGGATGGGTTGGAAGCAAAAGAGTGCATTCTCCCTGCCTAACTCACCCACAGCATAAATAAAGATCTTTCCTAGAATCCATCGCTGACTTCTTATGTCTCATTGGCTAGACCTCTAAGCCAATCACTGGCAGTGGGGAACAGAATTACTATAATTGACTTAGTTCAGTCATGATTTATCCCTTGAGGCTGGGCAAGATGCAATTCAAATAAAAATTGGATTTTATTAGCAAAAAAGAGGAAGAAAGAACTGTTGAGCAGGCTACGAGCAATGACACATAGAAAATAAGATTCCCATATTTATGGACCAGTCAGCCCTTTAACCATCCCAGTGTTCTAACCCTTGTTCTACAGGTTCCTTCCTAAGATTCATTGCCGGGTCTGTAGGCGTATTCCCAGAAACAGCCCCAGTTTAAGGAAGACTTTCCTGATAAATTGCTGCCATCTCAACTTTGCTCTCAGCTGAGAATGTGAAACACATGAATCAGCAGCCTTTTGTAGTCCTCTGTAAAATGGTGGCGACCACATTTACCTACTGTGGGAGGCCTATGGATGAAACCAGAGTACACTTGTGTTACTCTAATGTGCTTCACTCATGCTCTCTCCCGAGTAAACAACCATCATCACTGTGACTGTTAGGAATAAGCATCCATTTTCTTATCTAGTCCTGAAAGAATTCCTTTAGGTTTGTGTGCCAGGAGAAGAAGGTGTAGATCCAGTGACATAGATGGGCCCCTACCCTGGCCCAGACAGTGTCATCAAGGTTTGATGGACTTGGTTAAATTTCCAATTTGCACCTCCATGTTCCTAAAAAGTACATATAAAGGCAAAACCATGATGCAAGTTCAGGAAGATAATAGCTATTTTTTAAAGATTGAATACTTACCATATGCCAGTTACTAAGTGCTTTATACGACACACACACACACACACACACTTAATTCTGTACAAGAATCTTACTAGTCTGTCACTGACATTTTACCCTTATTCTGATGAGACAACTGAGCTCATATGAGTTTAACCTGTAAGTGGAGAAGTTAAATTCACTCAGACCTGTCTGGCTCTAAAATTTATGTGCCTATCTAACTACACTTTGCTTTCTTTACTCGCAATGTGTGCAAAACAGATAAAGAAAAGCAAATACTTGATACCCCACCATTATTAAATTATACCTTTTGTTCTTCAAAAGACTCTGTTATAAAAAATGAAAAGGCAGGCCACACACTTGGAGAAAATATTTGCAAAGCATATATCCAGTAGATAATGTTTTTCTAGAATATAAAAAGAACATTGACAGTTTACTAATAAGACAAAAAAACATAATTTTAAAAGAGGGCAGAAGATTTGAACAGATATTTCACCAAAGAAGACATATGGAGGAAGTAAGTAAGCACACACAAAAATGCTCAATGTCATTAGGCATTAAGGAAATGCAGATTAAAACCATAAGGAGAATTCCCTACACACCTATAAGCATGGTTAAAATTATAAATGTTGAATACAAGTGTTAGCAAGAATTTGAAACAGCTGGAACTCTCATACATTACTGGTGTAAATATAACTTGGTATAACCATTTTAGAAAACAGTTTGGCAGTTTCCTAAAATGTTACACTTACATACATGGTATGATGACCCAGCCATTCCACTCACAGATATGTACCCAAAAGAGATGAAAACATGTCCACGCAAAGACATGTATAGAAATGTTCACAGTAGGTTGGCTTGTTGGAAACAACCAAAATTTCCATCAACAGGTGAATGGATAAATAAATTACAGTTTACACACAATAGTAAACAATTCAGCAATAAAAGAAATAAACTATTAACACATGCAACAACCTGGATGCATCTCAAAATAATTATGCTAAGTGAAAGAAGCCACCCCTAAAAAAACAGTATGTACTGTATGAATCCATTCATATAAAAATCTAGAAAGTGCAAATTAATCTATAGTGACAGGAAGCAGATCTGAGGTTGTCTTGGGATGAATGGTGAGAAGGGAGAGGAGCCGAGGAGGAAGGTATAAGGGGCAGAAGGAAATTTTCGGGTGAAGCTTATGGTTATATTTATTACTTGATTCTAGTGATGGTTTCTTGGGTGCATACATATGGCAAATGTCATAAAATTCTGCACTTTAAACATATGTTCCTTATTGCCTGTCATTTAAAGAGTATCTGTCTATCTGTCATCTACCTATCTATACAGAGAAATAGTTATATCTAGCAATGGATGGATACAGAGAGAGACTGAGATAATAGCAAAATGTTAGCAATCCAAAATTTATTGTTGGATCTAAGTGAGGAGTATAAGAATATTTATTTAACTGTTTTCTCAACTATTTTGCATATTTTAAAGTTTTCATGATAAAATAAATTTGGAAAGAGGAAAGAAAAAAAGAAACTCATCCCTTTTGAGCAATCTTATGCATTACACAAAGTCTCATCTGGAGTTTACAGTGGGTTCCCTCTAGGCTTTCACTATATTTGAGCCATCTGGAAGACTTGGGGGAAGGTGGTTGGAACCACCAGGGAATCTTGTCATGAAAGGCAGAAGAGTCGCCTGAGAAACATCTCATATCACAAAAGATGGAGATGAAGTATAGAACTCTTGAATTTGCACAAACAACTCCGATGTACAAAAACATAGAATATTTTCTATACTTCACTTTTTCCTCGAGCCTCCTATTTGGCTAATACTGGAGTTAAGTTAAACATGCCAGTTAAAAGTAACTTTCCCTTCCAGTGTAAAATAGTTTCAGGGAAGTACCTGGCCTCTTTTGGTAAATATTTGATTTTCAGGCTTTCTTCCCTCTCCCAATCTTTTCTTTTCTTCCTGAGTAACAAAACATTAGAGGCAGCTCATGCCATAACTTGTCAGTGGGCAGAGAGGTCCGTGGGCTATATGCTATACACGAAGGGCCTCATGATTTCCTCCATGATGTTCCTCATCCCTCCTGGCAGCCTGCTATACTGGGGCCCTTCCCAGTTTCCCTGAGGAGTGGCTGAACTGCTCTTGCATCATGCTGGCATCTGTCACTGAGAACACTGACACCAAGCCATTGTCCCAGGCCCATTGTGTTCATGCTCTGATCCTCTCTTGTCCTGGCCTAAAGCCTCTTCCAGGCCACTCTCGCTCTCTGTAACCCTTGGGCTGGGAAGCCTCGCTGCTTTCTGTGCAGTGTGCAGGATGAGACTCTGTGAGGCTGCCCGTAGGTCCCCTTGCCTAGCCACTGCAGCTCTTGTTGGCTCCATTCTTATAGTAGTTTCTTAGGGCTACTATAACAAATCATCACAAACTAGATCACTTAAAACAGCAGCAATTTCTTCTCTTACAGTCCTGGAGGCCAGAAATCTTAAATCAAAGTGTTGGCAAAGTTGGTTCCTTCTGCAGGCTCTGAAGGAGAATCTGTTCCATGCCTCTCTCCAAGCTTCGAGTGGCTACCAACAACCTTTGGCTTTTTTTTTTTTTTTTGGCTCAGGGCTGCAGAACTCCAATTTCTGCTTCCATCTTCACATGGCCTTCTCTCTGTATCTCTCTCCTTCTATCTTTTATAAGGACTCTTGTCATTAGATTTGGTGTTCAACCGAATCCAGCATGATCTCATCCCAAGATTCGTACCTTAATTACTTCTGTAAAGACCCTTATTCCAAGTAAGGTCATATTCTGAGGTTCCAGGTGGACATATTCTTTAAGAACAACAATTCAACCCACTCTTATTCTGAATTCAGAGCTTCTCTTGGTCTTGGCATCTCCCCAGCCTTTGCTCAGGAGAGGCACTAGCCTGTGATACTCTGATCTCTCTAGATCACTTTAGGAGTTTCTGCTGCCCCCATACACCTGTCAAGATGTGATCCCAAGAGGGACAAGGGAAATAACACCTCCTTCTTCTCTAAGGATAGGTTCAAAACCAAAAGTAATTAAGACCAGGCACAGTGGCTCATGCCTATAATCTCAGTGTTCTGAGAGGCAAAGGCGGGAAGATCACTTGAGCCCAAGAGTTCAAGGCTGCAGCGAGCTATGATGGGGCCACTGCACTCCAGCCAGGGTGAGAGGGGGAAAGTCTGTCTCTTTAAAAAATAATAATAATAATTTAAAAACAACAGATACTCTAAGTAAGCACTCAATAAACAGTCCCCACCAGAAAAATATTGATAATTATTTTTGATATGATAATAATTATATGATATATAATTATTTTTGATATGTGATTATGATAATTATCATGTAAAATGAAAAACCAGGAATAAAATTATCTTTCATAGTACATCAGAATAACCACTCTCAAGTCATTAACAAGTGTAGCATTTCCATCTTATATAAAAATGCTATTAATACTTGCTCGTGCTCATTATGGTTGAAATCAAAGTGTGGAGACACAGCATGTAAAATGTATAAGCTTGTTTTTCATGAAAACAAATACTGCAGAGGAAGGCTGCCACCACACATCTGCTTATTGTCTTCCAAGCTTAGTACCCTAAAGAGTTAAACATGGATGAAAGGAAGTCTTTCACAAAGGTGACAGTATTCTGTCATTGGTAATTTTTATTTTAAGACCCAGTAGCCGATGCTGTCTTCCGGGAGATAGATTCAGTGACATTTAGCTTTTTGGCCATTAGAAGAAAAGAACAAAATCCCCAACAGAAGGCTCTCCCAACTTGGTTCTCCGCTGTTATTGATGTGAAGTTATTTTCTACAACCACTACTGATAGATGGAAATGGAACCACTCTCTCACCCACAGTCTGCTCATTTGTTAACACATTTATAAATAGTCATTAGGTGCCTGCCATGTGCTAGGACCTGGGGACATCCTGGTGAACTGGGTACACGCTGTCTCATGGAGTTCACAGTACAGCAGGAAAGACAGACAAGCAAACGAGGAGAGAAAAGATAAATTTCAGTCCTCATACTCAGTGGTGAAAAATGTATACATTTCTGAATTTTTCTATAATTCATCCTACTTTCTATTTTAAGCTCCCATTCTACTAGAGTAGCAGAAACCCTATCTCAGATCACTAGAGACTTCTCTTTCCATGAGTTCCATATAATTTTGGAGGTAGGTCTTAGAAAGCGTTGAGGAGTGGGTGGGGAGAGATGAGGAAGGGCAGCCCTGTCCCTTGAAGCCAATTGAGACTATGTACCCACTCTGAGACATTCAGCATTACATATAATGCTTGATATCAGTTTCTGAGGTCATCTCTGAGAAATGGCCCTGACCCATCTACGTGGGTCCAGCATTTCTGGATACTGTGTCTGTGTTGTGCTTATGGAGGTAGAAATGATTCTGCTGTGTGGTGGGCCCTAGATTCACTACACACCTCTTCTTCCTTTGGTAAAATTCTGCTACCAAACTGGAGTTCCACATCTATTCTCAGATTCCACAAATCTTTATCAGGTCTCTCTGCTACATCCCCCATGCCCTTATTAAACAGTTCACTGGAAGTATTCAGCAGGAAACCTCCCTCGTGGTGATTCAGGGACCCATTTTCTTTTCACTTCGTGATTCCACTATCTTCTAAGTCCTTAGAGTTCATGCCATGCAGCCAGCAAAGGAGGAAAGATGAGGAGGGAAGGCCTGCTCGGGAGTTTTTATAGTCCAGGTATGGAGGAGGCACACATCACCTCTGTCAGTATTCCATGGTTCAGACTTGATGAGGACCTTATATGACTACAAGGGAGTCCAGAAAGTGTCATCTAGCTCTGTGTCCAAGACAAAAAAGAAACAGGTTTTGCTGAGCACAATAGCAGACTCTGCCAAAAGGGACAAGGCCTTGTCCCTCCAAAAATGTTAGTTAAACCAGTAAGTCTTTTCTTTCCTGCCCCCATAGATTAAAAATTTGGAAGATAAAAGACAAGAAACCTTTGCTTTTTGCCCTCCATAGCTTTTCTCTGAAGCAGTGAGCATATAATAGTCTCCCAGGGAGGCTCTGACATACTCTCCAGCCACACACATAATTTAAATGGTTATAAGTGCTTTGCTAGCAGAAATACGGGGTGTTCTGAAAGTATGCACAGGCCTTAAAGAGTTTCAGCAAGAAAATGGAGAAAGACATTGGGATTGGGGTGGATGGCACAAAGCAAATGTAAGGAGGTCAAGGCAGGAGTGTTAAGACAGAAGGACAATAAGGTTGCAAAGACTGTGGAGTAAAGTGAGACCCTGCCTGTGATCTCTATCACATCATTAGCTAACTTGACACTAAATAATGCTAAACTGTCCCTTTTTCTAAGGATCCTTTCCTCACCAAAGACCCCTACTCTAGACGTGCCTGGCAGATGGTAGGCCTCACCCTATACCCTGGGTCAGTTACTTTCAAAGTATATGACGTAGAAACCAACAACAGTTAAAATACACCATTTTGTATAGCCCCCATGTTTGTGTAACCTTATAGGAAGCCTGGGCCAATGACCTGGAAATATTCATTGAGGAGCCACCATATGCCAGCATTGTCCAACCACCGTGGATGAGTTTTAAAAAGAAATAACTTCATGGCCAGGTGTGGGGAGGCCAAGGCAGACAGATCACTTGAGCCCAGGTGTTTGAGACCAGCCTAGGCCACATGGCAAAACCCCATCTCTATCAAAAATATTAAAAATTGGCTGGGTGGCCGGGTGCAGTGGCTCACGCCTATAATCCCAGCACTTTGAGAGGCCAAGGTGGGTGGATCACCTGAGGTCAGGAGTTTGAGACCAGCCTGGCCAACATGGAGAAACACCGTCTCTACTAAAAATACAAAATTAGCTGGGTGTGGTGGCACATGCCTGTAATCCCAGCTACTTGGGAGGCTGAGGCAGGAGAATAGCTTGAACCCGGGAGGCAGAGGTTGTGGTGAGCTGAGATTGCACCATTGCACTCCAGCCTGGGCAACAAGAGCAAAACTCCATCTCAAAAAAAAAAAAATAATATTGGCTGAGCATGGTGGCACATGCCTGTAACCCAAGCTACTCAAGAGGCTGAGGTGGGAGGATCACTTGAGCCCTGAAGGACAAGACTATAGTGAGCTGTGAAGTCACCACTGCACTCCAGCCTGGATGACAGGAGTGAAACCCTGTCTCAAAACAAACAAACAAAAAAAACCCACACAACTCCATAAACCAGTGTCCTTGTTCTTTTAATTTAGTTGTACAACGATCGCTAACAATCACTTAACCTTTGACTCACTGTTTCAGCTGTGTGGTCCTGACTAAAAGATATCAGAGAGGGAAGGAGATAGAGGAAGGTTTCCTGGAAGGGACATAAACTGGCCCAGGAAAAGAGGAGGAGAAAAATGGGTGGGGTCAGCTGTTAGGAATCAGTATGAACTGAGAGCAAATTGGAAGGGAACACCAGGAGTGGAAGAAAGTAAGTTGGAAGGAGGTGGAGGCAGATAAAGAAGAGCAAAAGAATTTTGACCACACAAACTGCTCCAAAATTTGTACAGATAAGTCATTGGTTGCACATTTTGATTTTGTAGATTATAGGCTATTTTATAAAACTCCCAAATTGGGGGTGTAGAAAAGGGAAAAATTCTCATTAGAAAATGCTATTGGCTAAATATCTTAACACATAAACAAAACTATCTCTGACTTCTAATGGATATCCATGTATGTACACGCACACACAACAGTACCATCCACAGCAGTTTGCAGGAAACATAGAGAATCCATTAGGAACACAATAAAATTTTTTAAAAGAAAAATCAATAAGAAGCAAAAGGGAAATTAAATACTAAACTTTATGGTACTCTTCAATCACACTAGGGTATAGCCTTGTGTAGTAGAATAATAATGGACTTCTGAAATTAACCATAATCAGATTTAAATCCTGGTGTTCCTATGTTCTGTACTCCACTGGCCAAATTACTTAAGCTCTCTGAACTCCCATATATTCTTCTAAAATAGCGAAAATAATCTCTTCATCACTAGATTGTGATAAGAATTTAATTAAGTAGCTTATGTAAGGCATATAGCACTGGGTCTAGCACATCATGTGTGATCAATAAATCCTACTTCCCTTCCATTTCTTAATGATAATACAAAATTAATAAACACCTGCCTTGCCATTTGGGTATTTTTAACATAACACTAGGCCAAGCTGTGAAAAAAATAAAATGATAATGATGTGAGACAGATAGGTTCAGGAAACCCCAGCAAGGATCATGTGATAGAAGAAAAATTTCTTTGTATTTCAATCATAAGCAAAAATCAGATTACCATCAACAGTATTTGCACAAGAAGGATAAAATCATCTAATGTAATAGGCTTGAAATTATTTTGTTCCAAGAATTTAGGAAATTAATTTTTCCTGCTTTTTGTTAATCTTCTTGAGTGGGCAATAAAAGATGAGAGTGGGAAGGGCAAATGAAGGGATGTTTTAACCACCATTTGAGCAATAATTTAAAAGATGATTCTGAAGGAAGAGTCTTTTACTACTGTGATGTTAATCAGCTCCAAATTACTCAGCCTGATCTGGGGACTGAAGACAACCTCTTCCTTTACCACTCAGACTTGTGCTTCCCCCAACATGTTCACCACCGCCCCCAGGGCACCAGAGACATGGTGGTTTGACCCTCTAATTAAAGTGTATCATCCTGCCATAGAATTTTAAATTAAGTGGATGCAGGCAATTGAGGATCCAGAATCACAAGCTAAATCACAATTTGTGTCTGGAATACACTTTGGATATAATAAAATTACAGGACAACAGAGAAACATTAAAAAAAATAAATTATTTAGCTTTACTGAAACAATTAAAAATAGGCAGGATTTGAAAAAGCCTCCAAAATATAAAACAAAGTGATTTGAAGAATGTTGCCTATGTCCATTTTGCTGCTTTTCTTACTCTATGAAAGAAAAAATATAGAAAGGAGGAGAGTGGCAAATGCAACTTACTTAAAGCATATTAACTTGTTTTGGTAAAGCACAGAGAAAGGTACAGTCAGTAGTCAAGATTCATTAAGCCGCCATGGGTACCCAGGGGAAGGCAGCAGGTGCTCACAGAGCCCTCTGATCAGTTGTAGATGCTCAGAAACTCCTGAGGGACAGTTTCTGTCTATCTTGATAGTTCCTCCAAACACTGATCAAAGACCAGGCAGTGTCATCTGCATCACTAATTTCGAGTTTTTTCAAATGATAAACAGAACCCTCATACCAACAATGAACAGACCCAGTGTGCTTGTGTTCATCATCTATGATCTTCCTGCTTGGTGCAGTCAGCCTTTCAATCCATGAGCTCCCATTGACTCCTACTGTATGCTAAGCACTAATTCAGCTTGAGACTCATAGTCTCTGCCTTCAAGGATATCACATTGCAGTGAAGAACTAGAGAGGTAATGGTCAGATACAAAAATTTCTGGTAAGTGTAATGGAAGAGGTAGTCATGAGGCAATGGGAGCAGGGGCGGGGGGGGTGTACTTAACTCATACTGGAGAGTGGGGAGCTCAATAAGTCCTCCTTTTAAAAGGACATATCTGATGAAGCTTTTAAAGCAGGAGCTATTCTAACCAAGAAGTTAGGGTGAGTGGGTGGTGGTAACAGTGGGCCAGGTAGTAGAGAGATGCTGTAAAAAGTACATGGCAAAAGTCATTAGCATGACTTTTGGAGGCGGATATCTATCCAGGATAAAGTGGAGGGCACAAAAGATTAAGGGTGGTAAGGAAAGTGCTGAGAGGCCAGGTTAAAGAGGGAGGCACAGGCCAAATCCCGAAGAGCCTTATATTTCCTAAGAGGCTTGGATTTTATTCTAAAAGCAGTAGGAAGCTATTATAGCATTTTTTAGCAGGGAATTTACTGCTTAAGATTTGTGGTCTTCCCACAGCAAAAGTAGAAAATGGACCTGAGGTCATAGTGGTGATACAGTAATGCTCAGAATATAGTAAGGTGCCAGTTCCCTATCAGTAGCAGTAGGGGGAGTACAGGAGAAGAAACATTTGGAGAAGCGAAGAGAGGAAAAGAAGAGCTCTGTTTTAGAAATGTTAAACTTGCGGTGCTTATAATACATTCCTGTGTGTGTGTTCACTTTGATTTACGGAAAGAGAGTTGAGATGGCAGTACAGATGTAAACCACAGGGGAGGTTGATTCCATGGAGTCAGGGCTAATGCTCAGCCAGTACACCATGGCATGGCTATGAATTGCTTTTGACCATATCTATTCTGATTTGTCAGTACCCAACTCTGCCTTGTTAAATATTGTGTCTATCGCCCCTGTATGAGAGGATCCAGATTAACAACAGGGAGAGATTGAGGATAGAATCCTGAAAACAAAGGAGAAGTGGAGGGAGGGGAAGGGGAATGGGAAGAGAAGAAGAAGAAACAATAACAGCTGAGAAAGCCTGGCCAGAGAGGCAGGGATTCATACGAGGAAACACCAGGAAGAATGTGTCAGAGTCTAGTCAATAGTGTCTGAAGAGGGTGAGTGTATGAAGAAGGGAAGATCTTGAACACATTTACATTCTGAGAGAAAGAGCACATTAAGTGAAAAAAAGGGTAAAGCAACAGGAGAGGATTGAGATAAAACAATGGAACAACATCCCCGATGAAACAGGGAAGGATGGGATACAGAACTTTCTACTGTAAGAGCAAGTGTTACTATATCATTGGAGCGGGAGGAGCTAGGAAAGGGCTAAGAGAGCGGAAGTAGCAGAAAGTTTAAAAAGTTCCTCTCATGATGTAATTGTCAAGCAGCTCAGCTGGAAGCTTTGAGAGAGGTGATATGTAGGGAACTCCAAGAGAGTGTTGAAGGTACAGACGATGAGGTGACGCCTGGCAGAGGGAGTTCACCAGAGCCAGGTTGGAAACTGTAAACTTACACATTCTCATTGAAATGCATTTTTTTCTAGTAGCTCTCTGGAAACTGGGTATGAAAACAGAAGAAGAAGTCACCTGGTTTGATTTATGAATAAGGTTTTATCAGAAAGATGCAGAAGAAAAACCAAAAAGCAAGAGAGTTGTCAAAGACTGTTATAAATTAAATAACATTATGAGGTCTGTACACTTTTGAGAAACGAGAGAAAGAAGAACAAAGAGGAACTGAAGATAAAAAAAACTGAAGAACAGGTGTAAAGTGAGCATAGAAATAAGAGGCCTAGAATAATAGAAAAAGGTGGCATAAAAATGTAGATGTTTAAGATTTTGCAGGAGGAACATTCAGGTTGCAAAGGTGCAGCCCAAAGCTGAAGGTGGGGCTGCATAGGACGAGATGGTAGAGCTGAGAAGATCAATGAACTATAAACAAGGGTGTTGGGTGTGCTGTTACTCATAGCAATCTTCATAAGCAATATTTATTTATCACTGTCTATGGCTCAGCATTGTGGTGAGCAAGTTACACGCGTAATTGCACAGCCTTTTGAAGTAAGCACTATTCTTATGTTTTACGTATGAGGAAACTAAGGATCAGAGAAATTATGTAACTTGCCCATGGTCACACAACTGGTACATAGCAGAGCTGAATCTCAAACCCACTTCTTTTTCATTTCAAAGCCTGTGCTTATTTCAAGAAAGATGGTGGTGTTTGGGATGAAGACGATGACAGGGATTCAGAGCCCATAGTCATTACTGAGTATGGAAAAGTGGCCAGGAGTTCTGTAGATGACAGCTATTAAGAAGAAAAAGATGGAAAACCTGAAAGTCCAAAGAGGAAGGATTTTTGCATGAGTGCTTAGGTTTACAAGTGGTGTTGGGAGTTAAGAGAATGCCCTTCAGCCCCTATGCTGGGGTATATGGACAGAAGAGACTGATCAGTCCTGTGGTAATCATCCTGAGCAGGTTTTAAATGAGTGCTGATAAATAATTATGTTGCCTCCAAGGAAACCTGAGCCCATATTTGAAGACGGAAATGGTATTGGGTGGTTCTATAAACTTGACCTTGTATTGCAAACATCTGGAGTCCCCAGGTAAATAGGGGAATCAGGACTTAAGCCTCTCCTCTCTGGAAGGAGCCAGCTGTGGCCCAAAGGGTCACACACTTCTGAGGAGATGGAATGTTATCTGTGAAAAAATTAACAGGGAAGCTGTCACATAGGCTTTGTAAGGAGAATGACTAAGGCTTTGGCTCCTAGGCAAATCATTCTCATCACTGAAGACTCTTGAAGGCTTTGCTGGTCATCTCAGTTCTTTTGATTCCCCGCCTTTTGGCTCCTACAGTCTCTGATTTTGCCTTCTATTATGCTGTATATTTTTCATGTTCTTCATTGTAGTATATATGTCATTGTTCAATCCCAAATAAATGATTTGCTCATCCTAATAGAGTGCTGAGCACACAGTTGATGCTTAATAGGCATTTCTTTGGCTCTCTGGAAGAAGTGACAAGAGCTTTTAATATACCATTTTGTTTGCTTTTATCATCTCTTAATATATGTTTCTATGGCTGATACATAGTCTTATTTTTCTTTTGAGAACTTGAAGTCTTTAGTCCAGGTATACTCTGAGAGAACTACAAGAGTCATAACATAAAATCTCCAGGAAAAGTGACCTAAGCTCAGCCTCAACTCTGTCTACCACTTAGAAACAACTGGAAGAAAGAATGCCATACAGAAGGAATGCATAGCATCCCATAGGATAGACTGAGGCTTTCAGGTATGACCCACAGGTGAGGAGCATTTAGAGTTCTTTTTTTTTTTTTCTTACCAAAGAGAAATTATTTGCTTTACTGAAATAGAAATTGCATTTCCTGAAGAGCATGAAGAATGATTAGTAACTCCATTTTCTCCATCTCTTTCAAGCTTACCCATTGTAATGGTATATTGTTTAATCAAGAAAATGCATCTCCTTTCAAAGGATATAGCCAACCGGGGTCTTCCAAAGTTGTTAATGCATAGGTCATATTGATAAGTAGGGCATGTCTGCTCATGAGGACTGGTGAGCTGAAGGAGAGAGAAATTAATAACAAATAAACTTGCCTCAGGCTCACATATCCACTGCCCAGTCTCTAAATAGCATGAAATTTCTGACCCACAGATATTACTGCTAAACTTTATCAAATAAAGAAATAGGAGGCTTTGAACTCTGAGCAAAAGACCAACTGAACAGCTAAACAGGTCATCTTCACACGCTTTGGAGAGTAATGGCAGAGAAAGTTATTTTAATTTGCTTGCCACAGGAAGTCCTCGATTATCATCAGTCATTTGACAGAAGAAACTAGAATCAAACACATGAGACAGAATCTGACTCCATCCAGGTAACAGCTAATCTATGGAAAGTAATCATTATGAGCACTTTGATTACCTCAAGCAGATTTGCTTTTTGTTATTTGTGTGTGTGGTTCTTTGTTTGTTTGTTTGCTTTGAGATGGAGTCTCTCTCTGTCTCCCAGGCTGGAGTGCCGTGGCATGATCTAGGCTTACTGCATCCTCCACCTCCTAGGCTCAAGTGATTCTCCTGCTTCAGCCTCTCGAGTAGCCGGGATTACAGGCGCCTGCCAGCATACCTAGCTAATTTTTGTATTTTTAGTAGAGACGGGGTTTCACCATGTTGGCCAGGCTGGTCTCGAAATCCTGACCTCAGGTGATCCGCCCACCTCGGCCTCCCAAAGTGCTGGGATTTGGTATGCTTGACTCACCTGAATTAGGCTCTAGAGTTTTGTAAGTATGAGGGCCAGAACAAAAGTGGAGTAGAGTGAGGGGGGAGTATAGCTGGCATTGAACAGGCAGGTTGAAGATATCTAAAGAGTCTGTGTTTTATTCAAAGTTGAATGAGAAGCTTCGGGTGGGTTTTGCAAAGGGAAGGGTGTGGTCTGACTTTTTTTGTTTGTTCATTTGTTTTCAGATCACTCTCTCGCTGTGTAGAGGATGGGTTTGAGGAGCATCCATGGGGAGCTGTTGGAAGGCTCCGGCAGAAGACCAGCAGAAAGAGACATGCTCTGACCAGAATCACAGCATTGGGAATGCAGGAATTGCTAAGAGGTCCGAAGCAGAGGAACCGACAAGTAAGACTAAAATATTTGAATTTTTTTCAAACGGAAGGAGCAGTAGAATTAAGAATGAAGCATGGGAGATATCATAATTTTTGTTCAGTTTACTAAGATTTTATCTCAAATTTGAACATGTAACATTTTCATTTCACAAGCCTAATAAACACCATATCCTGATCACTAAAAATAGCAAATTAAATGAGCAAAAATTCATTTGTTCTGGTCTTTTTACAGCATTTCATGTATTGGAAAATAATTATGAAAATGAATATTAAGTTGGCTGCAAGCATCATAATTGCTCTGGAACAAATTCTCTCTGACATAACTTAAAAGGTCTTACCAAATTCTACAGCAACCCATTTAAATCAAACACACTAAGATTTATATCCATAAAATGACTATGCAGTTAGTTTAAAACATTGGTTTTTGTCCCCTCTTAGTCACATGTCAACTCCTAAAGTGAATAAACGTTGATAAATATCAAAAACAACAAAGATTCTCGGTGTACAGATTTACACAGGTGTGTAAGAAATGTCCATTTATTACCTTTACACCCAGGTAGAATCAGCTCTGGTCCCTCATCTCATTTATCCCTAGGGCAATTGTTCTCAACAGGCTGTCAGACTTCTAGCCTCTTTACTCCTGAGGAAATCTTTCCCACCCTCTCTCCTTAACTTGAAAATTGTTCCCCTCTATTCTCCTCTGTCCTTCAAGATAACTTATATTAATCACTTCAATGAGTTAGACTTTTTGAAAAACAAAGGCCAGAAGTTAAAGTAGTATCTTAAAAATGGCTTCAGTTTTTGCCCCTAACATTAATTTCTCCTAAGGGCTGGACCTAGAGACTTCCTTCTAACAAATAAAATATAGCAAAAGTCTTAGAATGTCACTTCCATGGTTAGGTTACAAAAGATTATTTTGGTCATGCTGGCACTCTCTCTCTGGCCCTGTCACTTGACTTCTCTAATAGAAACTAGCAGTCATGTTCTGAACTATCATATGGTGAGGCCCATGTGGTGAGAAACTGAGAGCAGCTTCTGGCCAACAGCCAGTGAGGAACTGAGGCCCTCAGTCCAACAACCTTTGAGGAACTGAATCCTGCCACAACCTCACAAGGAAGCTTAGAAAGGCTCATTTCTCACTCACACCATAAGACCATAGCCCTCGTCAACTCTGAAACCTCTGAGGCTCTGGAGCACAGGACCCAGATAAGCTGTACCCAGATTCTTGACCTGTAGAAAACTGTGACATAGAAACGCTATTGCTTCCAGATTTGAGCTAATTTGTTACATAGCAACATGCAACTAATACAAACTGCCAAGCAATTGTGTTACGTTTGTCAAAGTGTGAAGTTCAGAAATCCAGTAAGAGGGTCTTAGTTATGCTTATCAAATGTCCGGTTCACTATATGTATTAAAAAATATTTGTCAATTAATGAATGAGAAAATATAAGCATAACCAAAACACAGACACACCACAGAGAAAGACCTGGAGTCATTCTTTTGGTATTTTTATAATTTTTTTGAAAGTTGTAGAAAATTGAATAACTGACAGTATTTTAATAAGTTCCTTGAGGTAAATGATAATATATGAAAATTTATGGCAGAGTATAGCAAAATGCTATATTAAAAATGAGGTAATAAAATGATGACTTATTAATCATCAATAAATAATATTGTTATTAAATTTGAGGCTGAAAATTATAAAAGCCATAACAAAAATTCCCCTTTACTTTCCAAATTATTCAATATCTGTATCACATAGAAAAAAATAAAATTAATACTCTAATTGTAAATGGCAACATTTATTCTTTTCACATTCTGGAAAGGGCACAGTTGCACTTGCAACAACCATGCACTGGTGTTAGTAAAGAAGTTTCTCCAAATGACAGACAAGCAAAGGGAAGGGGATATGTTTTTTAGGCAAAATCAGACCTATCCTGTAGAAATGTGACTCTGGAATCCATCACATTCCTCCTGTGTTTTTGATCCTAGAACAGGGTCTGTGTTGCCAATGCCAGCTAATGGCCCAGGGAAGAGGTTTGGCAGATTTAGCCAATAAAAATACAGGATTTCCAATTAAATTTTACATGTTGGATTAACAATGAATAATGTTTAATATAAGTATGCCCAGTAAATTATTTGTTGTTTATCTGTAATTCAAATTTAACTGGTGCTACAGACTGAAATGTGTTCTCCCTAAAGTTCGTATGTTGAAGCTCTAACCCATACTGTAACTATCTTTGAAGATAGAACTTTTAGACGGTAATTAAATAAGGACATAAAGGTGGGATCCTAGTCTAATGGGATTGGTGGCTTTATATGGAGAGAGAGAGAGGGGTCTCTCCACAGCCATGCACCAAGGAAAGGCCATGTGAAGACACAGTGATAACGTGGGCACCTGGCAGCCAGAAGGACAGCCCTCACCAGGAACCAAACCTGCCGATACCTTCCTTTTGGACTTCCCACCCTCCAAAACTGTGAGAAATAAATGTGTGTTGTTTAAGCCACCTAATCCGTGGTATTTTGTTATGGCAGCTTAAGCTAAGACAGCAGGACATCCTATATTTTATCTGGAAACCCTGCCAGTGAGGCCAGATATGAGTGAAGAAGGGAGAGGAGTAGGAAGGAATTCCTTCTAATACCAGTACTGTCCAAACTTGCCTCCCTGTCTCCAAGATGAAGGGAGCAAATTGAACCCTAACCTTCATCACACACCCTCTGTCAGGCTGAGATTTTGAAGCTTCTTGCTCTTTATCTTGATTTCCTCTGAGTGAATGAGTGTGTGTGTGAGTCATTGTAAGGGAGAAATTTGGAAAATGAGGACACTTTGGCCTTTTATCCACAGAAGTGGTTCTGCTTCAAATCAGAGCACAATCCCATAAGGACATGTCCAAAAGTAAGTCTTAGTGATTTTACCTCCCTAATCAAAACACGGATGAAAGCTCCCTGAGGGGAGTTTTGAACTGGATAATTCTTTGTTATGTGAGCCTGTCCTGTGCGTTGTAGGATGTTTAGGACCATTCCTGGCCTCTGTCCTCTAGTAATAACCTCTTCCCCTCAGTTACATTCCAAAATGTTTTCAATCGCCAGCATCACCTGTGAAGTAAAATTGGTCCCAGCTGAGAACCATTAACTTAATCGACACATGCATCAAGGTACTTTAAGAGTATTTTACACTGAATTAGCACAATCTGTGATTGCATTATAAGGTGGGTATCTGAGATTGGCAATCAGGAAAAACTATTTGAACATGGCACCACCCAGCCCAGATTATTCAGCAACTTCGCTAAAGGTAGGTTTCTATATCATGAAAACCTAAGAAAATAATGCTAGCTTAATACAACAATACTTGGTTGTGTGTGTGTGTATGCAAGGAATAGGGTTAAAATACTGTTAATAGAAGAAATATAATCACTGGGTGAGAATATACAATGTCGTCTCCAGAAAAAATTAATTTTCTTCACGATGATACCCTTGTCTAATTGAGAAACAACTGATCACAGCCATATACCTTGTGGAAACCCAAGCTAGAATAAAGGCATTCACTGTCCACCTCTATCTGGAACTCCAACCCCATGCTTGTTGGATCAGAACTCAACTCTCCTCTCTTCAGAGTCAGCATATTCTTTGGAGAAGAAAAACCCCTAACATTTCTTTCCTGCTAAATCTGAGGTGGAACTTACCAGACACACGAAAGGACTGTGGCTTGGACAACTCTACTTGGTGAAGGGTGGAGTTTCCCAAGGGAGAGACAAAATACTCAATGAGAAAAACTGAAAGAAGCTGCTGAGTGAGGACGAGAGAAAGGACTGAAGAGAGAAACTTTGAGAATGAGGAAGCATACGCAGGTGACACTCTGAGACTAAGTGGAGAGGCTTTGGTGTTCCTTTATAGAGGTATGGAGGATGGATTCCCCTTATTAAGTTAAAACTTCTGTCCCTCTCATTTTGCTGTGCTTTGGATTGTTTACTCCAACCCACATCTAAGTGGCACAGTTCACACTGGAGATACATGTATACAATTGCTTATGAAAGGTTTCAATAGAGGGCAGTAAAATGTCTTTGAGGAAGGGGTGGGTATCAGTCAGGTACCTAATAGGAAACTGAGTCCAACTCTGATAATTCAAAAAATATTAATTAAAAGACTACCCCGCTACTCCTCCCATGTGTGCAGAGGGCCGAGGAAACCAATAAGGGATACTGCACTCACTGGCAAGAGCAGGAAGCCAGGACCAATTGGTTTTCACATATTGGTTATTCCCTAATCAATAAGGGAAACCAATAAGGGATATTGCACTCAGACACTGGCAAGAGCAGAAAGCCAGCACCACTCCCAGACCTGAAGGAGCAAGAGCGAGTAGGGCTATCAGAATCTAGTGAAAGCTAGAGTTGTGGGGGAAGGGCCTCCCTCTCAACAGGAGGTACAAATGTGGATGGATGCTGGCACCAGCATAAATGCAGGCCCAAGTGGGTAAGGAGCAGGGAAAATGTTCCATTTTTCCTTCCACCAGTTTAATGTTCTGTAGTCTCCCACTGGCAGAACTCAAGATTGGCAAGAGCGCCCAAGTGATATAGTCAAAAGAAATTGAGTTTAATGAAAAATAAGGCTAAAAATTATAATATGAAGAGTTTATAAAAATGCTCAATAGAAGTAAAATCTAAATTTACTTCTGAGCATTCCAGCAGCCCAAAGAGTTGCATGAAGATGTGCAGTGTCAATATGAGAATCTTCATCTAGTAACTGAGAAGTACAATGAATCCTTCGCTCCAGAAGCTCCATACTTGAATAGTCTCAGGATACACCAAATAAAGCTTTCCTCTCCTATGAGGTAGGGATGTATATGTCTAATCAATTTCTGTACTCTGATGAAAGAATTCGGTCCTCCCTATTTCATGTAGCATATGTAACAGATATGTGATTTCTCCAAGTAAATTTTCCCTAAATCATGTGCCTAGCCATAAAAACAAAACAAGAAAAATAAATACAATGGCTATAATTCTACTCCTAATGAAAGCTTGCAACAAGTTAGAAAAGTCCTTTGTGCAGAAATACTAAAATAATGAACATCATGCTTATATACAGAATCATAACTTTTTGTTATGAATTTTGGCACCCAGATGTATTTTTAAAATACTCTTTGTTTTTTATTGATACATAAATAATTGCACATATTTATAGGGCACATGTGGTATTTTCATTCAAGCATACAATGCATAATGATCAAATCTGAGTAATATCCAGTTCACCCAACACCATTTATTGAAGAGACTCTCCTTTCCCTAATGTATGTTCTTGATGCATTTGTCAAAAATAAGTGGGCTATAAATGTGTGGATTTATTTCTGGGTTATTTATTCTGTTCCATTGTTGTATGTGTCTGTTTTTATGCTACTACCATGCTGCTTTTGTTACTGTAGCTTTGTAGTATATTCTGAAGTTAGGTAGTGTGATGATTCCAGCTTTATTCTTTTAGCTGAAGATTGAGCTATTCAGGGTCTTCCGTGGTTCTATACAAATTTTAGAATTGTTATTTCTATTTTGGTGAAGAATGTCATTGGTATTTTCACAGGAATTGAATCTGTAGATTGCTTTAGGTAGTATGGAACTTTTTTTCTCTTTCTTTTTTTTTGAGTCTCTTCAATTTTTGTCATCAGCTTTTTTATAGTTTTCCTTGTAGAGTTATGTTACCCTTTTGGTTAAATTGATTCCTTGATATTTTCTTTTCTTTGTAGGTATTTTAAATGGGATTGCTTTTTTGATTTCTTTTCTGTTTTTGTTTGTTTGTTTGTTTTTGACAGGGTCTTGCTCTGTTGCCCAGGCTAGAGTCCAGTTGTGTGATCATAGCTCATTGTGGCTTTGAACTTCTGGGCTCAAGCCATCTTCCTGCCTCGCTCTCTTGAGTAGCTGGCGCTACAGGCAATGTCACCATGCTCAGTTAATTTTTGTATTTTTTGTAGAGAAAGCATCTCACTATGTTGTCCAGGCTGGTCTTAAACTCCTGGCCTCAAGTGATCCCCTTTCCTTGGCCTCCCAAAGTCCTGGGATTATAAGCATAAGCCACCATGCCAAACTGCTTTCTTGTTATGTTCTTCAGATTGTTTGCTATTGGCTGTATTTGGCTGAACTTGCATTGCTGTAAAGACATACCTGAGACGGGGTAATTTATTAAAAAAAGAGGTTTGATTGGCTCATGTATCTGCAGGCTATTCAGGAAGCATAGCAGCATCTGCTTCTAGGGAGGCCACAAGAAGCTTTTACTCATGTCAGAAGTGAAGCAGGAGTAGGCACATCACATAGCAAAAGGGTTTTCCAATTTGTTGGTGTACAAGTGTTCATAATAGTCTAATGATCCTTTGAATTCATTGTAATGTCTCCTTTTTTCACCTCTGGTTTTCATTGTAATGTCTCCTTTTTCATCTCTGATTTTATTTATTTGTGTCTTTTTTTCTTAGTCTGGCTAAAGGTTTGTTAACTTTGTTTTTCAAAAAAAAAAACAAAATTTTTGTCTTGTTGATCTTTTGTATTATTCTTAGTTTCAACTTCATTTATTTCTACTTTAATACTTATTATTTATTTCCTTTTACTAATTTGGGGTTTGGTGTTTTCTTCCTTTTCCAGTTACTTGAGGTGTATCATTATGTTGTTTATTTGAAGTCTTTCTACTACTCTGATGTTTTAGGTATTTATTGCCATAAACTTCCCTTTTAGAAGTCCTTTGTTGTATCCAATCGGTTTTGCTACGTTTTACTTTCATTTCTATCTGTCTCAATAAATTTTTTAATTGCCTTCTTAATTTCTTCATTGACTCATTTGTTGTCAGGAGTATGTTGTTTAACTTCCACAGATTTGTACAGTTTCTAATGTTCCTTCTGTTATTGATTTCTAGTTTTATTCCATTGTGGTCAGAAAAGATATTTGATATAATTTTAACTTTTAAAAATTTGTGGGTTTTTTTTCAACTTTCATTTTAGGTTCAAGGGTACATGTTAAGGTTTGCTATATAGGTGAACTCATGTCACAGGGGTTTGTTGTAGAGATTATTTCATCACCCTGGTATTAAGCCCGATATTCAATAGTTATCTTTTCTGCTCCTCTCCCTCCTCCCACCCTCCACCCTCAAGTAGACCCCATGTCTGTTGTTCATTTCTTTGTGTTCATGAGTTCTCATCATTTAGCTCCCATATATAAGTGAGAACGTGTGGTATTTGATTTTCTGTTCCTACATTAGCTTGCTAAGGATAATAGCCTTCGGCTTCATCCATATTCCCACAAAAGACATAATATTGTTCTTTTTTATGGCAGCATAGTATTCCATGGTGTATACGTACCACACTTTCTTTATCCAATCTCTCATTGATGGGCATTTAGATTGATTCCATGTTTTTGCTATTATGAATAGTGCTGCAATGAACATTTGTGTGCATGTGTCTTTATGGTAGAATGATTTATATTCCTCTCAGTATATACCCAGTAATGAAATTGCCTGGCTGAATGGTAGTTATGCTTTTAGCTCTTTGAGGAATCACTGTACTGCTTTCCACAATGGTTGAAGTAATTCACACTCCCTCCAACAGTGTATAAGTGTTCCCTTTTCTCTGCAACCTTGCCAGCATCTGTTTTGACTTTTCAAAAATAGCCATTATGTGTGAGATGGTATCTCACTGTGATTTTGATTTGCATTTCTCTAATGATCAGTGATACTGGGCTTTTTTCATATGCTTGTTGGCCACAGGTATGTCTTCTTTTGAAAAGTGTCTGTTCATGTTCTTTGGCCACTTTTTAACGGGATTGTTTGTTTTTTTTCTTGTAAATCTGTTTAAGGTCCTTATAGATTCTGGATATTAGAGCTTTCTCAGATACATAGTTTGCATATATTTTCTCCCCTTCTGTAGGTTGTCTATTCTGTTGGTAGTTTATTTTGCTTGCTGTGCAGAAGTTCTTTAGTTTAATTAGACCCCATTTGTCAATTTTTGCCTTTGTTGTAATTTTTTTGTGTGTGTCTTCATCATGAAGTCTTTGCCTGTGCCTGTATCCTGAATGGTATTGCCCAAGTTGTCTTCTAGTATTGGGTTTCACATGTAAGTCTTTAATCTATCCTGAGTTAATTTTTGTATATAATGTAAGGAAGGGGTCCATTTTCAATCGTCTGCATATGGCTAACCAGTTATCCCAGCACTATTTATTGAATAGGGAGTCCTTTCCCCATTGCTTGTTTTTGTCAGCTTTGTGAAGAGCAGGTGCTCAGAGGTGTGTAGCCTTATTTCTGAGCTCTCTATTCTGTTCTGTTTGTCTATGTGCCTGTTTTTGTACCAGTATCATGCTGTTTTGGTTACTGTAGCCCTGTGATGTAGTTTGAAGTCAGGTAACATGATGCCTCCAGCTTTTTTGCTTTTTTCTTTTTGCTTAGAATTGCCTTGGCTATTTGGGCTCTTTTTTGGTTCCATATACATTTTAAAATAGTTTTTCTAGTTCTGTGAAGAATGTCATTGGTAGTCTGAAAGGAATAGCATTGGATCTGTAAATCGGGCAGTGTGTCCATTTTACTGATATTGATTCTTCCTATCCATGAAAGTGGGATATTTTTCCATTTCTTCATGTCTTCTCTGATTTCTTTGAGCAGTGTTTTGTAATTCTCATTGTTGAGATCTTTCACCTCCCTGGTTAGCTGTATTCCTAGGTATTTTATTCTTTTTGTGGCTATTGTAAATGGAATTGTCTTCCTGATTAGGTTCTCAACTTGGCCATTCTTGGTGTGTAGAAACACTGGTGATTTTTGTACATTAATTTTGTGACCTAAAATTTTGCTGAAGTTGTTTATCAGCTGAAGGAGCTTTTGGGCCAAGACTATGGGGTTTTCTAGATATAGAATCATATTGTCCACAAAATGGGAATAGTTCAAGTTCCTCTCTTCCTATTTGGATGCCCTTTCTTTCTTTCTCTTGCCTGATTGCTCTGGCTAGGACTTTATAATACTGTATTGAATAGGAGTGGTGAGAGAGAGCCTCCTCACCTTGTGCCAATTTATAAGGGGAATGCTTCCAGCATTTGCTCATTCAGTATGATGTTAGCTTTGGGTTTCTCATAAATGGCTCATTATTTTGGGTATGTTCCTTTGATTTGTAGTTTTTAACATGAATGGCTGTTGAGTTTTATCGAAGTCTTTTTCTGCTTCTATTGAGATAATCATGTGGTTTTTGTCTTTAATTCTGTTTTTGTGATAAATCACTATTGATTTGCTGTCATGTTGAATCAAGCTTGCATCCCAGGGATAAAGCCTCCTGATCATGGTATATTAGCTTTTTTTATGTGCTGCTGGATTCAGTTTGCAAATATTTCATTGGGAATTTTTGCATTGATATTCATCAAGAATATCGGCCTGAAGTTTTCTCTTTTTGTCGTGTCTTTGCCAGGTTTTGGTATCAGCGTGGTGCTGGCCTTATAGAATAGATTGAGGAGGAGTCCCCTCTCATTTTTTTAATAGTTTCAGTAGGAATGGTATCAGCTCTTCTTTGTACATCTGGTAGAATTTGGCTATGAATCCATCAGGTCTTGGGTTTTTTTTAATTGGTAGACCATTTATTATTGTCTCCATAGTTCATTATTAGTTTATTCAGGGAATCAATTTCTTCCTAGTTTAGTCTTGGGGGATGTATATGTCCAGAATTTATCTGCCTCTTCTAGGTTTTCTAGTTTGTGTGCATAGAGGTGTTCATAGTAACTTTCTGATGGTTATTTTTATTTCTCTGGGGTCAGTGATAACTTTCCCTTTATCATTTCTAGTTCTCTGTATTTGAATCTTCTCTCTCTTCTTCTTTATTAGTCTAGCTAGCATCCTATCTTACTAATTTTTTCAAAAAAAATTCCTGGATTCTTTGGCCTTTTGAATGGTTTTTCATATCTTGATTCCCTTCAGTTCATCTCTGGTTCTGGATTATTTCTTGTCTTCTGCTAGCTTTGGGGTTGCTCTGTTCTTGCTTCTCTAATTCTTTCTGTTGTGATATTAGATTGTTAATTTGAGATCTTTCTAACTTTTTGGTGTGGTCATTAAACACTATGAATTTTCCTCTTAACACTGCCTTAGCTGTATCCCAGAGATTCCAGTGTGTTGTATTTCTGTTTTCATAGTTTCAAGGAACTTTTTGATTTCTGCCTTAATTTCAATATTTACTGAAAAGTCATTCAGAAGCAGGTTGTTTAATTTCTATGTAATTGCATGGTTTTGAGTGATTTTCTTAGTCTTGACTTCTATTTTTATTATGTTGTCGTCCAAGAGTGTGTTTGATATAATTTTCGTTCTTTTTCATTTGCTGAGGATTGTTTTATGTCCAATAATATGGCTGATTTTAGAGTATGTGCCATATGACAATGAGCAGAATATATATTCTGTTGGTTTTGGATGGAGAGTTCTGTAGAGGTCAATCAGATCCATTTGGTCAAATGTTGAGTTAAGGTTCTGATTATCTTTGTTAATTTTCTGCCTCAGTGATCTACCTAATATTGTCAGTGGGGTGTTGAGGTTTCCTACTATTATTGTGTGGGAGTCTACGTCTCTTTGTAGGTCTCTAAGAACTTGCTTTATGAATCGTGGTGCCTCTGTGTTGGGTACATATATATTTAGAATAGTTAGGTCTTCTTATTGAATTGAACACTTTACCATTATTTTATACCCTTCTTTGTCTTTTTTAACCTTTGTTGGTTTAAAGTCTATTTTGTCTGAAATTAGGACTGCAACCTCTGATTTTTTCTGTTTTCCATTTGTTTGGTAAATTTTCCTTCATCCCTTTATTTTGTGCCTATGGGTGTCATTACAAGTGAGATGAGTCTCTTGAAGACAGCATAACATTAGGTCTTGCTTTTTTTCCAGCTTGCTACTCTGTGCCTTTTAACTGCGCCATTTAGCTGATTTACATTCAAGGTTAGTATTGATATGTGTGGATTTGATCCTTTTATCATGTTGTTAGCTCGTTATTGTGCTTTTTGTGTAGTTGCTTTATAGTGTCACTAATCTGTGTATTTAAGTGTGTTTTTGTATTAGCTGGTAGTGGTCTTTCCTTTCTATATTTAGTGCTCCTTTCAAGAGCTCCTGTAAGGCAGGTTTGGTCATAATGAATGCCCTCAACATTTGCTTATCTGAAAAGGATTTCATTTCTCATTTTTTTAGGAAGCTTAGTTTGACAGAATATGAAATTCTTGGTTGAAGAATTTTTTCTTAAAGAATGTTGAATATAGGCCCCCAGTCTCTTCTCCCATGTAGGGTTTCAGTGGAGAGGTCCACTGTTAGCCTGATGGGGTTCCCTTTGTAGGTGACCTGCCCTTTCTCTCCAGTTCCTTTTAATATTCTTTCTTTCTTTTTGACCTTGGAAAATCTGATGATTGTGTGTCTTGGGGATGATCTTCTTGTGTAGAATCTTGCAGAAGTTGTTTGTATTTCCTGAATTTGATTCTTGGCTCTGCAGCAAAGTTGGGGAAGTTTTTATTGATGATGTCCTGAAATGTTCTCCAAGTTGTTTGTTTTCTCCCACTGCCTTTCAGGGATGCCAGTGATTCATAGACTTGGCCTCTTTACACAATCCCATGCCTCATGGAGGTTTTGTTCATTCCTTTTTCTTTATTTTTGTCTGACTGTCTTATTTCAGAGAGCCAGTCTTCAAATTCTGAGATTCTTTCCACAGCTTGGTTTGTTCTGCTGTTAATACTCATGACTGCATCTTGAAATTTTGGTATTGTGTTATTCAGCTCTGTCAGATCTGTTAGGTTCTTTTTTATACTGGTTATTTTGTCCTTGAGCTCCTGCATCATTTTATTATGGTTCTTAGTTTCCTTGGATTGGGTTTTGTCATTCTCCTGAATCTCAATGATCTTTCTTATCCATATTCTGAATTATATTTCTGTCATTTCACGCAGCTCAGCTTGGTTAAGACCTCTTGTTGGAGAACTGGTGTAGTCATTTGGAGGACCTATGACCTTCTGGCCATTTGAGTGACTGGAGTTCTTGTGTTGGTTCTTTCTCATGTCTTTGTGTGGGTGTTTCTTTAACTGCAGTGTAGATTGACTACAGTCAATAAAGCTCTTTTCTGGATGTTTTAACAGGGCTGATGCTCTGTGCAGGGTCTTTATTTGAAGCTGACTTCCTACTTTTGGTTTCAAGGAGGGGGCATGTTAGTGAGGTATTTTTGGTGTTGAAGTTTTGGGATGTGATCCAGTACATGGTATTAGATATACTGGTCATTTGGTAGACCTTCTCGGTTGTGTGACTCCTCTATGTTTCCTCAAAGTTTTAGCCATGTTCCCCCTCAATGCTCTGAAATTGTGGGTTCCTCTTTCCCTTGAGTGCTGGCTGTAGATCATGGCATGGCACTCCTGGACTCCCACTGCAGCTCTGGGGTGATCTCAGTGTTTATGTTCCTTCCCCCAACTTGGAGGCATCAGAGGAAGGGACCTTAGTAGTGGTTGTGGCCAAGGGTCTTTTGTTTGTCTCCTGGGGGCTCCACCCCAAAGAGATCACTCAGTGCAATCAGCCCAGGATGGAGGATGGAGGGTCTGTGCTGTGGGCCAAAGCTGGAGTTTCCCTGTCTGGTGATGAGTGTTGGCAGGGGGTGGGGGGATGCAGGAGGACCCATGGGAGAGACACTGGCCTCCTCCACTTGGGTTGACTGTAGCTTGTTGGAGGTATGAATAAGGCACTTAAGGTCTTTGTTCCTTTGTTAGTCCAAGGATAGCAAGGGAAATTCCACTGCAGATGCAGTGGCAGAGAGGCTTTCAGTTGCACCTGGGGGCTCTGTCCAAGGAGTTGCAGAGCTGCTACTGGCTTGATAGCTCTGGTGGGGAGTGGCTGGAGGCCCAGGCCTGGAAGATGTGCTTGGTGAGGAGATATGGAAACAAGCACCCACATAAGAGTCTGGCCACTATTCTGAGGCAGGAGAATGGCGTGAACCCAGGAAGCGGAGCTTGCAGTGAGCTGAGATTGCGCCACTGCAGTCCACAGTCCAGCCTGGGCGACAGAGCGAGACTCCGTCTCAAAAAAAAAAAGAGTCTGGCCACTATTCTGTAAGACTGCTATGGTATGTGGAGGGCCTGCTCCAGTCCCTAGTTACCTCATATTTTCCAGTATCTGGAGGTATCAACAGTGAAGTCTGCAAAATAGCAAAGATGGCGGTCCTCTCCTCACTCTGGGAGATCTGTCCCATTGAGGTACAAACCTGTTGCTGGCCTGAACACACTGGTAGGAGGTAGCTGGAGAGTCCAGTTTTGAGGTCCCAACCAGTGAGGAGAAACAGGATTGGGGACCCTCTTTAAAAAGCAGTCTGGTCACGTTTTCATACAGCAGCTGAGATGTGCTGGGGCACTGCTTTTGTCCCCAGTGAGCTAGGACTCTTCAAATCCCAAAGGCTGGAACAATCAAGTCACTGAAACAGCAAAGATGGTGGCCTGCCCCTTCCTCTGGGGGCATCATCCCAGGGAGGTTTCAAATCTCTGTTGTACAGAAACCACCAGTGGGGGTTGCTGTAGACCCTGGTTGGGAGGTCCTCCCAGTGAGGAGAAAGAGGACTGGGGACCCGCTTAAAAGAGGAGTCTGGTCACATTTTCATAGAGCAGCTAAGCTGTGCTGGGGGACCACTTCCACCCCCAGCCAGCTTGGACCCTCCACAGCCCAAAGTCTGAAACAGCTGTTGCCCAAATAACAAAGATAGTAGCCCACCTTTCCCCCTGGGAGCTCCACACCAGAGAGGTTTCAAATCTCTGTTGGCCAGAAAACAGCAACAGGGGTGTCTGGAGACCCTGGTCGGGAGGTCCTGCTCAGTGAGAAGGAACAGGATCAGGGACTTACTTTAAAAAGTGGTCTGGCTGGCAAGGCATGGTGGCTCATGCCTGTAATTCCAACACTTTGGGAGGCCAAGACGGGCAGATCATGAGGTCAGGAGATTAAGACCATCCTGGCTAACACAGTGAAATCCTGTCTGTACTAAAAATACAAAAACAAAATTAGCCGGGCATGGTAGTGGGCACCTGTAGTCTCAGCTACTTGGGAGGCTGAGGTAGGAGAATGGCTTGAACCTGGGAGGTGGAGCTTGCAGTGAGCTGAGATTGTGCCACTGCACTCCAGCCTGGCATCAGAGCGAGACTCCATCTAAAAAAAAAAAAAAAAAAAAAAGTGGTGTGGCCAGATTTTCATAGAGCAGCTGTGCTTTGATGGGGGACCACTTCTGCCCCCTGTCTTCTGCTTGGACTTTCCAAAATCTGAAGGCTGGAATGACAAAGTCGCCCCGAGAGCAAAGATGGTGACACACCCCTTCCCCTGAGAGCTCTATCTCAGGGAGGTGTAATGCTATTACCAGAGGCTAGCTGGAATTCCAAGCCAGTGGGTCTTATCCTGTGAGGTGTCATGTAAGTGGGGCCTGTAGACTGTTGCTGCTCAGCACCCTAGATTTAGCCCCTTTCCTAGGGGTATATATGGGAGTCTAGCCTCCTGCTTTGCCACAGTTGCAGCTACTTTTGCTGAGAAGCTCAGAAAGCCTGGGTGTCTAAGGCTCATAGATCTCCACATGTGTCTGAGCAGTTGCTCTGCTGAGGCTCCACATAGCTCTGTGTGTCAGACTGAAGGCCCTGGTGGAATGGGTTCACAGGGGGATATCATGACCCAAGAGTCACACAGATCTGTGGGAGAAACGTAGGTTCCTGGGGTGGCACATTTACTCACCTCTTCCCCTGGGTCAGGGAGGTTTCCCTGGTTCTGTGTCACTCCCAAGTGGGCTGTCTTCCTGCCTTACTTTTCCCCATTCTCCATGGGTCAAGATGTTTCCTTGATTAGTCTCAATGCATGTACCTGGGTGTTTCCGTTGAAGATGCTGTATTTACTTGCTTCTTCCTTTCCTCTCCATGAGAGCCATGCACACTAGCTTCTTCTAGTCAGCCATCTTGGCCACCACTTAAAAATTTGTTAACATTTGTTTTGTGACCTATCATGTAGTATTTTTTGGAGAATGTTTCATGTGCTGTTGAAAAAGCATATATATTCTGAAGTTGCTGCATGAAAAATCCTGCAAATGTCTTTTTGGTCTATTTGGTCTACAGTGCAGTCTGACTCATTTTTCTTGTAAATTTTCTGTCTGGATGATTGGTCCATTGCTGAATGTGGAGTGCTGAGGTCTCCTACTATTATGGTATTGTAGGCAATCTCTCCTTTTAGTTCTATTAACATTAGTTTTATATATTTGGGTGCTTCAGTATTGAGTGCATATATATTTGTGATTATTATACCTCTTGCTTGAATGACCCATTAGTCATTATATAATGTCCTTCTTTGTCTTTTTTTTAAAACTATTCCTGAATTAAAGTCTATTTTTCCCAAGTATAACTACTCCTTCTCTTTTGGATTCCATTTCTATGGAATATCTTTTTCCATCACTTCGCTTTCAGTCTGTGCGTATCTTTATAGGTGAAGTGAGTTTCTTGTAGACAGCATATAGTTGGATCTTATTTTTTTATCCATTTAGCCACTCTATCCTTTAATTGAATAATTTAATATAATATATTTATATTCAAAATTATTATTGATATGTAATGGTTTATTAATGCCTTTTTCTTGTTTTCTAGATGTTTTATAGATTCTTCCTTCTTTTTCCTTTCTGGATGTCTTTTGTGGTTAAGCGATTTTGTCTGGTAGTATGTTTTGATTCCGAGCTATTTATTCTCATATATGTATTATAGGTTTTTTCTTTGTGGTTATCATAAGGTTTACCAAAATGTATTATAGTTATAACAGATTATTTTAACTGATAACAGCTTAACTTTGATCACAAAGAAAAGTAACAAAAACAAAGCCTACTCTTTAAACGCCCCCGTCATTTGGACTTTTTGATGGTTCTATTTACATTTTTTAATATTTTCTATCTCTTAACCAATTCTTAAACTTATTGTTTTTATTTGTTTTGTCTTTTAGTCTTCATACTTATATTAATAAGTGTTTTACTTATCTCAGTCATAGTATTACAGTATTCTGAATTTGTTTTCTTTCTTTTGCCAGTGAGTTTAATACTTTCCAATGTTTTCTTGTTATAGAAAATTATAGATAAATGTTAGCATTCATCTCTTCCTGATTGAAGAACTCCCTTTAGCATTTTTTGTCAGACAGGTCTGGTATTGACAAATTCCATCAGCTTTTGTCTGGGAAAGTTTTTCTCTCTCTTTCATGTTTGAAGGATTCATTTGGTGGGTTAGTATTCTTCATTGGCAGAGTATTTTTTCTTTCAGCACTTTAAATAAGGCATCCCACTCTCCAGGCTTGCAGTTTCTCCTGAGAGAAACTGAGAGAATCCACTGACAGCCATATTGGGGCTCCATTGAATGTGTAATGTTTATTTTCTCTTGTTGCTTTGAGTAATTCTTTCTTTGTCTTTGATTCTTGCTAATTTGATTATGATGTGCATTGGCAATTTCCTCTTTGGGTTAAATTTGTTGGTGATTTCTGAGCTTCCTGCATCTCATGATGTCTTTCTCTAAATTTGGGTAATTTTCAGCCATTTCTTCCTTAAATATGCATTCTAGGCTGTTTTTTCTCTCATCTCCTTCAGAAATTCTGTTATGCTGTGGTTAGTTCTCTTGATGGCATCCTATAATTATCATAAGTGTCTTCACCTTTTTAAAATTTTTTTTCTTTTCACTCCTCTGATTGGGTAATAATATCATATGTTCTATCTTCAAGCTCACTAATTTTTTCTTCTATTTGATCAAGTCAGCTATTGAAGCTCTCTAATAAGTTGTCAGTTCACTTATTGTATTCTTTATTTCTAGAACTTCTTTTTATTGTTTCTTCTTCTTTGTCTATTTTCTCATTTTGTTCCTGGATTGTTTTCCAAATTTCATTTAGTTTCCCATCCATATTTTCTTGTGATTCCCTGAACTTCTTTAAGATAATTATATTGAATTCTCTGCCTGAAATTTCATAGATCTTAAATTCTTTTGGGTCCATTGCTGGAGCTTTGGTTTCTTTTGATAGTGTTCTATTTCCTTGAACTTTCACTGTCCTTGTGTCTTTACACTGATGCCTGCACATTTGAGAAGACAGTCACCTCTTCTAGTTTTTGCAGGTGTTTTTTAGTTGTGTTAGACCTTTACTACTTAGTATCAGGACTTAAATGCTGACCTGTGGATTCTTATCATCTGGAGAGGACTTACAATGAGCACTGGAACTAAAACACTGCACTGCAGCTATTGTGTTGCCCTGCTATTGTTTCTTGGTCTGAGGAAGACTTATAATGAACAGTGGAACTTAAATGCTGCTTTGAAACTAAACCACGGCCCTTTGAATGTTTCTCACTATAGGGAAAACTTAAGCAGACACCAGAAGTTAATAACAAGCCTTTAGTTTTTTGCAGGCCAAAGGAAGGCTCCACATGAGCACCTGGGCTTTGTAAAAACTTCAGCCAGGGATTTGGGCCTTGCCGCAGATAGTGCTCCATGCAGGAATGTGGCATCTGGAAGTGTCTTCAATGTGGCATTGCCACTAATCAGTGCACAGAGTAGCCAAATGAGTTCTGCGTACCAGTCACTGCAATCATCACCTCACTCTTTGTTCCCAATTCACCCTGGTTTGTTCAGCTCTGCTGGGCCTCATAATGACTCCTGCAAGATGGGACCAGAGTGGGCTCCCTGAAAAGATTTCCGACCATTGGAGAGATAAAATGTTCACCTCCCAATCCTTTCACTCACCTCAAAAATCATGGGCTTAGGATGATTATCTGTGAGTCACATTATGCTGGTTTGGAGAAGGGATTGGCATAATCCAAAATGATGGTTTATCTTATTGGTCATGGTTACTCCTGTTTCTGTGGGATCAAGATGTTTCTCTGCTTCTCTTTGGAGTTCTGGTGAATTCAGGGTGGTATTCTTTTCCTTGAATAGTTTCTAGCTGTATGTTCATGGGGCAAGTGATGCCATGGGATCTACTATTTGGCCATCTTGCTGATGTCATTCTGAAATCTAGTCTTTTCCCCCCAAGCTTTATTGGGGTATGATTGATGAAGAAAAATTGTACCTATTTAAGTGTGCAACATGATGTTTTGTATATCTATACATTGTGAAATGATTAACACAATCAAGTGAATTAATATGCACATCACCTTATATTTGAGTGGTGTGTGGTAATAACATGTGAGGTTTACTTTCTTAGCAAATTACAAGTGTACAATACATTTACTATAGTCACCATCTTGTACATTAGGACTCTCAAACTCATTTAACTTGTAACTGGAAGTTTATATTCTTTGACCAACATCTCTTCTTCTTCCCTTACCCATAACCTCTGATAACCACCATTCTGTCCTCTATTATTATGAGTTTGACTTTTTTTAGACGCTACAAAAATAAAACCATGCAATATTTGCCTTTTTGTGTCTGGCTTATTTCACTTAGCATAAAGTGTTCCACGTCTATTCATGTTGTGGCAAATAAAATGATCTCCTTTTTTTTTTTTTAAATAAGATAGAGTCTCACTCTATTGCCCAGACTGGAGTACAGTGGCCTGATATCAGCTCACTGCAACCTCTTCCTCCCAGGTTCAAGTGATTCTCCCAGCCTCCCAGGTAGCTGGGATTACAGGCGCCCATCACCACGCCCAGCTAACTTTTGTATTTTTAGTAGAGACGGAGTTTCACCACGTTGGCCAGGCTGTTCTCGAACTCCTGACCTCAAGTGATCCTCAGCCTCCCAAAGTGCTGGGATTACAGGCATAGGCCACTGTGCCCAGCCAATCACCTTTTTTTTTAATGGCTGAATAATATTTCATTGTGTCCATATACCATGTTTCCCCCTCCCCTCCCCTCCCCTCCCCTCCCCTTGCCTCCCCTCCCCTCGCCTCCCCTCCCCTCGCTTCCCCTCCCCTCCCCTTCCCTTCTTTCTGTTTATATTTTGAGATAGGGGTCTCAAACACCTAATCTCAAACTCCTGACCTCAAGTGATCTTTCTGCTTCAATGTTCTGAGTAGCTGGGGTTACAGGCACAAGTCACCACACCCAGCTAATACGACACTATATTTTCTTTATCCATTCATCTGTTGTAGGACAGATGGTTTCCATTTCTTGACTAATGAAAATAATGCTGCACTGAACATAGGAGTACCAATATCCCTTTGAGATACTGATTTTATGTCTTTTGATATATACTCAGAAATGAAATTGTTGGATCATATGGCAGTTCTATTTTTAATTTTTTGAGGAGCCTCCATATTGTTTTATATAATGGCAGTGCCAATTTACATACTCAATGATGTACAAGGGTTTGTCCACATCCTCACAAAAATGATCTTTTTTTCTAACAGCTGTCCTAACAGATGTGATGTGATAGCTCACTGTGGTTTCAATTTGCATTTCCCTAAAACATAGCGGTGTTAAGCATGTTTTCATACACACTTTGCCAATTTTAATGTACTCCATGGAAAAATATCTGTTTAGTCAGGTCCATGGCCCAATTTTAAATCAGATTATAATTATGTTTTCTTTTTGCTATTATATTGCATGAATTTGTTTTTTTAATTATTATTATACTTTAGGTTCTAGAATACATGTGCAGAATGGGCAGGTTTGTTAACATAGGTATAAACATGCCATGGTGATTTGCTACACCCATTAACCTGTCATCCACATTACGTATTTCTCCTAATGCTATCCCTCCCCTAACCCCCAACCCCCCAACAAGCCCCAGTGTGTGATGTTCCACTCCTTGTGTCCATGTGTTCTCATTGTTCAATTCCCACCTATGAGTGAGAACATGTAGTGTTTGGTTTTCTGTCCTTGTGATAGTTTGCTCAGAATGATGGTTTACAGCTGCATCCATGTCCCTACAAAGGACATGAACTCATCCTTCTTTATGGCTGCATAGTATTCCATGGTGTATATGTGCCATATTTTCTTTATCCAGTCTATCATTGATGGGCATTTGGGTTAGTTCCAAGTCTTTTTTTTTTTTTTTTTTGAGACGGAGTCTCATTCTGTCACCCAGGCTGGAGTGCAGTGGTGCAATCTCAGTTCACTGCAAGCTCCGCCTCCCAGGTTCACGCCATTCTCCTGTCTCAGCCTCCTGAGTAGCTGGGACTACAGGCGCCCGCCACCACACCTGGCTAATTTTTTTGTATTTTTAGTAGAGACGGGGTTTCACCATGTTAGCCAGGATGGTCTTGATCTCCTGACCTCGTGATCCGGCTGCCTCGGCCTCCCAAAGTGCTGGGATTACAGGCATGAGCCACCGCGCCCGGCCTAGTTCCAAGTCTTTGCTATTGTCAACTGTGCGCAATAAACATACGTGTGCATGTGTCTTTATAGTAGAATGATTTCTAATCCTTTGGGTATATACCCAGTAATGGGACTGCTATGTCAAATGGTATATCTGGTTCTAGATCCTTGAGGAATCGCCACACTGTCTTTCACAATGGTTGAACTAATTTACACTCCCACCAATGGTGTAAAACCATTCCTATTTCTCTACATCCTCTCCAGCATCTGTTGTTTCCTGACTTTTTAATGATCACCATTCAAACTGGCGTGAGATGGTACTATCGTTGTGGTTTTGATTTGCATTTTTCCAATGACCAGTGATGATGAACTTTTGTTCTTATCATTGTTGGCCACATAAATGCCTTCTTTTGAGACATGTCTGTTCATATCCTTCACCCACTTTTTGATGGGGTTGTTTTTTTCTTGTAAATTTGTTTAAGTTCTTTGGAGATTCTGGATATTAGCCCTTTGCCAGATGGATAAACTGCAAAAATTTTCTCCCATTGTGTAGGTTGCCTGTTCACTCTGATGATAGGTTTTTTTTTTGCTGTGCAGAAGCTCTTTAGTTTAATTAGATCCCATTTGTCGATTTTGGCTTTTGTTGCCATTGCTTTTGGTGTTTTGGTCATGAAGTCTTTGCCCATGCCTATGTCCTAATGGTATTGCCTAAGTTTTCTTCTGGGGTTTTTATGGATTTAGGTCTTACGTTTAAGTCTTTAATCCATCTTTTTTTTTTTTTTTTTTTTTTTTTTTAGTATTTATTGATCATTCTTGGGTGTTTCTCGCGGAGAGGGATTTGGCAGGGTCATAGGACAATAGTGGAGGGAAGGTCAGCAGATAAACAAGTGAACAAGGGTCTCTGGTTTTCCTAGGCAGAGGACCCTGTGGTCTTCCGCAGTGTTTGTGTCCCTGGGTACTTGAGATTAGGGAGTGGTGATGACTCTTAACGAGCATGCTGCCTTCAAGCATCTGTTTAACAAAGCACATCTTGCACTGCCCTTAATCCATTTAACCCTGAGTGGACACAGCACATGTTTCAGAGAGCACGGGGTTGGGGGTAAGGTTATAGATTAACAGCATCCCAAGGCAGAAGAATTTTTCTTAGTACAGAACAAAATGGAGTCTCCTATGTCTACTTCTTTCTACACAGACACAGCAACAATCTGATTTTTCTATCTTTTCCCCACATTTCCCTCTTTTCTATTCGACAAAACCGCCATCATCATCATGGCCTATTCTCAATGAGCTGTTGGGTACACCTCCCAGACAGGGTGGCGGCTGGGCAGAAGGGCTCTTCACTTCCCAGACGGGGCGGCTGCTGGGCGGAGGGGCTCCTCACTTCTCAGATGGGGCGGCTGCTGGGCAGAGGCGCTCCTCACATCCCAGATGGGGCGGCGGGGCAGAGGCGCTCCCCACATCTCAGACGATGGGCGGCCGGGCAGAGACCCTCCTCACTTCCTAGACAGGATGGCGGCCGGAAAGAGGCGTTCCTCACTTCCCAGACTGGGCAGCCAGGCAGAGGGGCTCCTCACATCCCAGACGATGGGCGTCCAGGCAGAGACGCTCCTCACTTCCCAGACGGGGTGGCGGCCGGGCCGAGGCTTTAATCTCGGCACTTTGGGAGGCCAAGGCAGGCGGCTGGGAGGTGGAGGTTGTAGCGAGCCGAGATCACGCCACTGCACTCCAGCCTGGGCAACATTGAGCAATGAGTGAACGAGACTCCGTCTGCAATCCCGGCACCTCGGGAGGCCGAGGCTGGCAGATCACTCATGGTTAGGAGCTGGAGACCAGCCCGGCCAACACAGCGAAACCCCGTCTCCACCAAAAAAATACAAAAACCAGTCAGGCGTGGCAGTGTGCGCCTGCAATCCCAGGCACTCAGCAGGCTGAGGCAGGAGAATCAGGCAGGGAGGTTGCAGTGAGCCGAGATGGCAGCAGTACAGTCCAGCTTCGGCTCGGCATCAGAGGGAGACCATGGAGAGAGAGGGAGAGGGAGACCGTGGGGAGAGGGAGAGGGAGAGGCTTTAATCCATCTTGAGTTAATTTTTGTATAAGGTGTAAGGAAGGGGTCCAGTTTCAGTTTTCTGCATATGGCTAGCCAGTTTTTCCAACACCATTTATTATCCTTTCCCCATTGCTTGTTTTTGTCAGGTTTGTCAAAGATCAAATGGTTGTAGATGTGTGGTGTTATTTCTTAGGACTCTGTTCTGTTCCATTGGTCTATATATCTTTTTTGGTACCAGTACCATGCTGTTTTGGTTGCTGTAGCCTTGTAGTATAGTTTGAAGTCAGGTAGCATGATGCCTCCAGCTTTGTTCTTTTTGCTTAGGATTGTCTTGGCTATATGGGCCAAGAAAAGTTTTTTTCTAATATGTGAAGAAAGTGAGTGCTAGCTGATGGGAATAGCATTGAATCTATAAATTACTTTGGACAGTATGGCCATTTTCATGATATTGATTCTTCCTATCCATGAGCATGGAATGTTTTTCCATTTGTTTGTGTCCTCTCTTATTTCCTTGAGTGGTGGGGTTTGTAGTTCTCCTTGAAGAGGTCCTTCACATCTCTTGCAAATATACAGTCATGTCATCTGCAAACAGAGACAATTGGACTGCCTCTCTTCCTATTTGAATACGCTTTATTTCCTTCTCTTGCCTGATTGCCCTGGCCAGAACTTCCAATACTATATTGAATAGGAGTGGTGAGAGAGGTCATCCTTGTCTTGTGCCAGTTTTCAAAGGGAATACTTCCAGCTTTTGCCCATTCAGTGTGATACTGGCTGTGGGTTTGTCATAAATAGCTCTTATTATTTTGAGATATGTTCCATCAATAGTTTATTGAGAGTTTTTATCATGAAGGGGTGTTGAATTTTATTGAAGGCCTTTTCTGCCTCTACTGAGATAAGCATGTGGTTTTTGTCATTGGTTCTGTTTATGTGATGGATTACCTTTATTGATTTGTGTATGTTGAACCAGCCTTGCATCCCAGGGATGAAGCCAACTTGATCATGGTGGATAAGCTTTTTGATGTGTTGCTGGATTCTGTTTGCCAGTATTTTATTGAGGATTATCACATCAATGTTCATCAGGGATATTGGTCTGAAATTTTCTTTCTTTTGTTCTGTCTCTGCCAGGTTTGGTATCAGGATGATGCTGGCCTCATAAAATGGGTTAGGGAGGAGTCTCTCTTTTTCTATTGTTTGGAATAGTTTCTGAAGGAATGGTACCAGCTCCTCTTTGTACCTTGGGTAGAATTCGGCTGTGAATCCATCTGTTCTGGGGCTTTTTTTGGTGTTAAGCTAATAATTACTGCCTCCATTTCAGAACTTGTTATTGGCCTATTCAAGGATTCGACTTCTTCCTGGTTTAGACTTGGGAGGGTTTACATGTCCAGGAACTCATCCATTTCTTCTAGATTTTCTAGTATATTAGTGTAGGGGTATTTATAGTATTGTCTGATGGAAGTTTGTATTTCTGTGGGATCAGTGGTGATAGCCTCCTTATCATTTTCTATTGTGTCTATTTGATTCTTCTTTCTTTTCTTCTTTATTAGTCTGGCTAGTGGTCTATCTACTTTGTCAGTCTTTTCAAAAAACCAGCTCCTGAATTCATTGATTTTTTTTAAGGATTTTTCATGTCTGTATCTCCTTTAGTTCTGCTCTGATCTTAGTTATTTCTTGTCTTCTGATAGTTTTTGAATTTGTTTGCTCTTGCTTCTCTAGTTCTTTTAATTGTGATATTAGGGTGTCAATTTTAGATCTTTCTCACTTCCTCATGTGGGCATTTAGTGCTATAAATTTCCCTTTACACACTGCTTTAAATATGTCCCAGAGATTCTGGTATGTTGTGTCTTCGTTCTCATTGGTTTCAAAGAACTTATTTATTTCTGCCTTAATTATGTTATTTACCTAGTAGTCATTCAAGAGCAGGTTGTTCAGTTTCCATGTAGTTGTGTGGTTTTGAGAGTTTCTTAATCCTGAGTTCTAATTTGCTTGCACTGTGGTCTGAGAGACTGTTATGATTTCCGTTCTTTTGCATTTGCTGAGGAGTGTTTTACTTCCAATTATGTCATCAGTTTTAGAATAAGTGTGATGAGGTGTTGAGAAGAATGTATATTTTGATTTGGGGTGAAGCGTTCTGTAGATGTCTATTAGGTCTTGTTGGTCCAGAGCTGAGTTCAAGTCCTGAATATCCTTGTTAATTTTCTGTCTCATTGATCTGTCTAATATGAACAATGTAGTGTTAAAGTCTGCCACTATTATTGTGTGGGAGACTAAGTCTTTCTGTAGGTCTCTAAGAACTTGCTCTATGAATCTGGATGCTCCTGTATTAGGTGCATATATATTTAGGATAGTTAGCTCTTCTTGTTGCATTGGTCCTTTTACCATTATGTCATGTCCTTCGTGGTCTTTTTTGCTCTTTTTTTGGTTTAACGTCTGTTTTGTCAGAGACTAGGATTGCAACCCCTGCTTTGTTTTGCTTTCCATTTGCTTGGCAAATATTCCTCCATCCCTTTATTTTGAGCCTATGTGTGTCTTTGCATGTCAGATGTGTCTCCTGAATACAGAACACTGATGGGTCTTGACTCTTTATCCAATTTGCCAGTCTGTGTCTTTTAACTGGGGCATTTATCCCATTACATTTAAGGTTAATATTGTTATGTGTGAATTTGATCCCGTCATCATGATGCTAGCTGGTTACTTTGCATGTTAGTTGATGCAGTTTCTTCATAGTGTCAATGGTCTTTAGAATTTAGTATGTTTTTGTAGTGGCTGGTACTGGTTGTTCCTTTCCATATTTAGTGCTTCCTTCAGGAGCTCTTGTAAGGCAGGCCTGGTGGTGACAAAATCTCTCAGCGTTTGCTTGTCTGTAAAGGATTTTATTTCTCCTTTGCTTATGAAGCTTAGTTTGGCTGGATATGAAATTCTGGGTTGAAAATTATTTTCTTTAAGAATGTTGAATATTGGTCCCCACTCTTTTCTGGCTTGTAGGGTTTCTGCAGAGGGATCCACTCTTAGTCTAATGGGTTCCCTTTCTGGGTAACTTGACCTTTCTCTCTGGCTGCCCTTAATATTTTTTCCTTCATTCAACCTTGGTGAATCTGACGATTATGTGTCTTGGGGTTGCTCTCCTTGAGGAGTATCTTTGTGGTGTTCTCTGTATTTCCTGAATTTGAATGTTGGCCTGCCTTGCTAGGTTGGGGAAGTTCTCCTGGATAATATCCTGCAGAGTGTTTTCCAACTTGGTTCCATTCTCCCCGTCACTTTCAGGTACACCAATCAAACGTAGGTTTGGTCTTTTTACAAGTTCCATATTTCTTGTAGGCTTTGTTCATTCCTTTTCATTCTTTTTTCTCTAATCTTGTCTTCATGCTTTATTTCATTAAGTTGATCTTCAATCTCTGATATCCTTTCTTCCGCTTGATCAGCTATTGATACTTGTGTATGCTTCACTAAGTTCTTGTGCTGTGCTTTTCAGCTCCATCAGGTCATTTATGTTCTTCTCTAAACTGGTTATTCTAGTTAGCAATTCCTCTAACCTTTTTTCAAGATTATTAGCTTCCTTGCATTGGGTTAGAACATGCTCCTTTAGCTCAGAGGAGTTTGTTTTTACCCACCTTCTGAGGCCTACTTCTGTCAATTCATCAAACTCATTCTCCATCCAGTTTTGTTCCCTTGCTGGTGAGGAGTTGGGATCCTTTGGAGGAGAAGAGGCATTCTGGTTTTTGGAATTTTCAGCCTTTTGGCATTGGTTTTTCCTTATCTTCGTGGTCTTATCTACCTATGGTCTTTGATGTTGGTAACCTTCGGATGGGGTTTCTGTGTGCACATCCTTTTTGTTGGTATTGATGCTACTCCTTCCTATCTGTTACTTTTCCTTCAAAAAGTCAGGCTCCTCTGCTGCAGGAGTTTCCTGGAGGTCCACTCCAGACCCTGTTTGCCTGGGTATCACCAGCAGAGGCTGCAGAACAGCAAAGATTGCTGCCTGTACCTTCCTCTGGAAGCTTTGTCCCTGAGGGGCACTTGCCAGATGCCAGCCAGAGCTCTCCTGTATGAGGTGTCTCTCGACCCCTGCTGGGAGGTGTTTCCCAGTCAGGAGGCATGGCAGCGAGAATTTTAAGCCAGTGGATCTTAGCTTGCTGGGCTCTTTGGGGGTGGGGTCCACTGAACTAGACCACTTGGCTCCCTGGCTTTAGCCCTCTTTCCAGGGGAGTAAACGGTTCTGTCTCACTGGCATTCCAGGTGCCACTGGGGTATGAAACAAAAACTCCTGCAGCTAGCTTCGTGTCTGCCCAAACGGCCGCCCAGTTTTTTGCTTGAAACCCAGGGCGCTGGTAGTGTAGGCACCTGAGGGAATCTCCTGGTTTGTGGGTTGTGAAGACCATGGGAAAAGCGTGGTATCTGAGCCAGAGTGCACTGTCCCTCATGGCACAGTCCATCACTGCTTCCTTTGGCTAGAGGAGGGAGTTCCCCAACCCCTTGTACTTCCCAGGTGAGATGACTCCCCACCCTGCTTCAGCTCACCCTCCGTGGGCTACTCTCAGTGTCTAACCAGTCCAAATGAGATGAGCCAGGTACCTCCGTTGGAAATGCAGAAATCACCTGCCTTCTGCATTGAACTTGCTGGGTGCTGCAGACTGGAGCTGTTCGTATTCAGCCATCTTGCCAGCCACCTGCATGAATTTCTTATATATTTTGAATATAAACTCCTTATCAGTCATATGGTTTACAAATATTTTTTCCTGTTCCATAGGTTTCCTTTATATGTTGTAGATTATTTTCTTTGCTATGCAGAAGTATTTAGTTTTCTGTAATCCATTTTTAACTTTTTCACCTCTGCTGCCTGTGCATATGATGTCAAATCCAAAAATTTATTGCTACGATGTGTGTCATAGTTTTCCCCTTTGTTTCTTCTAAGAGTTTTATGGTTCCAGTATTTATGTTTAAATCTTTAATCCATTTTGAGTTGATTTTTGTGCATGAAGTAAGATAAGGATCCAATTTCAATTTTTTGCATGTGAATATCCAGTTTCCCCACGTCATTCTTTGGACAGACTATCTTTTCCCCATTGTGTGTTCTTGGCACCTTTATCAAAAATCAGTTGACTATATATGTGTGGGTTTATTCTGGGGCTAATTTTGTTCTATTGGTCTATATGTCTGTTTTTATACTGGTATCATATTATTTTGATTTCTATTCCTTTGTAATATAATTTAAAATCAAGAAGTGTGCTGCCTCCAGCATTGTGGTTCTTGCTCAAGATTTCTTTGGCTATTCAGGATATTTTGTGGTTCTGTATAAATTTTAGGATTATTTTCTCTATTTCTATAAAAAATATCACTGGAATTTTGATTGTGATTGCACTGAATCTGTAGATCACTTTGTGTAGTGTGGATATTTTTGGAATATTAATTCTTCTGCTCCATGAACAAATAATATCTTTCCATATATTTATGTCTTCTTCATTTTTTAATCAGTGTTTTATAATTTTTAGTGTACAGATCTTTCACCTCATTGGTTAAATTTATTTCTAAGTTTTCTTTTTTTATGCTGTTGTAAATAAGATTGTTTCTTAATATCTTTTTCAGCTAGCTCATTGTTAATGTGTAGAAATAAAACTGATTTTTGTATGTTGATTTTCTGTCTTGCAACTTTACTGAATTTCTGTAGCAGTTCTCATAGTTTTTCATAGAATCTTTAGAGATTTCTACATATAAGATCATGTCATCTGTAAACACATACAGTTTTATATCTTTTCTGATTTGGATGCCCTTTCTTTTTCTGGCCTAATGGCTCTGACTAGAACTTACAATATTGTGTTGAATGGAAGTGGTGAGCGGGGGCATCCTTGTTTTTTTCTTGATCTTAGAGTAAAAGCTTTCAATTTTCCACGATTGAGTATGACATTAGCTGCAGACTTGTCACATATGGCCTTTATTTTGTTAAAATACATCTCTTCTATATCTAATTTGTTGGAAGTTCTTATCATGAAAAAATATTGAATTTTATCAGATAATTTTGTTGTATCTATTGAAATAATCGTATCTTTTTTTATTCATTTTGTTAATTTGGTGTATCACATTTGACTTGCATATGTTGAACCATTGTTGCATACCACAGATAAATACCACTTGATCATGGTGTATTATCATTTGAATGTGCTGTGGAATTAAGGTTTTTGTATTTTCTTGAGGGTTTATGCATTTTTGTCCATCGGGATATTGGCCTATAATTTTATTTTTCAGTAATGTCCCTGTCAGCTTTGGTATCAGGATAATGTTTGCCTCATAAAATGAGTTTAAAAATATTATTTCCTCTTCAACTTTTGGAAGACTTTAAGAAGGATTTCCATTAATTTTTCTTTAAAATTTTAGTAGAATTCACCAGTGAAAGCATTTGGTCCTGGACTTTTATTTGTTGGAAGACTTGATTGCTGATTAAATCTTCCTATTATTGTTCAGTTCAGATTTTTCTATTTCTTAAGTCTTAGTAGGTTGTATGTTTCTAGGAATTCATCCATTTCTTCTAGTTTATCCAATTTGTTGGAATGTAATTATTCATAGTAGTCTCTTATGATCCTTTCTTTGTGTGATATCAGTTGTTTCCTCTTTTCTTTCTAATTGCATTTGAGTATGCTCTATTTTTTTTTGTTAGTCTAGCTAAAGGTTTGTCAATTTTGTTTACCGTTCTAACAAACCAACCCAGTTTCACTGATTATTTTTCTATTGTTTTTCTAGTCTATGTTTTATTTATTTCTACTCTGATTTTAATTATCCTTTATTTTATTCTTCCTTTTTAAACTTTGGGCTTCGTTTAGTTTTATTCTGTTTCCTTATGTTCAACATCTTTCTTTTATCCTTCTTTAAAAATTTTTTTTTTGAGAGACAGGGACTTGCTGTCCTCTTTCCCAGGCTGGAATGCAATGGCATGATCATGGCTCGTAGCAGCCTTGAAACCCTGGGCTCAAGTGATGCTCCCACCTCAGCCTCTCCAGTAGCTAGGACTACAAGTACATGCTACCACACCTGTCTAATTTATTTTTTGTAGAGGTGGAGTCTCACTATGTTGCCCAGGCTGATCTCAAACTCCTGGCCTCAAGCAATCTTCCCATCTTGGCCTTCCACAGCACTGAGATTACATGTGTGAGCCACCAGGCCAGCACATCTTCCTTTTTTCTTAATGTAGGTCCTTGTTGCTATAAACTTTCTTCTTAGAATGCCTTTTTCTGTATCCCATAAGTTTTGGTCTGTTGTGTTTCCATTTTCATTTGTCTCAAGATTTTTTTTAATTTTCCTTTTGAGTTCTTCTTTGACTCATTTGTTGTTCAGGATGTGTTGTTTAATTTCCACATATTGTGAATTTTTAAATTTCTTCATGTTGTTGATTTCTTGTTTTGTACCATTGTGGTCAGAAAAGATACATGATATAAATCCAATCTTCTTAAATTTGTAAAGACTTGTTTTGTGGCCTAGCATGTGATCCTTTCTGGAAAATGTTCCATGTGCAATTGAGGAAAATATTCTACCATGTTGAGTGGAATATTCTGTTTATGTCTGTTAGGTATATTTGTCTATAGTGTTCAAGTCCAATGTTACTGATTTTCTGTCTGGACAACTGATCCATGGTTGAAAGTGGAGTATTACTTTTCTCTACTATTTTTTTGTGGTCTAACTCTCTCTGTAGAGCTGTTCATATGTGTTTTATATATTAAGGTGTTCCAATGCTATGTGCCTATATATTTACAATTGATATATCCTCTTGATAAATTGACTCATTTATCATTATATAATGACTGTTTCTTTTACAGTTTTTGACTTAAAGTCTATTTTGTATGATATAGGTATAGCTACCCCTGCTCTTTTCTAGTTTCTATTTGCATGGAAAGTCTTTCTTTCATTTATTTCCTTTCAATCTATGTGTGTCTTTAAAGCTGAAGTCAGTCTTTTGTAGGCAGCATATAGATGGGTTGTGTGTGTGTGTGTGTGTGTGTGTGTGTGCGCTCGCGCGCATGTAATCTATTCGGCCACTCTATGTCTTTTGAATAGAGAATGTAGTCCATTTACATTTAACATAATTATTGAGAGGTAAGAACTTATTATTGCCATTTTGTTAATTGTTTTCTGACTGTTTGGTAGGTTCTTTGTTTCTTTCTTCCTCGTCTGTTATCTTTGTGATTTATTTATTTTATGTAGTGGTATGCTTTGATTTCTTTCTCTTTATCTTTTGTGTATCTAATATAGGTACTTTTTTGTGGTTACTGTTAGGCTTACATAAAATATCTGATAGTTACAATAGGCTATTTTAATCTAATAACAACTTTGATCACTATAAAAGCTCTGCCCAATTTTATGTTTTTAATTTATAACTTCTTATATTATGAACCCATTAATAAATTATTATAGATATAGTTTTTAATGCCTTGACTTTTTATCTTTGTACTAGAGTTATAAGTGATTTACACACCATTATTACAGCACTGGAGTATTCTGAATTTGACTACCTAATTATCTTTCCAAGCAAGTTTTATATTTTCATATGTTTTTACATTACTAATTAGCATTATTTCATTTCAGGTTGAAGAACTCTCTTTAGCATTTCGTTTAAGGCAGGTCTAATGATGACGAGCTCCCTCAACTTTTGTTTCTCTGAGGAAATTTTTATCTATCCTTCATTTATGAAGAATAGCTTTGCCAGGTAAACTATTATTGTTTGGCAGGGGTTCTTTCCAGCACTCTGAATATATCATTCCATGTTCTCCTGGCCTGCAAGGTTTCTGCTGATGGCCTCATAGAAATTTTCTTGGTTTGGTGAGCCTCTTTTCTCTTGTTGCTTTCAAATTTCTCTCTTTTGTCTTTGCTTTTGATAGTTTGATTAAAATATGTGCCAATGAAGTCTTTGGGGACCACCATTGAGCTTCATGTGCTTGGATTTCCATATCTCTTCCCAAACTTGGAAAATTTTCAGCCATTATTTCTTTAAATAGTTTCCTGTCCTTTTCCCTCTCTGTCTTCTCCTTCTAAAGATTCCGTAATGCAAATGTTAGCTGTTTTGATGGGGTCTCAAAAATCTCATAGGCTTTCTTCATTCCCTTTTATTCTTTTTCACTTTTTCTTTTATGCCTTGATAATTTAAAATGACATGTCTTCAAGTTCTGATTCTTTGGCTTGATTGAGTCTGCTATTGAAACTTTCTATTACGTTCTCTATTTCAGTCACTGTATTCTTCAGCTTCAAAATTTCTGTTTGGTTCTCTCTTTTTCTGTTTTCTATCTCTTTTTTGAATATCTCATTTTGTTCTCATATTGTTTTCCTGATTTCATTACATCATTTATCTATGTTCTCTTGTAACCTGCTGAGCTTCTTTAGAACAATTATTTGTTACTTGGTTGGTGTCTTGTTTCCCTGGTTCCTTGTGATCCTTGTTTGTGCAGGTTTGATATATAGGTAAACAGGCAGGTATCTGTGCCTTGGAAGACCTTTTCCAGATTTAATTGACTGGCTGTGGTAAGAAAAGATGTTTATCAGTGGGGTGAGGGGGCCCTGGAGCATACTGTGTCACCAGATATCAAATGTGGGAGCATAAAGTAGCTTTGGGTCTTGTGTGGGGGTGGTGTAGAGTCTTATCAGCTCAGAAAGCTGTCCATGACGTCAGCAGCAGAAAACCCTTATTGATAAGAACTGCAGGGGATCTACAGTGAGTAAAAAAGCTGTTAGGGTCCTCAGCAGTGCCTCTGGCTTCAGTAGCAAGGGACAAGGGCTAACAGTGGTGGACACCGGGGCTTGAAGTTTACACATGTGTGGCTGCAGGGACCAGCTGTACATGCCAGTGTGGCTGCAGGGGTTGGGCCTGCCAGTATGCATGAGCTCGACTGCAAGGAATAGCTGAAGATATGTGCCTGGTGGTGAGGGAGTTGGGGCTAGCTGGTGCATGTACACTGCTGTGGGGACCAGAGCTGATGGCTAGCTGCAGGTGACTGAATAGTAGTGAAAGCTGGCAGTGGGGTCAGTGTCAGCTATGTAAACACACATGCCTGCAGGATCACCCGTGGGCATACATACAACATTGCATGTCATGGCTTGATGCAGGAACCCAAGCCATCTGCAAGCATGTGCATGCAGTGGCCATGCTATGTGTGGGGATGGGGCACCCATGGTGGAAAGAAAGCTCTGGGAAGGGGAGAAAAAGGTGGCAGCTCAGACAGCTGGAGTCTGCAAAGACAAAAATCTGTAGATCTCAAAGGCAAAAGCTTTTGGCATCCCCTGTGGAGCAGACTGCTTGGATCCACAATGTTGAACACCAGGGGGTCCTCGGTGGAGCTGGCTGGTGGCGGCGGTGGGGGGATGCTGTGAAACACCACAAGAGCTGCTGTTGAGGTCCTCAGTGGTGAGAGTTGAGGATCAAGCCATGGGGGCGGTCTCAATAGCATCCACCATATGGCTGACAGTGATAGCCTCCAGCCTTCTTTGTTTTTTAGTTGAATATATGTCATGTTAAGTTTTTAGTCCTCTCCAGATGTCTCAGCTATGTTGGTGTCCCCAGAGATCTGGGTGAGGTGAAACCAAAGCAGATCCTTAGAGCAATGCCCCCAAAAGACTGGGGAAGTTGGTCATTCATTCCGCTCTTCTTTTCCCTGTAAGGACAACTTGTGCACTGGGTAGTTCCCTCTTAGCACTGAGGAGTGACAGCCTCAGGAGATGAGATGGTGCAGGCAAAATGAAACTGTTGTTCCTATGCCTTTTGTGCAATTATTCTGGGTGGTTTTTTTTTTTTTTTTTTTTGGCTTTGCTGTGTTGCTGCAGCTTTTCAAATTGATGCCTGAGCTCTCTAGAGCTATTTTCACTTGTGGATAGCTGTCTAATTATTATTTTTTTTGTGGGAGGATGAAGGCTGGCATCTCCTACTCTGATATCTTGCTGATGTTTCTCCCTGAACTCTAACCTTTAAAAGGAGATGATACCTTGTTTTAAAAAGTGCTAGGAGTTTTAAATCAAATGGTTACTTTCTGGAACTTTTCCATTCAAAGCACTAAGAAAATGGGATACTGTAATTTTAGTTGAATATATATCATGTTAAGTAATAAGAGACAGGAGTTCGGTGTCCTTACCTACTGCTTCAGTTGACTGATTTGCCAAAAGCCATTTTGATTCAGTATCACTGGGAAAAATTAAGAAAACATTAATATGCCCTGCACAGACTAACATATTCAAGACTTGCTATTTTCAGTCAGACAAAGATCATTAGGAAATAAATTTGCGTTCATCAGAGCCAAATATGCTTAATAACTACTTCATTAAAATCTGCTAATGCTGGAACTCTTTTTGAGAAATTGGATTTATAACAAGAAGCCATAAATAGCAACGAGATGACTCCACCCCCGAAGAAATGGCCCTTATTTTGCCTAGTTTAAAAACAGTTTGTTTAGTGGTAAGAAAAGCCTTAGTTCTTGGCTTCTGTCTCTTGCACAGTTTCCAACATGATAACAGGAGAGGGAGGCAACTAAGAGTACATGATAGGAAAACGTGCTAGCTTCCCATTGACTGGGGGCAAAACTTCCCAAGAACAAGATGAAGACTGACCTGATTCAACTCAAAACAACAGAAGCAGCACTAAGATGGTAAATAAAGAGCTTTTTTTTTTTTTTTTTTTTTTTTTTTTTAGATGAAGACTCGCTCTTGTTGCCTAGGCTGGAGTGCAATGGTGCGGTCTCGGCTCACTGCAACCTCTGCCTCCCAGGTTCAAGTGATTCTCCTGCCTCAGTCTCCTGAGTAGCTGGGATTACAGGATTACCTGCCAGCGAGCCTGGCTAATTTTTGTATTTTTAGTAGAGACGAGGTTTCACCATGTTGGCCAGGCTGGTCTCGAACTCCTGACCTCAGGTGATCCGCCCACCTCAGCCTCCCAAAGTGTTGGGATTACAGGCATGAGCCACCTGGCAAATGAAGAGTTTTATGTGGACAGCACAACCCCAGCTGCTTCAGGACTGACAACCAAAGTAACAGGCATGGGGAACCTCACAGACAACACAAAGCTCATCTCTTTTATATTTATAAGGCAACATTTCCTCTATCCATTCTTCAGTACCTTTTCCTTATCTTCCTCCTGGGTCTGCATCTTAGCTCTAACCAAGTGGTTGTCAACTCAGTGTGAGTGTCGGAATTACCTGTGTAGATATTCAAATATCACACATGATCTATTCATGTGGTAGGGCCACCATAATAATACCAGAGACTGGATGGCTTAAACAACAGAAATTTATTTTCTCACAGTTCTGGAGGCTAGAAATCCAGGATTAAAGTTTCAACAGATTTTGTTTCTTCTGACGCTTCTTTCCTTGGCTTGTAGGTGGCCACCTTGCTCTGCCCTCACATGGTCATCCCACTGGGCATGTGCACCCCTGGTGTCTCTCTGTGTGTCCATATTTCCTCTTCTGACAAGGACAATAGTCAGACTGGATTCAGGCACACCCTAACAGCCTCGTTTTAACTTAATCACTTCTTTAAAGACCCCCATGTTCACATACAGTCACATTCTGAGGTACTAGAGTTGAGAGCTTCAACATGGGAATTTTGGGAGGACACAATACACAGTTCAGCCCATTACTTTCCCCAAGTCCCAGTCACAGAGACTCTGATTCAGTAGGTCTGGGGAAGTACCTTGGGATCTCTACTTTAAAACTACCACAGGGAGCCTCAAATACACAGGATTATATTCCAGTGTATTGTATTTTGACTTCTATGTATAATCCTTGAAGTCAAAGACTGCCTTGTACATGTATGTAATCTCATTCATTTTTATGGTACCTATCAAAGATGTTTAGGAAACAGTCTATTTTGTTTTAGTTATTACTCTGTTCTCTCTGGGTTTTTCCTACTTTATCTATCTATCTATCTATCTATCTATCTATCTATCTATCTATCTATCTATCTTTGAGACAGAGTCCCGCTCTGTTGCCCAGGCTGGAGTGCAGTGGCATGATCGCAGCTCACTACAACCTCCATCTCCCAGGTTCAAGTGATTCTCCTGCCTCAGTCTCCCGAGTAGCTCGGATTACAGGTGTGCCATCACACCTGGCTAAGTTTTGTATTTTTAGTAGAGACGGGTTTTGCCATGGCCAGGCTGGTCTCAAACTCCTGACCTCAGGTGATCTGCCCACCTCGGCTTCCCAAAGTGCTGGAATTACAGGCAAGAGTCACCACACCTGGCCTATTTATTCTCTATATTTGATTTATTACTGACATGAGTGTTTTATGTTTGCACTCTCGTACCCTTCCAGGGGCCATTATCTTCTCATCTCATCAAAGTTATAGTACTTTGATGAGGACCCACCAGTTCCCTGTCCCAGTACTTCTTTATTCTCCAACTCTATTTCCGTGCAGGGCTCTGGAAGCTAAACCACTGTGGGGAGAAATCTCAGGACTAATCCATACTTCAGTTAAGTTGGCATGTGGGCAAACTTGCTGCTTTTCTCATTTCAGCCTTGTATCTCTGTCTTGGTAATTAGGTTTCTATCTTATTTCAGGGTCTGGATCCATGTGATACATACCAGTTCCACATTGGTCGCTTGATTGTTAGCTGATATCTAACTTCCTGCCTTGTTAGCCTGCCCATTCTCCAAGCCTGGGAACCCTTGTGCCTTGTCTTGTTCTTGCCATCCTCCCAGTGTCATCAGCATAAATAATCTAGATCAAGAAGTGGTAAACTTTTTCTGTTAAGGACCTGAAAGTAAATATTTTAGGCTTTGCCAGCCATGTGGACTCTGTCAAGACTACTCAACTCTAACTCTGTAGAGCAGAAGCAGCCAGAAATGACATGTAAACAAATGAGCGTGGCTATGTTCCAATAACTTATGTACAAAAACAGCTAGCAGCTGAGGGCTTCTGACCTGAGGGCTGTAGTTGGCAAACTTGATCGCAATGGAGTGTTATCAAATTATTCTGTGGAATTTCATGGGCTCCTTCTATTAGAGAGGCGATTTTAATTAGATACTTTCTCTTTTATCTGTTTTATATTTAGGACTGTAATCATTCCATCCTGTATTCAGTCCATCGAGGCTGCTATAACAAAATTTCTTAAATTGGGTGGCTTAAACAACAGAAATTTACTTCTTATAGAACTCGAGACTGGGAAGGATCTAGGTCATGGCAGATTTTGTGTCTGGTGAGGATCCACTTTCTACTTTACTACATCCTCACATGGTGGAAAAATTATGGTTTCTTCAGCCCCTGTAAGGGCACTAATCCCATTCATGAGGGTCCCACCCTGGTGACCAAATCACCTCCCAAAAGTTCCGCCTCCTTACAGTATCACATTGGAGATTACGGTTAACATAAATCTTGGGGAGACAAAAATATTCAGACCACAGCAGACTCCAAGTAAAAATTTTGATGTAAAGGGGGTTCTACTGCTTTAAAATAACAGGTTTGAAAACTACTAGTATAGATCAATTCTAAGAAATGAGCAAACTGAGATCTGAAAAAAAATAACTTGCCTCTGTTGTAGAATTGCAGCTAGAAACTGTAGCTAGAAACCATAATGTTTAAGGATTAAACAAAATGTGAGGCCTTTCTAAGCATGGGAACCTTGTACAACTACACAAATTATACAGCCATAAAGTAATTTCTAGAGGGAGGATTGCTCTCTGTAAAGTCTGAAGAGGCACTGAGTGGTTTGAAATTATTAATAACTTTTTTAACAAGGGGCTCTGAATTTTCATTTTGCACTGGGCCTTGCAAATTATATAGCTGATCCTGCTCTTCACCTCCACATACATATGCAATGCCTTTATGCAGTAAATAAGACTCCATAAATGTCCAGAGAGGTGAGATCCCCCCTGACTTAATTATTTAAGGACTGTATTTATAAATTTCACAAATTGTTCCAATGCTTTTTAATGTCTAGATTCACAGGTTGTTTTAAAACTTTACTAGTCTATAAAATTAAATCTTGCATTAAAACACAATTTCCCAATTAAAAAAATGGGCGAAAGTCCCGAACGGACTTCTCACCAAAGATAATAAAGACAGATGGCAAATAAGCAAAGGAAAAGATGCTCCACATCACATATCATTACAGAAATTCAAATTAAAAAATGAGATACCACTACACAACTATTAGAATGGCCAAAATCCAGAACACTGATAATAATGCTGGTGAAGATGTGGTACAACAGGAACTTTCATTGCTGGTGAGAATGCAAAATTGTACAGTCACTTTGGAAGACAGTTTGGCAGTTTCTTAAACATACTCTTACCACATAATCCAGCAGTCACACTCAGTGGTATTTACCCAAAGGAGCTGAAAATCTATGTCCACAGAAATCTTGCATACAGGTGTTTATGGCATTGCCAAAACTTGGAAGCAACCAAGATGCCCTTCAATAGATTCTATGGATTGAATTGTTTCTACTCCCCTCTCCAAATTCACATATTAAAGCCCTAATCCCAAATGTGACTGTATTTGGAGATTGAGCCTTTAGGAGGTAACTAAGGTTAAATGAGGTCCAACACAATTGGTGGCTTTATAAGAAGAAGAGATCTCTCCCTGGCCACTCCACATGAACTCAGAGAAAAGGCCAGTGAGGATGCAGTGAGAAGGTGGCTATCTGCAAACCAAGAAGAAAGTCCTCACCAGAAACAAGACCTGCTGGACCTTGATCTCGAACTTCCAGCCTCCTTAACTTTGAGAAAATAAATTTCTGTTGTTTAAGCCATGCAGCTTGTCTTATTTTGTTAATGGCAGCCCTAGCCACCTAAGATGGTAGGTGAATAAATAAATAAACCGTGGTATATTCAGACAACAGAATATTATCCAATTATCCAGTGCTAAACAAAAGTTAGCTATGAAGCCATGAAAAGACATGGAGGAAACATAAATGCATATTACTAAATAAAAGAAGCCAATCTGAAAAGACTACATACTGCATGATTCCAACTATATGACATTTTGGAAAAGACAAAAGTATAGAAACAGTAAAATGGAGAAAGAGGCTGGGTGCAGTGGCTCACGCCTGTAATTCCAACACTTTGGGAGGCCGCAGCGGGTGGATCATGAGATTAAGAGATCAAGACCTCCTGGCCAACATGGTCAAACTTCGTCTCTATTAAAAATTAGCTGGGCATGCTGGCACGTGCCTGTAGTCCCAGCTACTCGAGAGGCTGAGGCAGGAGAATTGCTTGAACCCGGGAGGCAGAGGTTGCAGTGAGCTGAGATCGCCCCACTGCACTCAAGCCTGGAGTGAGACTCCGTCTAAAAAAAAAAAAAAGGAGAAGAACAGAATCACTAAGTGAAGCATAGGTGATTTTTAGGCAGTGAAAATACTCTGTATGATATTATACTGGTGGATACATGTCATTATACATTTGTCAAAATCCATAGAATGTGTATCACCAAGAGGGAAAACTAAACTATGGACTTTGGGTGTAAATGTTGTGTCACTGTAGGTTCCATGATTGTAATAAATGTACCACTTTGGTGTGGGATGTTGATATTGGGGAGATTATGTGTGTGAGGAAGAATGGGGGTAAAGGGGAACTGATAAGGTTTGGATGTTCTGTCCCCTCCAAATCTTATATTAAAATGTGACCTCCAATGTTGGAGGTGGGCCCAGTGGGAGATGCTTGGGTCATGGGGGTGGATAATATTGCAGAATATTATCCAATTATCCAGTGCTAAAAAAAAAACACCTTAGCTATGAAGCCATGAAAAGACATGGAGGACACATAAATGCATATTATTAAGTAAAAGAAGCCAATCTGAAAAGTCTACATACTACGTGATTCCAACTACATGACATTTTAGAAAAGACAAAAGTATGGTGACAGTAAATGACTCATCAATGACTAAGTGTCCTCCCTGTGGTAATGAGTTAACATTAGATCCAGTTGTTTAAAAAGAGCCTGGCACCTCCTCCCTCTCTTTCTTGCTCCCTCTCTCAACATGTCACCCACTGGCTTCTCCTTTGCCTTCTGCCATGATTGTAAGCTTCCTAATGCCTCACCAGAAGCAGATACTGACACTACACTTCTTGTATAGCCTACAGAATCATGAGCTAAATAAACCTCTCTTCTTTCCAAATTTCTTAGCCTCAGGTATTCTTTTATAGCAATGCAAAACAGACTAACACAGGAACTTTCTGTTCTTTCTGCTCATTTTTGCTGTGAACCTAAAGCTGCTTTAAAAAATAAAGTCATTCAAAATAAAAATAAATTTTAGTTTCTTTCTGAATAAAATGATTTAACTATAAAATACCTGACAATATAATAGAGGAGAAAAGCAACTGAATATTGAAAATACCTAAGATGGCAAGAATGGAGAAAGAGGTAAACAAAAAATAAATAATTTTTTAAAGTAGCAAGATGGTAGAATTAAACTCAACCATATCAAGTAAAAATGGACTAAACATTCCAGTTAAAAGGCAGTTTATTAGATTTGATAAATAAGCAATACCAAAAAATATAGCAAAGAAACACATTAAATATAAAGTTGTAAAATGTGCAAGAAGCTATACTATGCAAACATTAAGCATAAGAAAGTGTTTGTGACTGTGTTATATCAGACCAAGCAGACTTTGAGACAAGAAGTATTACTATAAAGTGGGATATTTGGTAATGATAAAATGGACAATTATTAAGAAGATATGACAATACTATGTATGTAATCACCTCATAACAGAACCTAAAAATGCATGAGTCAAAATTGTCAAAACTAAAGAAATCAACAAATACACAATTGTAGCTGGAAATTTTAATGCCCTTCTCTCACTACTTAAAGAAAGCAGAGACAAAAATCAACAAACACATAGATTTAAATAATACTACTGGACCTGTCATTTATAGAACATAATATCCAACAACTGCAGAATATCCATTCTGTTTAAGTCCACATGGAACATACACCAAGATACACCATGTGTCAAGCCAGAAAAAAAGTCTCAATGAATTTCCAATAATAAAAATGATAGAGTAATTCTCTGACCACACAAGTATGAAATTAGAAATGAATAACAATACAATACCCAGAAAATTCCCAAACATTAGGAAATTGAGCCACACATTTCTAACTAACACAAGGGCCAAAGATTACAGAACAAGAAAACATAAATTATCAGTTTCACAAATAAAAGAGGATATCACTATGATCTGATAGATATTAGAAGAATGATAATGGGTATTATAAACAACTTTATGCCAACAAAATCCAACAAGCAAGGCAAAAAACACAAGCTGCCAAAGCTCATTCAAGAGAAAGCAAATATCCTTAGTAAACCTATATCCATGAAAGAAATGGAATTTGTAATCAAAACCATTACCACAAAGAAAACTCGAGGTCCAGATGGCTTCACCAATGAATGCCATCAGACATTTAAGGAAGAAATAATGCCCATCTTAAACTGTTTTATAAAAGAGTTATTACTCTTTTACAGAAACACTTTCCAACTTGTTTTATGAAACAAGGCAGCATAACCTTCCTACTAGAAGTAAATACGGTGCAATAGAAGCACAGACAAGTATACCTCCTGAACAAATATTTTAAAACTCCGTAACAAAAATTAGCAAGCCAAATCCAGCAATTAAAACTATAACACATCACAAACAAGTGGAGTTTATCCTAGGAATATAAGATTGGTTTAACAGTTAAAAAAAATCACTGTAATTCATCACATTACAATAGTAAAGAAGAAAAGTCATAAAATCATTTCCACAGATAGAGAAAACAGAAATTTGATAAAAGACAATACCCATTCATGATTTTAAAAATAAAAACTCACAGGAAACAAGAAACAGAGGGTAACCTTGTCAATCTGATAAACAGCCAACATCATATTTTAATGGTGAAGTATTACAATATTTCCCTTATCCTTGGCAAAAGGGCAAGGATATGTACTATCTCCAACATTGTACTGGAAGTCCTAGCTAGAAAGAAAGACAAGACAAGAGAAAAGAAATAAGCAGCATGAAGACAGGAGAGGAAGAAGCTAAATGATGCTTAGTTACAAGTGGCATGATTGCATTCAAAGAAACTATGACATCTAAAAAATGACTACTCAACTAATAAGTGAAATTAGCCATGTGACAGGATATCAAGAAACAATAAGTATCTAAAAATAAACATGAGAAATATGGAAACTGATACAGTACAAAACACAAAACATAGCTGAGAAAAATGAAACCCTAGAGATACAAACCATTCTATGTTGATTGAAAGACTCAAAATTGATGACTTTTATTTTCTCCAAATTGATCTGCAGAGTTAATGCAATTCTTATCAATATCCCAGCAAGCTTTTATGCAAAAATTTATTTAAAGTAGCCTAAAACTGGAAGTTACCAAAATGCCTGTGGAAACAGGCACATGGAAAAACAAAGTTTGCTATAGCCATACAATTGAAAACTCATTAGTAAAGGGTATAAACTATGAATACACTGACCTTAACAGAAGAATTTCAAAAACATCATAAGAGAACAAATCCAAACACAAGAGGTTGCATAGTGTATACCATTTACATTAAATTCAAGAACTAGAAAAGCTAATCAGTGGTAGTTGAAATGAGAGCAAAGATTGCTTCTAGGTGTGAGAAGGAGCCACCCGGAAAGGGGCATGAAAACACCTTCTGAGGTGATAGAAATGATTTATGTCTTGTTTTGAATAATGTTTACACAAGTATATGAAATTGTCAAAACTCAGAGAAAAAAACACAAGATTCATGGATTATATTTAGGTTAGTTATACCTTAAATTATATTACATGTTATATCTCAAGAATGTTGATTTTAAAAGAATCAACCCGGCCGGGCGTGGTGGCTCATGCCTCTAATCCCAGCACTTCGGGAGGCCAAGGCGGACAGATCACCTGAAGTCGGGAGTTCGAGACCAGCCTGACCAACATAAAGAAACCCCGTCTCTACTAAAAATACAAAATTAGCCAGGCATGGTGGCACATCCCTGTAATCTCAGCTACGCGGGAGGCTGAGGCAGGAGAATCGCTTGAACCCGGGAGGCAGAGGTTGCAGTGAGCTAAGATCGCACCATTGCAATCCAGCCTGGGCAACAAGAGCAAAACTCCGTCTCAAAAATAAAATAAAATAAAAAAAGAATCAACCCATAGGCTCTCCCAATTCTTTTATTCAGAAATGTATTATCACTTCGTTCTGGTCTTACCTTTATTTTGAAGATAAGGCATAACTCACTGCTCTCAAAATTCTGTGTTAAACCCTGACCAAAATTATTACAAATCTGACCTAACCCAGAGAAGCAGTAATAACCATGATATGCAAGATAATTGTTTTTACATCTGTGTATGGGTGACTGAAATAAGGATCTAGCCTAATGCAAGGAGAATGGAGAAAATGCTTTTATCAAATGTCCATCATGTACATGCACACAATGTTTGAACACAAACATGGTTGTGATGCTGCAATTACACAATGTGGTACCCTGGTTCTTTGGTGACTCTCAAAGTTGTCCTTTTATAGTCTCCTCCCCTTGAATTTCACCTGGCCCAGTGACCTCTTTTGACCAACAGAATAAGGCAGAAGCCCTGGCAGCTTCTGCTTTTGTACTCTTGAAAGTCCTGAGCTGCTACATAAGAAGTCTGGTTACCCCATTGTTGACACCACATATAGAAGCCCTATGGAGACACCACGTGGAGAGGGAGAGGTCATTAGATTGCATGAAGAATTGAGGAACCCAGTCAAGAGTAAGACCAAAGACCCTAAATATATGACCTCAGCAGAATCACTCAAGCCAGCTCCTACCATTAGAGACTAGTTAGTGCAGGTACCAGACATGGAAGTGAGGAAACCATTTTGGACATTCTAATAGACATGATACGGGGCAGACATTAGTCATCTCTGCTCTTCCCTCTTTGAATTCCTGACTCACAGAATAGTGAGAAATAATAAAAACAGTTGTTGTTTTAAGCCAGTAAACTTTGGGGTACTCCATTATGCAGCACTAGATAGCTGAAAGACACCTAATGGGATAAGCTGCCAAGGGAAAGCTGGGGCCAGGAGAAGGGGGTAAGAGGCAATATGAGAATGAACAGAAAATCAAAGAACAAAGGAGATCAAGGCAGATACATATAATACTGAAGAAACAGGAGAATCCCAGAAACACAGAATTGTGCTTCAGACAATCCTTTCTACCTGTATGATGCCTTTAGCCTGCCGCAGCAAAGAGGTAAAATATCACTAGGTCAAAGGATGGTACTAGGGCAGAAATGCCTAAAAAGCTATTTCTGCCAGCTTGATTATGAAACCTAACCCATACTGACTTCTTTAAAAGTCATTTTTGGTGTACACTTCTGTATTGAGATTCTCCTTATGGTTTCCAGCTAAGCTATAAAATTGACATTGCCTTAAATAATCCCAAATGATTCTCTAGATGAGGAAGGTGTTCCTTAAAAAAATTATACATTAAAATAGTGCACTCTTATTATTTTTATATATCTGTAACATATTAAGCTACAGATTCATTTGCAAAATTTTGCAGATAGCTTCACTCTACATCTGCTAGGCCAGCTGCACCATCTGTATGTGGTGCTATTTTGAGATCCATACTTAAGCAGCAGATAAAGGATACATGAAGCTTGCAGTGGCTGAGCTGTCTGGACCTGGCTGCACTTTAGAAGGCAGAGTCTTACAGGACTGACTTACTAATAATGATGAAGTTAAAAGCACTACAGAGTAACAAAGTATCGGCTGCCTTTTATTTTTGATTTTGCAAATGCCCCCATTTCCTTATCTGCAAAATGGGAATTTTAATGGTACCTTCCTCATAAGATTGTTATGAGGATTAAATAAATGTCTAAATGCTTAATGTCTGGCATGAAGTAAAGCTTCAATAATAAGTTTATCTATTATATAATTTCCTATATATGTCATATTATTCATGCAACAAAAAATATTATATCATTTTATCTTAAATTTCAAGCAGAATTTGTTACCTTTGGTGTTATAATGATGCAAAGACACTAGCTAGCTTGTGACAAAGCTGCTTACATGTTTCAATTACTTTTTACAATCTGGTATAGCTTGAAAAGATAATCAACACCTATAAGTTTAAGGCTATACAGGATGTTTCACTTTTACCATCTCTGAGTCAGAAATTCTGTTGGATTAATAAACCTTGAACTGCTAAAAAACCATCATGAACTAAGATGGATACCAAGAACCATTATAGCTTTTATAAGCCTTTCAACTGAAAGTAACAGAAACCAACACTGGTTCTTTCAAGTAACAAGGGAATTTATCGGAAGGATGTTGAGAGCTCACATTATTGATGGGATGCTGGCAAACCAAACTTGGAATATGTGCCAACAAAGGCAGCGCTGAAGAGCAGAAATAGCTGCCCCTGCCACCATGAATCCTGCCGAACTCCTCCTATGGATACGTTAGTCACCAGAGATGCAAAGTTCTGGGTGGGAGTGTTTAATTAACTGAGCCCTGATCCCATGACCAACTCCTGGCTCCAGGAGAGGGAAGAGGAAAAGAAAAACATTTTAGCTACTATATGTAGGGGTAGTATCCTATCTTCCATGAAGATTATGCCAGTGGTGGACTATACCAAACAGGAGGGAATATTTGGAGGGTGGACAGCCACCCAAACACTGATTGTCCACTACACTTTTAAATTGTTAGACATATTAACATCAGACTGGTATCCACCTTATGACTAGTTGTCCAAAAAGTAAGTCTTACCAAGTGACTGTAGTTCAGTAATATTTGAGGGCAATCCTTACCTCATTTATCTTAGAAATCCAAATTGAGCCTCAAAAAGTCTGTACAGCACAATAATTTGAAACAATTTAGAGTATGCAGACAAATAGCAACAGTTTGTAAAATTTAAATAATTACATAGTAAATCATAATGGTTATTTGCACATTTTTCACACACACACACAAACACACACACAAACACACACACTAACCAGTCAGATTATTTTCTTTTTTTTATTTTTTATTTTGTTATTATTATACTTTAAGTTTTAGGGTACATGTGCACAATGTGCGAGTTAGTTACATATGTATACATGTGCCATGCTGGTGTGCTGCACCCATTAACTCATCATTTAGCATTAGGTATATCTCATAATGCTATCCCTTCCCCCTCCACCCACGCCACAACAGTCCCCAGAGTGTGATGTTCCCCTTCCTGTGTCCATGTGTTCTCATTGTTCAATTCCCACCTATGAGTGAGAATATGCGCTGTTTGGTTTTTTGTCCTTGCGATAGTATGCTGAGAATGATGATTTCCAATTTCATCCATGTCCCTACAAAGGACATGAACTCATCATTTTTTATGGCTGCATAGTATTCCATGGTGTATATGTGCCATATTTTCTTAATCCAGTCTATCATTGTTGGACATTTGGGTTGGTTCCAAGTCTTTGCTATTGTGAATAGTGCCACAATAAACATACGTGTGCATGTGTCTTTATAGCAGCATGATTTATAGTCCTTTGGGTATATACCCAGTAATGAGATGGCTGGGTCAAATGGTATTTCTAGTTCTAGATCCCTGAGGAATCGCCACACTGACTTCCACAATGCTTGAACTAGTTTACAGTCCCACCAACAGTGTAAAAGTGTTCCTACTTCTCCACATCCTCTCCAGCACCTGTTGTTTCCTGACTTTTTAATGATTGCCATTCTAACTGGTATGAGATGGTATCTCATTGTGGTTTTGATTTGCATTTCTCTGATGGCCAGTGATGGTGAGCATTTTTTCATGTGTTTTTTGGCTGCATAAATGTCTTCTTTTGAGAAGTGTCTGTTCATGTCCTTTGCCCACTTTTTGATGGGGTTGTTTTTTTCTTGTAAATTTGTTTGAGTTCATTGTAGATTCTGGATATTAGCCCTTTTTCAGATGAGTAGTTTGCGAAAATTTTCTCCCATTTTATAGGTTGCCTGTTCACTCTGATGGTAGTTTCTTTTGCAGTGAAGAAGCTCTTTAGTTTAATTAGATCCCATTTGTCAATTCTGGCTTTTGTTGCCATTGCTTTTGGTGTTTTAGACATGAAGTCCTTGCACATGCCTATGTCCTGAATGGTAATGCCTAGGTTTTCTTCTAGGGTTTTTCTGGTTTTAGGTCTAACGTTTAAGTCTTTAATCCATCTTGAATTAATTTTTGTGTAAGGTGTAAGGAAGGGATCCAGTTTCAGCTTTCTACATATGGCTAGCCAGTATTCCCAGCACCATTTATTAAATAGGGAATCCTTTCCCCATTGCTTGTTTTTCTCAGGTTTGTCAAAGATCAGATAGTTGTAGACATGCGGCGTTATTTCTGAGGGCTCTGTTCTGTTCCATTGATCTATATCTCTGTTTTGGTACCAGTACCATGCTGTTTTGGTTACTGTAGCCTTGTAGTATAGTTTGAAGTCAGGTAGGGTGATGCCTCCAGCTTTGTTCTTTTGGCTTAGGATTGACTTGGTGATGCGGGCTCTTTTTTGGTTCCATATGAACTTTAAAGTAGTTTTTTCCAATTCTGTGAAGAAAGTCATTGGTAGCTTGATGGGGATGGCATTGAATCTGTAAATTACCTTGGGCAGTATGGCCATTTTCACGATATTGATTCTTCCTACTCATGAGCATGGAATGTTCTTCCGTTTGTTTGTCTCCTCTTTTATTTCATTGAGCAGTGGTTTGTAGTTCTCCTTGAAGAGGTCCTTCACATCCCTTGTAAGTTGGATTCCTAGGTATTTTATTCTCTTTGAAGCAATTGTGAATGGGAGTTCACTCAAGATTTGGCTCTCTGTTTGTCTGTTGTTGGTGTATAAGAATGCTTGTGATTTTTGTACATTGATTTTGTATCCTGAGACTTTGCTGAAGTTGCCTATCAGCTTCAGGAGATTTTGGGCTGAGACAATGGGGTTTTCTAGATATACAATCTTGTTATCTGCAAACAGGGACAATTTGACTTCTTCTTTCCCTAATTGAATACCCTTTATTTCCTTCTCCTGCCTAGTTGCCCTGGCCAGAACTTCCAACACTGTGTTGAGTAGGAGTGGTGAGAGAGGGCATCCCTGTCTTGTGCCAGTTTTCAAAGGGAATGCTTCCAGTTTTTGCCCATTCAGTATGATATTGGCTGTGGGTTTGTCATAGATAGCTCTTATTATTTTGAGATACGTCCCATCAGTACCTAATTTATTGAGAGTTTTTAGTATGAAGGGTTGTTGAATTTTGTCAAAGGCCTTTTCTGCATCTATTGAGATAATCATGTGGTTTTTGTCTTTGGTTCTGTTTATATGCTGGATTGCATTTATTGATTTGCGTATATTGAACCAGCCTTGCATCCCAGGGATGAAGCCCACTTGATCATGGTATATAAGCTTTTTGATGTGCTGCTAGATTCAGTTTGCCAGTATTTCACTGAGGATTTTTGCATAGATGTTCATCAGGGATATTGGTCTAAAATTCTCTTTTTTTGTTGTGTCTCTGCCAGGCTTTGTTATCAGGATGATGCTGGCTTCATAAAATGAGTTAGGGAGGATTCCCTCTTTTTCTATTGATTGGAATAGTTTCAGAAGGAATGGTACCAGTTCCTCCTTGTACCTCTGGTAGAATTCGGCTGTGAATCCATCTGATCCTGGACTCTTTTTGGTTGGTAAGCTATTGATTATTGCCACAATTTCAGAGCTTGTTATTGGTCTACTCAGAGAGTCAACTTCTTCCTGGTTTAGTCTTGGGAGGGTGTATGTGTCGAGGAATTTATCCATTTCTTCTAGATTTTCTAGTTTATTTGCATAGAGGTGTTTTTAGTATTCTCTGATGGTAGTTTGTATTTCTGTGGGATCGGTGGTGATATCCCCTTTATCATTTTTTATTGCATCTATTTGATTCTTCTCTCTTTTCTTCTTTATTAGTCTTGCTAGCGGTCTATCAATTTTGTTGATCCTTTCAAAAAACCAGCTCCTGGATTCATTAATTTTTTGAAGGGTTTTTTGTGTCTCTATTTCCTTCAGTTCTGCTCTGATTTTAGTTATTTCTTGCCTTCTGCTAGCTTTTGAATGTGTTTGCTCTTGCTTTTCTAGTTCTTTTAATTGTGATGTTAGGGTGTCAATTTTGGATCTTTCCTACTTTCTCTTGTGGGCATTTAGTGCTATAAATTTCCCTCTACACACTGCTTTGAATGTGTCCCAGAGATTCTGGTATGCTGTGTCTTTGTTCTCGTTGGTTTCAAAGAACAACTTTATTTCTGCCTTCATTTCGTTATGTACCCAGTAGTCATTCAGGAGCAGGTTGTTCAGTTTCCATGTAGTTGAGCAGTTTTGAGTGAGTTCCTTAATCCTGAGTTCTAGTTTGATTGCACTGTGGTCTGAGAGACAGTTTGTTATAATTTCTGTTCTTTTACACTTGCTGAGGAGAGCTTTACTTCCAAATATGTGGTCAATTTTGGAATAGGTGTGGTGTGGTGCTGAAAAAAATGTATATTCTGTCGATTTGGGGTGGAGAGTTCTGTAGATGTCTATTAGGTCCGCTTGGTGCAGAGCTGAGTTCAATTCCTGGGTATCCTTGTTAACTTTCTGTCTCGTTGATCTGTCTAATGTTGACAGTGGGGTGTTAAAGTCTCCCTACTATTGTTTGGGAGTCTAAGTCTCTTTGTAGGTCACTCAGGACTTGCTTTATGAATCTTGGTGCTCCTGTATTGGGTGCATATATATTTAGGATAGTTAGCTCTTCTTGTTGAATTGATCCCTTTACCATTATGTAATGGCCTTGTCTCATTTGATCTTTGTTGGTTTAAAGTCTGTTTCATCAGAGACTAGGATTGCAACCCCTGCCTTTTGTTGTTTTCCATTTGCTTGGTAGATCTTCCTCCATCCTTTTATTTTGAGCCTATGTGTGTCTCTGCATGTGAGATGGGTTTCCTGAATACAGCACACTGATGAGTCTTGACTCTTTATCCAATTTGCCAGTCTGTGTCTTTTAATTCAGGCATTTAGTCCATTTACATTTGAAGTTAATATTGTTATGTGTGAATTTGATCCTGTCATTATGATGTTAGCTGGTTATTTTGCTCATTAGTTGATGCAGTTTCTTCCTAGCCTCGATGGTCTTTACAATTTGGCATGATTTTGCAATGGCTGGTACCGGTTGTTCCTTTCCATGTTTAGTGCTTCCTTCAGGAGCTGTTTTAGGGCAGGCCTGGTGGTGACAAAATCTCTCAGCATTTGCTTGTCTGTAAAGTATTTTATTTCTCCTTCACTTATGAAGCTTACTTTGGCTGGATATGAAATTCTGGGTTGAAAATTCTTTTCTTTAAGAATGTTGAATATTGGTCCCCACTCTCTTCTGGCTTGTAGAGTTTCTGCTGAGAGATCAGCTGTTAGTCTGATGGGCTTCCCTTTGTGGGTAACCCGACCTTTCTCTCTGGCTGCCCTTAACATTTTTTCCTTCATTTCAACTTTGGTGAATCTGACAATTATGTGTCTTGGAGTTGCTCTTCTCGAGGAGTATCTTTGTGGCGTTCTCTGTATCTCCTGAATCTGAACGTCGGCCTGCCTTGCTAGATTGGGGAAGTTCTCCTGGATAATATCCTGCAGAGTGTTTTCCAACTTGGTTCCATTCTCCGCATCACTTTCAGGTACACCAATCAGACGTAGATTTGGTCTTTTCACATAGTCCCATATTTCTTGGAGGCTTTGTTTCTTTTTATTCTTTTTTCTCTAAACTTCCCTTCTTGCTTCATTTCATTCATTTCATCTTCCATTGCTGATACCCTTTCTTCCAGTTGATCGCATCGGCTCCTGAGGCTTCTGCATTCTTCACGTAGTTCTCGAGCCTTGGCTTTCAGCTCCATCAGCTCCTTTAAGCACTTCTCTGTATTGGTTATTCTAGTTATACATTCGTCTAAATTTTTTTCAAAGTTTTTAACTTCTTTGCCTTTGGTTTGAATTTCCTCTTGTAGCTCGGAGTAGTTTGATCATCTGAAGTCTTCTTCTCTCAACTCATCAAAGTCATTCTCCGTCCAGCTTTGTTCCGTTGCTGGTGAGGAACTGCGTTCCTTTGGAGGAGGAGAGGCGCTCTGCTTTTTAGAGTTTCCAGTTTTTCTGCTCTGTTTTTTCCCCATCTTTGTGGTTTGATCTACTTTTGGTCTTTGATGATGGTGATGTACAGATGGGTTTTTGGTGTGGATGTCCTTTCTGTTTGTTAGTCTTCCTTCTAACAGACAGGACCCTCAGCTGCAGGTCTGTTGGAGTTTGCTAGAGGTCCACTCCAGACCCTGTTTGCCTGGGTGTCAGCAGCGGTGGCTGCAGAACAGCAGATTTTCGTGAACCGCGAATGCTGCTGTCTGATCGTTCCTCTGGAAGTTTTGTCTCAGAGGAGTACCCGGCCGTGTGAGGTGTCAGTCTGCCCTTACTGGGGGGTACCTCCCAGTTAGGCTGCTCAGGGGTCAGGTGTCAGGGACCCACATGAAGAGACAGTCTGCCCGTTCTCAGATCTCCAGCTGCGCGCTGGGAGAACCACTGCTCTCTTCAAAGCTGTCAGACAGGGACATTTAAGTCTGCAGAGGTTACTGCTGTCTTTTTGTTTGTCTGTGCCCTTCCCCCAGAGGTGGAGCCTACAGAGGCAGGCAGGCCTCCTTGAGCTGTGGTGGGCTCCACCCAGTTCAACTTTCCCGGCTGCTTTGTTAACCTAAGCAAGACTGGGCAATGTCGGGCGCCCCTCCCCCAGCCTCGCTGCCGCCTTGCAGTTTGATCTCAGACTGCTGTGCTAGCAATCAGGGAGACTCCGTGGCCATAGGACCCTCCGAGCCAGGTGCGGGATATAATCTCCTGCTGCGCCGTTTTTTAAGCCCATCGGAAAAGCACAGTAATAGGGTGGGAGTGACCCGATTTTCCAGGTGCCATCTGTCACCCCTTTCTTTGACTAGGAAAGGGAACTCCCTCACCCCTTGCACTTCCCAAGTGAGGCAATGCCTCACCCTGCTTCGGCTCGCGCATGGTGCGCTGCACCCACTGTCCTGCGCCTACTCTCTGACACTCCCTAGTGAGATGAACCCGGTACCTCAGATGGAAATGCAGAAATCACCCGTCTTCCGCGTCGCTCACACTGGGAGCTGTAGACCGGAGCTGTTACTATTTGGCCATCTTGGCTCCTCCCCCACTATTTTCTATTACAATAGCATTTTTAATGATCACCTGAGTAACTGTAGCTTTTTCCATCCGTATTACTTTCCTGTGGCTGTTGTAACAAATCATCACAAATTAGTGGCTTAAAGCACAAAAATTTATTCTCTTGAAGTTCTGGAGGGCTGAACTTTGAATCAAGTTGTGAACAGGGCCACATTCCTTCCTAAGACTCTAGGGGAGAATCTGTTTCTTGCTTCTTCCAGCTACTGACAGTATTAGGTATTCTTTGGCTTGTGGCTATATCACTCCAATCTCTGCCTCATGGTCACACCGCCTCCTCCTCATCTGTATGTCTTCTCCTCTGTGTGTTCATGTTATCTCCCTTTGTCTCTTTTAAGACTATTTGTGATGGTACTTAAGGCCTTCCCAGATAATCCAGAGTAATCCCCTTTCCTCAAGACCCTTAATTAGATCTGCAAAGACCCCTTTTCCAATAAGGTAACATTTACAAATTCTAGGGATTAGGACTTGATGTCTGGATGGCCATTACTGAACCTACTATACCATCATAATCTATTCCTGTATATTACTAAAGTACCCAGTAAAATAAGACTGGTTTAAAGAGAGATTAGTTTCAAGGAAATGATGAGCATTAATACTTTTAATTATTTTTGAAAACAGAATGGTAGCCAGGTATTTCCAGGGTTTTCCAAAGAAACAAAATGAATAGGCTGTGGGGGATGGCTGAGGGAAAGAGACTGATTGATAATAAGGAATTTGTTCACATGATTATGGAGTCTTAAGATCTGCTGTTGGCAAGCTGGAGACAGGAGAGCAATGGTGTAAGTTCCAGTCTGAAGGCCTGCAGCCTTAAGACCCAGGAAGAGCCAATGTTTCAGTTCAAGTTCAAGGCAGAAAAAAAACCAATGTCCCAGATCAAGGTAGTCAAGCAGGAGGAGCTCCCTCTTACTCACCTGGAGGATCAGCCTTTTTACTCTATGACTTTCAGCTGACTGGATGAGACCCATGAACATTAGGAAGGTCAGTCTGCTTTCTCAGTCTGTCCATTCAAATGTTCATCTTCCAAAAACACCCTCACAGACACACCCAGGATAACATTTGACCATGTATCTGGGCACCCTGTGGCCCAGTCAAGTTGACATATAAAATTAACAGTTACATCACGTCATGCCGAATTGCAGATAATTCATTCTTTCTAGGAGATCACAAATTTGATTCCAGCAGACACATTCGAATAAGGATTAAGGTTGCCTCAGGGAGGACATACTGCAGTCATTTATTTATCTAATATTCGTCAAGCATCCACCATAAGCATGTCATTGTTATGGGTGTGGAAAATGGTGCAATAAAAAAAGAAAAAGGAAATGCCAATGAAAATACCAAACATATTTGATGTTTTTACCTGTCCAAAAAAATATAAAATCCATATCAAATACTTAAAATTCAAAAAACTATATAAATTTTATGTAAGTAGAATAAAATATATACTACATGGATGAAATATAGAATCCTGGCTTTTTCAATATGAAGTATGCTATATAGGTGTTCCTTTACTAGAATACTACAAATTATTGAAAACTTAGGAGGCATAAAACATAGAAAGAGTATAATCAATGTTTCTCTTTTTTCAGTTATCTATATTTTACTTTCAAATATATGAAAAACTGAGTTAAAAATCCATCCATCCCAGACCCCAACTAAAGTTTATTCCTGTCTTATTTCCTATTGTGAATCAGTTTATAGCTTAATGATATATTAAAAATGCTTTACCTGCTGCCATGTTAGAAAAATTGAAGTACAATAAAAACGACGTGTAACAACTTTGTAGAAGCATGTCGTGTGCAGAAAATTATTTGCACTAACATATTTTCCCCTCAAGGGAAGCAACCTTCATATCCAAACCACTTACTACTTTTTAAAGAGAAGTTGTACTTTTCCATTTTCCCATAGTAACAACATCCAAATTTAAATGACAAAATCAAAAATAACTTTCTCACAACTGACCAGACTGAAATCATGATACAGTTACCTACTGATGGAAACCATATCAAAAATGTAAGGTACTTTATATAAACATAAATTGCTTCTGAGATAAAAAATTAACTAACATAATGATGTTTCTGTAATAGAAATTCAAAGTTAATTATTAACTTGCCTGAGTCTAGTTTCCCAGAGAGGGAGTTGGAATTTGCAAAGCTACATAGAAACTGACTATGCCTAGCACTTAAGGCAATCATTCTCAGTTAACCCCAAATCTTGGACTTCAGTGTCTTGGTCATGCCAGGAAAGAGGCAGGTGAATCCTACTACCAGATTGCTACATCACTTGGAACCAGGCCCCTGATTACAACAAGGGAGGAAAAAAAACAACCCCCATCCCTTCACACACACACCCTAATCACAAAGCCTGAGCTATTAGGATAGGGCCAGGATCCCCCTAGTCCCTGATCAACCAGCAGGATGCCAGTGCCTTCCTAGTCATGCAGGTTAGAAGGCCAACAATCTAAGTATTCTTTCTGAATAGAATACCAATCCCTGCTAAAATCTCTATGCATTTTCTAGAGGGGATGGACAATGGCATCCCCTGGATATTACTTGTCTTTGGTAGTTTTCTCCCAGTGAATGCTGTTCTAGCAGACTTGATCAATGTACTGCCTGACCATTTGAGCTTGCTTGTATAATAAAAGCATAATATTCCTACTCAAAAATGTATTTTCTCTTAAGCAATTTTAAAACTACATTTTTAAAAATATTAACTTGGGGTGGTCATATTCTTTTGATAAAGCTGGCAAATATTTCTTACTTATGAAATTTAAGAAAATGAAGGTTAGACAAGATCATCAGTATTGTAAAATGTGTTTATAAAGTAAAATATTTAGCATTGCTAGAGATTTGTAATAAGTGGTAGCTCTAACATGAATTTGGAAGTCTCAGGCTGACTTTCTCTACTGCACAGACTCACTAGTAAGTTGTATCAATAAATGTAGACAGGCCTAACCCATTGCCTTGTTTCCAAAAAAGGCCAAAAAGTAAAGGAATAGGAAAAGTAGAGTAGGCAATTGCAAAAAAAAGTAAAGCAAGGTTGTGAGCTTTATATCTGATAAAGTAGAATTCAGGACTCGAAGCAGTAAACAAGACAAATAAAGATACTTTATAGTATTATAACCATAATTAAGATATAATCATAATGAAGATATAATCATTTTGAATATCTACATACCAAATAACAGCAGCCACCTTCATAACGCAGAAACTACAGAAGATGCAAGAAGAAATGAACAGAAATATACTAAGAGATCACTATCAGTCCAAGACAAGTGAAAAAAGTATACATTAAGTATATAAAAGGCCTAAAAACAGAACTAATAATGTCAATATTATATATATCCAAAATATACCCTGATGCTAGAGAATCTTATCTTTCTGTCAAACAATGTGAAACATTCAAATAAATGTACTATATATCACAAAAATTCAAAAATAGAATACAACCAACATTCTTCAGTCACAATATAGTAAAACTAAAAGTTAGAAATTGTTTAAAACCAAAAATGTCATTTCACCCTGGAAATTAAAAAAAAAAATTATCCATTAAACAAACAGCTCAGATCAGAGTGAAAAAAAATTGCCAAATTTCTTTTTAAAAAATCATAATTAAAACATAATATATTAGAATGTATAGTATAAAATTAAGGCAGTGAATAGTGGAAAATTTAGAGTCTATATACTTATATCAATAAAAATTAAAGAATCAATGTACTAAATTCAATACTCATTTCAAAAGCTATAAAAATAGTAACAGCTGAAAGAGGAAATGCAATAAAGACAAGGTACAAATAATTATTTAGAAATGAAACAACAGACTAAATAATCTGACTCTTAAAACATTCATCAACAAAATAAATGGTCACTAGTTAACCAGTCAAAGTGGGGAGGGAAGAGATGACAGGAAGAACACAAATACACAAAACAGGAAATAAAGAGGGAAAAATGACTTTGACACAAATGCTATATTTTAAAAAATGAGAGACTGCTTAATACACATCTTCCCAAATAAATTTGAAAACCTAGATGAAACAGATATTTCCTCAGAAAATATCTATCAAATCTGACAAGATAGAAAGTAAAAATTGAAATGTAAAAACTTATCAAAAACTAACCTAACTAGCACCGGTCCTAGATGGTTTCAGAGGGGAATTCTACCAAATCTTCAAGAACCGAATACTCCCAATGCTATTTAAACACTTCCAAAAGAGGAAAAAACTTTCCATTAATTTTTATAAAGAAAACATAACATTGATTCCAAACCTGAATTATACTGCAAAGGACAGAAAATTTTAGACCTACCTCAGTTAAGAACACCAATGCAAAATTTTAATTAAAAAAAAATCCCATTTACAATACTAAAAAAAATACTTAGGAATAAATTTAACCAAAGAGGTGAGGCAACCTGTAAAGTGAAAACTATACAACACTGATAAAAGAAATTGAAGATGACACAAATAAACTAAAAGCTATCCCATGTTCATGAATTGGAAGAATATTGTTAAAATGTCCACACTACCCAGTGATCTACAGATTCAATGCAATGACATTTTTCACAGAAATAGAAAAAAAATCCTAAAATCCATATGGAACCACAAAGACTGTGAAAAGCCAATGCAATTTTGAGCAAAAAGAACAAAGTTGGAGACATAACATTACCAACTTCAAAATATACTACAAAGTTATATATAGTGATCAAAACAGCATGGTACCAGCATAAAAACAGACACATAGGCCAATGGAACAGAACAAAGAGCCCAGAAATAAATCCATACACTTATGGTTGGTTAATTTTAGACAAAAGTGTCAAGGACACACAATGGAGAAGGAACAATCTTTAATAAATGGTGCTGGGAAAACTGGATATCCACATGTACAGTATTAGATCCTCATCTCCCACCATACACAAAAATCAATTCAAAATGGATTGAAGACTTAAACATAAGACCTGAAACTGTAAAACTATTAGGAGAAAAACATAAGGGAAAAGCTCTTCATGGCATTCGTTTGGGCAATGATTTTTTTATATATGATTCCAAAAGCATAGGCAACAAAAGCAAAAACAAATAAGATTACATCAAACTAAAAAGCTTCTGCACAGCCATAGAATCAAGAGTTGAAGAGACAACCTATGAAATGGGAGAAAATATCTGCAAACCATATATCTAATAAATGGTTAATATCCAGAATATATAAAGAACTCAAATATCTCAATAGCAAGAAAACAAATAACTGGATTTTAAGTGGGCAAAAGACCTGAATAGATATTTCTTAAAAGACATACAAATGGCCAACAGGTACATGAAAAAATGGTCAACATCACTAGTCATCAGGGAAATGCAAATTACAATCACGATGAGATACCACCTCACACCTGTTAGAATGGATCGTATCAAAAAAAATAAAAGTGTTGGGAGGGGGATGTGGAGAAAACAGAATTTTTTTACACTGTTGAGGGAAGGTAAATTAGTATAGAAAACAGTGAGGGTTCCTCAAAAAATTAAAAATAGGGCTGGGCATGGTGGCTCACACCTGTAATCCCAGCATTTTGGGAGGCCAAGGTCAGGAGTTCAAGACCAGCCTGGCCAACATTTCAAAACCCCATCTCTACAAAAAATTAGCCAGGCATGGTGGTGGGTGCCTGTAATCCCAGCTACTTGGGAGGCTGAAGCAGGAGAATTGCTTGAACCCAGGAGGCGGAGGTTGCAGTGAGCTGAGATCATGCCACTGCACTCCAGCCTGGGCAACAGAGTGAGATTCTGTCTCCAAAAACAAAAAATTAAAAATATAACTACCATGATCCAGCAATCCCACTGCTGGGTATTTATCCAAATGAAATGAAATCAGTATGTCAGAGATATATGCATTCCCATGTTAATTGCGACATTATTCACAATAGCCAAGACATGGAATCAACCTAAGTGTTCAATGGATGAACAGATAAAGAAAATGTGGTATATATACATAATGCAATACCATCCTGCCTTTAAAAAGACAAAAATCCCGGTATTTGGAACAACATGAATCAACCTAAAGGACATCATGTTAAATGAAACCAGCCAAGCAAAGAAAGACAAATCCCAAATGATCTCACTTATATGTCGAATCTAAAAAAGTTGAACTCATAAGAAGTAGAGAGTAGAACGGTAGTTATCGGGGGCTGGGTGTGGGGAAGTGGGTGGAGGCAATTAGGGAGCTGTTGGTCAAAGAATACAAAATTTCAGTTAAACAGGACAAATAGGTTTATGAGATCTATCGTACAACATGGTGACTATAGTTCATAAGAATGTATTGTCATCTTGAAAATCACTAAGAATAGATAATAAATGTTCTTATCACAAAAAAAGTGAGTTAATGCACATTAGTTAGCTCAATTTGCCATTCTACATGTACACATGTATCAAAACATCATGTTGTATTCAATACAAATACCTAAGTTTTATGTGTCAATTCAATCCATTTTTTTTTAATTCCTGCCCTGACTTTGAGCTCACATTCTAGTAAGAGGCAGGCTATTAAAAATTAAGCTTAATAAGTAAATAAAATATATGTTAGAAAGTGATAAGTAATATGGGAGCAGGGTAAGAGGATCAGGAATTTTGAGGTAACAAGGAGATAGGTAAAGGCTTTCAAGACGTTTAACAGTGGCAGGAAAAGGAGAGATGCCATGACTCGAAGAATTAGAAAGGTTAAAAACCTAAAATACCTGTAGCTGAGGGGAAGAATATAGCACAGAGACTGGAAGGGAAAAAAAAATCCTGAAAAGAGGAAGAAATGGTATCAGAGGTACAATGTGAGGCTTGCTTGTGATAAGGAGTGAACTTACTTATTACTTGTGATAAGGAGTAAAAGGAATAAACTTTTTTTTTTCTTCACACAGGGCAGGGAATTTGGGGGTAGGAAAAAATGACATTGACAAGAGTTAGAGAAGGCCTCCTTGCAGCATGCTTAACTACCAAGAGCTAAGTTCATCTTTTTGGACATTAGATTTTTTTAAAATAGAGAATTCTTGGACATAATCACCAGTTTAGAAACTAAGTAGTGCTGTTTTATGTGTAATACTTATTTCTCCTTTTAATTGACAAAAGTCCAAATTCTGAAGCACACAGGCTCATTTTGTTAACTTTGCTTTTTTTCTTCCAGTGCTCAGAAGAGTAGGCAGTAGGGAAACTGATTATTTCCTTTAAAATAATTAAAGGCATCACCAACTGATATGCTATGAGCATTGTAGCTGGTCTTAACATCTAATAGGCATCTGATACCTTACAGTACATCTGATAGAGTTTGGATTTGCAACCAATTTGATATTCTGCATACTCATGTATAGATAGCTTTCAGCTTCCAAGTAACTCATAAATTAATATTTAATGAAATCATTTGCCTGGAGATTTTCTGTACTTTCCTATTAATCTCCTGGATTCTTTACATTTGGTGTGCCCTGCACACTCCAGTCAATGACAGTTATGAGGACTAGTTTCTCATATACATTTACATCTCATATGTACCTGAACAATAGCAGGTTTATTTCCCTCTTATTATCCCCTAGAAAAGTCATTGATCTCCAGGGCAAGCAAAATTCCTTTATAAAAAACACTCTAATTACTTATTTGTGGAAATCACAGAAGGTTGAAACCACCTCAATGTTGTGCTTTCAGAAAGCTAAAAAAAGACCACAAGATGAATTATTTAAAAACAATAGGTAAAGAAATTTAACAGTGATTTAGTCTGTTCTTGGAGATGTGACCTCAAAAACAAGCCATAGTTGTGTTACAAACACACATTTTAAAGATCATTTTTTTGGCCTGGCGCAGTGACTCACGCCTAGTAATCCCAACACTTTGGGAAGCTGAGGCAGGCAGATTGCTTGAGCTCAAGAGTTTGAGACCAGCCTGGGCAACATGGCGAGACCCTGTCTCTTCCAAAACCACAAAAAAAAAAAAAAAAAAAGCCAGGCATGGTGTTGTCTTGCGGGAAGTCAGGGACCCCGAATGGAGGGACCGGCTGAAGCCATGGCAGAAGAACATAAGTTGTGAAGATTTCATGGACATTTATTAGTTCCCCAAATTAATATTTTATAATTTCTTATGCCTATCTTTACTGCAATCTCTGAACATAAATTGTGAAGATTTCACGGACATTTATCACTTCCCCAATCAATACCCTTGTGATTTCCTGTGCCTGTCTTTAATCTCTTAATCCTGTCATCTTCGTAAACTGAGGGTGTATGTCACCTCAGGACCCTGTGGTGATTGCATTAACTGCACAAATTGTTTAAACAATATGAAATCTGGGCACCTTGAAAAAAGAACAGGATAACAGCCATGTTCAGGGAACAAGGGAGATAACCATTAGGTCTGGCTGCCTGAGAGCCAGGCGGAACAGAGCCATATTTCTCTTCTTTCAAAAGCAAATAGGAGAAATATCGCTGAATTCTTTTTCTCAGCAAGGAACATCCCTGAGAAAGAGAATGCGTTCCTACGGATAGGCCTCTAAAATGGCCACTCTAGGGACATGTCTTTTACAGTTGTAGATAAGGGATGAAATAAGCCCCAGTCTCCCATAGCGTATCCAGGCTTATTAGGATGAGGAAATTCCCGCCTAATAAATTTTGGTCAGATCGGTTGTCTACTCTCAAACCCTGTCTCCTGATAAGATGTTATCAATGACAATGGGTGCCCAAAACTTCATTAGCAATTTTAATTTCACCCTAGTCCTGTGATCTCGCCCTGCCTCTATTTGCCTTGTGATATTTTATTACCTTGTGAAGCATGGTAACCTCTGTGACCCACACCCTATTCGTACACTCCCTCCCCTTTTGAAAATCACTAATAAAAACTTGCTGGTTTTGCGGCTTGGGGGGCATCACAGAACCTGTCGACATGTGATGTCTCTCCTGGACACCCAGCTTTAAAATTTCTCTCTTTTGTACTCTTTCCCTTTATTTCTCAGACCAGCCAGCACTTAGGGAAAATAGAAAAGAACCCACGAAGAATTATCAGGGGCGGGTTCCCCCGATAATGTGCACCTGTGGTCCCAGCTACTCAGGAGGCTGAGGTGGGAGCCTGGGGGTCAGAGATTGCACCACTGCACTCCAGCCTGGGTGACAGAGTGAGACCCTGTCTCATTAAACTGTGGAAATCACAATTACCTACAGAATGAATGGGAGAAACTGCTAATTTAATGTTTATACAATGGGTTATCTGAAGCATGAGATTTCTCATAACTTTGTATATGGATAAAACATTACTATCTGTCAAAGAACACATTTTCTTTCAAATAAACTTAAGATAACAAACCAACAGACTTTGGAAAACTGGTAGTCAAATGTCAAAGATAAATGTGAATATAATGAATATAATTAATGAGTGGGCAAATGTTAATATATAATTTCATACAATTAAAATATGCACATATAATTTAGGATCTAGAATGAATTCTAAATAAATCTGATGTTTTAAAAAATTAACCTATAGAATAAATTTTAGGCAACATCCAGTACCACCCCACCTTCCCACAAATTAAGTGACAAAATTATAGAAATCACACTAGACCAAAGATTCTGAGACTTGGCACTACTGACATTTGAGGCTAATTCTTTGATGCAAGGGCTGTCCTGTGTATTGCAGCATGTTTAGCAGCATCCTTGGCCTCATCCCACTTGATACCACTAGTATACCTCCTGAGTTGTGACAAAAATGTCTCCAGTTGTCAAATGTCCACTGGGGGGCAAAATCACTCCAGGTGAGAACCACTGCACTAGAAAAATGAATGCCATGTCAAACATCCCCAGGTAAGTAGCTTCCACATTTTTCTGAATGTCCTATTTTCTAATTGTCTGAAATCTAAGTAAAATACATGGTGATAACAGTTGCTTACTATTATCATTACCTATATCTACTTCTATTTCACGTAAAATAAAAAATTTGCCTGGCATGGTGGCACACAACCTGTCAGCCCAGCTACTCATGAAGCTGAAGTGGGACGATCGCTTGAGACCGAATTCAAGCCTAGCCTGGGCAATACAGTGAGATCTCATCTCTAAAAAAAAGAAGAAAGAAATTTAAGGCACTTATTAAGTATAGCTGTTACTGATAAATTAACACTGAAAAATACACATTTATTAAAATAAAGCACTCATAGAACCAAATCCATAAGATATAGCAATTGAAATAAATCTTTATCGGAATGGAAACATTACTCTATACAAGGACAGAACTATGCTGTTAGCATTTATCCATATTCTGAATTTTTCTTTTTTTCCAGGATTGCCTTTTCCAAGCCAGATGTTTTTCTTGTCCTTGTAACAGCAACTTAAATTACTAATACTAATGAAGGGGACTATGAACAGTCAATAGCAGATATTGCTAATAGTTTGACCTCAGAGTACATTTTATTTGTTGCAATCATCTGGATACGTCATGCTAAAATTCACTTAACAGTCCTTGAATCACTAGATGAGGGAGAGATGAGCATAAAATTATTTGAAGAATTTGGGCCAACATTAAATATTAAGAATAACTGAATGTGGACTATAATTTTTTAAAACATTTTATTTTCATGTGCTATTGTAATTTATATCCAGACACAATAATCAAATACAAAAGAGAATGCAAGACTCTCAATTTCTAGTTTATAGTTTTTTAAAAAATCTCTTTATTAACTTGTTACAGTAGAATACATTTTTTAAAATATAGTACAAAAAATTCTCGGTGATCACCAAAAATGTAATCAATAAGGTTACATTCCTTTGTTTCTCTGAATCTTCTTTTTCCTATAATGAAAAGTGTATTTTTTAAACCTTAAGAAATTCTTTTTGCACTACCTTTTCCTATCCATTGCATCATAGTTTATGTCCCACCAGTTAGGATCTTGGAGAACTGCTCACATTAATCTTGTTTCCTGGGTTTTATTTCAAACTGTCCTGAACTTTATAGTAATTTTTGCTAAAGGAAGTTCCTAGTAAGCAGTTATTTGCCTTTGGTAAACTTAATTTTAGATGAAAACTATGCACAAAAAAACAATTGTCTTATGATTAGACCTTCAAGTTAGGAGGTGAATAGTCTATGCAGCATAAGACAAACCATAACTCTTACCTTTAAATTTTCTCATTTGACAAGAACTATCAAATTCCTTTTTAAAAGAGTACACATATACGTTTTTAATTTGGAAATTTCATATTCGGTAAAAATTCAAATTTTAATTACTGTGGAATTTTGACAACTCCAGCAATGGCAAAGCTGAATTTATTTCACTATTATCTATCAAAAAGCAAGTAACATTATAAGATTCCAAATGTTTAACCTGGTAAAAGTGAGAATATATTTCAATCAAGAGCATACCATCTAAAAAAAACACTATTGCTATCTAGTCATATGCATTTCTTATTACATTTTTGCAGCCCCTAAGTGTTCAGAACAAATGTAGCATTCACATAATACTATAGTCAATGAAAAGAGTATATTCTTTTATTGGTTTTTGTTCATACATGTTAAGTTTCAACTTTCAATAATAAAATTCAATAAATTTGATTCCTTAATCATAAAAACTGGCTTTACACATTATTTACATATTGTCAAAGTCCATACAAAACATCACAAGGATTTGATTGACTCTATGCATGGTACCATCACACAGGAGGAGGGAGCTAATCCAGTAACATACATTCAAAGATTAAATTGCAGATATGCACAGTGTATTTGGCACTGTTCATTAATATTATAACACCTTCCTCTCAAAGACAGGCATTCTTAAGCGTTAGTCACGATATACCAGAATTTGCTATTCACATTAAAACCACCTTTTAAACTTTATAACAGTAACCGATTATTATAGTTTTAAGAAACAAAACACAATGAGAACTGGGAATGGAATTCAAATCCTCCAACTTCTTGCTATGCTCCAAGCTGCCATCCATAAAACAGGTTTAATTCGGTAATTTTTCCATTGTGGGGAGTGTCAACAAGAAACAATTTAAAGACAGTATTTTCCAATACAAATAAAGACACATACTTTTGTTTAAAATTACCAGTTCTTCTTGGGAGTGCAAAGGGAGCCTTGATGATGTACAACTTGTGATGCTTTTGGCAGGAATTACAGAACAACCAATGCCATTCAAGTTGTGGAGATTGTACTAGCAGGTGAACTCATAAAGAGAAGGTTCTGGAATGACTACATCTGAAATCAGAATCCTAGTAGTTTGTAGTTTGCCTCTTCCTAGAACTTCAAGAGACTCAAATCATAGGCTACAGATGTACTTTCAAGTATATACTTATGAATGGAAGGAGAAAATAAAAGCACGAAAATGCAAATATTAAACCTTTACTGGCTTGGGCTATATTCCAGTAGGTAATTTATTTGACTAACTTAACTTTAACAACGATTAAATCCCTTCATTTTAATCAGGTCCATTAAATTTCATTCATTAAAGCTATACATACTCCAGAATGTTTATAAGACATTTATACCTATCATGTTTACAAAAGGCATAAATTCAGTCTTCAGCTGCACTACAAATGCCTCAATATAATATAATCACAGTATAAGGAATCAGAAATTCTCTGGTTAGATATGCTGTAGCTTCACACAAAACTCTCAGTAATAAATTAAAACAAAAAAAAAAAGTCGTACAACGTATAATGGATTATGCAGTGCAAAGTAATGTCACTGGACCAAAATTTAGTTTAATCATTTTTATTTCAAGTGTATTTAAAAAATCATAAATGGGGTTTCATAATCCAAAGTTGAAACATTTATTCTTCATAGCTTCAGAATTTAACAACCAATTGTAGACCATGCTTTCCAAATCCAGTCTTCTTTGCTATTTTTCAAAACTTCTGAGATCTAGTATTAAACTGCTCCATTCTAAATGTATAGTTTTAGATAAGTATTGTACACTTGTTGATAAGGGTTTTCTGAAAGCAGTCTATCAAATATAAAGAATGGTTTCTATCTAAGAATCAGCAGTGAGGGAAGAAATATTAAACACCTATCAAGAAATCAATTATTCATTTTAAAAATAACAGAACCAGTGCTGCTCTCTGTCATAAAAGAGAACATGTAAAATTTATTTTTATAGACTTTGGTAATATTTTATTCCCCCACAGAGGCCTTCAATCCTACTTAAAGATATTTTACACACAGTAACCATCAGGATTTACTGAGTAAAAATCTCAGGTATTAACCATGCCCCTAAAATGTGCTATTCCAAAGAGGAACAGGTTACTTTTGAGGAAAAAAGCTGCCTTGGTAACTTCCCTCAAATGTTTATTTTAAATAAAAATGGTTGATGGAAATATTTTTTAAAAGAACTTTGGGTATAATATGGCATACTGCCCATCAAACAAAAAAGGAAATAAAACTTTCTTTCCATTTATAATAAGTTTTCCACCTTTACTATCAAGATTACAACTTATTGACCTTTTATGCTTGCTTGGTTTTTTTGACTGCCTAATCCAATGTTTAAATTTTTAAGTCTGCATTTCAATGTAGTAGGAGTTATTTTTCAAATAATCTTCAGAACCCAGAATACAGAGCAACTCTCAGAATACCAGAGCAACACTCTCAAGTCATACTTTTGAACCCAGAATACCAGAATACCAGACTTCAGAACCCAGAATACCAGAGCAACACTCTCAAGTCATACTTTTGACTACAATTAAGAGATGAAAATGGACGGATATCTGAAGATAGGTATTCCCTCTGCTCTGAAGGTGAGCAAGATTTTAACATGTGAGCAACACAGAACTCCACTCCTCTGGAGCTCCTTTCAACTCAGAATGCTTCAGTTCAGTAAGTCAATATATTATTCTTAAAAATTAAAGTTTGGTCACTAAGAAGGACTGAACAAAAATTATTCCCCTCCCGCCAAACACAACCAGAACAGTTCTAATCAGGCCCTCTTCTCCCCACAAAAATAGGGAAGTAGCTGGGCTGAAGACTTTAAGTGTGACATTTCAGTTCCTAAAACATCACTGCTATTTGCTCAAAGTTGTAGGTCTATGTATTTCCTTCTCCAATACGTCCCCATTTATAAGTTTATTTCCATACATACAAACGTGCACATGTGTGCACGTGCACACGCACACACACACACTCACTCTCAAGTAAGACACTTTTTTGTGTTTGTTGATAAATTATGAGGATTATGAACTAGGTGTGTACAGGGTTTCATAGGTGCTTTGTAAACATCAGAGTCACTTGGTTCCTTTCCTCCACAAGCCTCAAATCAAATTATGCAACCAATGACCACTACTTTCCCAGACGCTGTTCACAGGCTGCATATTGACGAAGGGCAGAGAAAAAGTCCTCATAACTGATGTTTAGGTGGGAAGGCAAAGAGCTGAAAAGAAAACACGGGGGGAGAAAAGCAATTAGATATACACTGTAATGTAGGGGGGAACCAGAAGATAAGGACCAAAAAGAAGTTAAGAATAGAATACACCAAATTATCCTCCACCAGACAGCACCATGACAGGCACGGAAAATGTCTTAATCATAATATGTAGACTGAAAGGGTGGGGCCCTGACAGAACTGACTGGGAAATAGCAGAGAGCCTCTGAGGCACCGAGGGGTAGTGGCACTCACTGTTTATTGACGAGTGTTCATTGAAGATAGCTATTCCCTCTGCTCTGAGGGTAAATTATAAGCAGAATATGCCAAACAATTCTACTAAGATTGTTCAGCTCATTGTGGACAATGAGATGACAAGGACACACAATGTCATCATCAACTAAAAAATTAATATGCCTCTTTTTCCACAAGAAAAGCAACTAGTAATGAGAGATTCATAACTTGTTAAAGCGTAAGCTCAGATTAATGCAAAGCTAGAGATCTATGTATAAAGGATCTCATTTAAATCCATTAAAGAATTTCTCCTTGGTCAGAGTAAAGCCAATATTACTTAGTTTAGGAAAGCCATGCTTAATGTTGGGCAGAGCCACACAGCATCCAAACATGATGAAATATTGTAGCCATGTTGTGAGCAACCTAGAAATCAACACTTACCTCCACCATTTCCAATTACTCAAGGGCAATTACAGTGTGAAAATAAGCACTTTAAAGATAGACTGAATACACAATCAGAGGGTTCCCTTTTATGTATTAGAAGTAACTATTAATTTTAAATAAGTAACATGAAAAACATCTGTAATTTATGTAGCTTTATAATGTGGGAATTCCAAATAGTATCAGGGTCAAACACCTGGTCAGAATAGAAGAGTCACAGTCAGAGTCCTACAGTCACATGCACCACAAAAAAAGAGTGAACAAACCTACCTTGAAAGGACTCCTGCCTGTCTTTAGCTATACTTTTCTTTATCCTTCCTCAGACTGCCAGAAATTCTGCAATAAGTCATCCACTTCTAATTCCTCATCATCTCTTAATAATCTCTGCTATCAACCTTAAGTCTTATTCACACCTCTGAAATAATATGCTCAAAGAACAAATTTAATGCATTATTCTTGCTAAAGCTTGCTTCAAATGTCCTCAAACTCTCAACTTCCCTAAGTCTTCCTCATCTTACCCCTTCAATCAACCTCATCTCCTACGACTCTTCAATATAGTGCCACTACTCCTCAATGCCTCAGAAGCTCTGTTGCTATTTCTCAGTCTGTTCTGTCAGAACCCCACCCTTCCCTTCTCTGTATTATGATTAACATTTTCCCTGCCATCACAGTGCTCAGTCTCGTAGAGGGTACACAAATACAAAGCAAACCTCAGTATAATGTGATATAGCTATCATAGACATGTACATAGGTCAAAGGAAGAGCCTGTTACGTGCTTCATATCTTGTCCATTATCAGATTTAAATTCTCAACTCCACATTAACATGCCCTTTGTACAAATATAGAGAGTTTAAATAACTTGCCAAAGTCAAGTTATAGAGCTGTATAGTCAAGATTCAAACCAAAATCCTTCTGTTCTTCCCTCCAAACCACTCCCAACTGTACACAGCATCACTGCTGCCATACTTGGAGACAACCTGAAATGACTTGAAAACCCTTGGAGAAAACCAGGTAAGAGAAACATACTCCCACCATAAAGAAACTCTGAGTCTGGAGATCTGGGTTCTAATTCACTTTGTGACAAGCTTGAACAATGTCTCTCTTCCCTATTTTCCTTATCTATAAAATGAGAAGGTGGGACCAGATGATTTAGAGTCCTTTCCAACTCTAACATGCTACACGTTCTCTTCTCTTTTTCATACTTTGTCCCTCCTGCCCACAAGCTTAAAAGACCCCTTCATACATCTTGGAGAGATACTCTATATTCTCACAGGTTCAACTACTTCCCAGGTTATGATGATCCCCAAACATGTATCTTTAGCCTTGACTTCTCACTCAAGCATCAATTCTACATCTTTATCTGTTCTACACTAAGTGTATCCATCCAAATAGACTATGGCCTCAAAATCATCTGCATCTTCCCTTCAAAAATGAATATTCCCTTCACTTTCTGGTTTCCTCTCAATAATATCATAATCACTTAGTCACTTAAGCTTAAAAACTTAGGAGTCATTTCATCTCTAATTTTATCGCAATTAGTAAAGTGCTATGCCTGCAATTATACATGGTAAATACCTGTCATGAGAGAGAGAATTTGTAGTATTCTCCAAGACCCAGCATTTACATATATTTTAAGGCTACTATGTCTCTCCTTTATTCTAAATTAGGGGTCAGCAAATACAGCCCAGGAGCCTGATACTTGTTTTTGTAAACAAAGTTTTATCAGAACACGGTCACAATGCTTGTTTACATATCATCCATGGTTGTTTAGCTATAGCAGCAGAGTTGCATAGATGCAATAGAGAGGAGCAGTTGCAAGTGACTGTACGGCCTGAAAAGCCTAAAATATTTACTATCTGGCCCTTTACAAAAAAAGTTTGCCTAAACTGTTCTAAATAAGCAATTTCATTCTCTTCAATGTATTCTCCCTTAAATTATAGTTATGGCCTCTTCACTTGTCTTTTTAATCTCATCCCTTCCCAAATTCAATCCACTCTAGTGCATAAGCTGCTAAACAAATCTTCCAAAATCACCATTCCCACATAATACACAGGCTCAACACGTTTCCTATTGCCTGCCTACCACTACACACATTCCTATGCTGGCATTTAAAGATTTCTGAGCCTTGACACCTCTGAACTATTTGATTTCATCTCATACTACTGCCTAACACTGTCTGCTCTGGTGTGGCTAGTTCCTTATTTCTTTAAAACACACCCCAGGTTTTCTTTTTCCCCCCTTCTCGCCTTTTCTCTAAATAAGAAAACTACCCATTTTATGTATCTGCGGATCAAGCCACACCCTTTACAGTTATCTCTCACTCCTGATCTCCTAAGGTAATCAGTGGCAATACCAAACATCTGCACAACTATACACTCTCTTGTGTCTAACTCATTTATGTATGACTTTATTTTACCAGTGGTACTGTGAAATAACTGAGGTAAAGGATCCAGTATTATAATTCTTTGGAAATCCCCACCAGATCTAGTACAGTGCTGAACTCAAGAAACACTTGCTGAATCTAAACAAAGTCAGTACGCTTTTAATTACTTACACAATCTCAGTCAATCTGATGTGCCAGGGAAGAAAGCCTAATGTGCTGTCCACAGGACCGAACTTCAATACTAAATCAGGATCAGGACAACCATTTGAACCTTGGAAATAAATAAATACACATGAACTTAACATGCACTGCATGTGCACACACACACACACAGAAACACACAGATCATGGGCAAAATGTATTAATCAAATTGGTTCTTTAAACTACCTGTTTTCTTCAGAAGTTTTATCTGTATGTCTCCATGCCCCACCCCCAACTCTGTAATACATACTTTAATATCTATGCTCATTCCAAATGTGGAAGTTTTCTCAAAAGTCTGTTTAACTTGATTGATTACCTGATAAGAAAGGGTAACCCACCTCCCACACTATACCCAATAGGTGCCCCCAAAATCACATGTATCTTTTAAGACTCAATGTAGGTGTTCTCTTGGAATCCTGGGAAAGTTACTACAGTTCTAAAGGTGTGACTGCTTGATTCTGGCCACAGAATTGAATAACTTCAGAGACGAAAAGGAAATTTTAAAATATCTATTCTCCTTCCTTCCCTCATGCACCTCATTTTACAGCTATGAACCCAAAAAGACCAACTCCTAGCCATACATCACAAATGTCTTCCTTGGTCCCCAGAGCCAGAGCAGCCTCAGAGAGGAAAAGGAGACCAAGCATCTGCCTCAACAAGGACAAGGTCAATTTTTATCTCTTTCATGAACTGGTTTCCATATGAGACCTGACTTGGGGAAAAAAAGGACAAGGGTATTTCAATAGCTTAAAAATAAAATTTGAAGAGTACAGAAAAAAGATACTATAATCCAAGAGACTAAGGTTCCAATAGTTGTTAACATCCTCAATTCTGCCACTAACTTGTCTGTTATACAACCTCTCCAGTGCTAAATTCCTTCATTTGTCAAATAAGGAAACTGGATCAGGCAGTCCTGTCCAGCAGTACTATTGAAAAAATTATTTCCATAACAAAGTCCTTCTAAAAGTCCATACTGGTAGAGTGAATGGGCCAAGCAGAGGAACACACATTCCTGTATTACCTAAGAAGCAATAAATTATCTTCCATAAAAAATGACAAGAAGGAACTCCAAACCAATAGTGATGTAAAGAGGGTGGCAAATCTTCTCTATAAAAAACATGTTAAATTGGACAAAACCAACCATTCAAGAACACTAGATACTGACCAAAGGCGGACAATTATTCTTAAAGAAAACAACAAAAAAAAAGCTAGAGCTTTCAGTAAGAATGGCAAAGGTCTATGGCCTTCTTGCCTGGGACTGCTCCCAATGCCCACCCCAATCAACTGGAGAGAACTTACATTTTACCAGTATAGCTCTGACAGCAAAAATTAGATGATTTGCTACTTGCTGCCAAAAGATACGGACTCAATCTGGAACTGGAGGGTGTAGGCAAGAAGGAAAAGGAACAATGAAAATCCATGGTTTGACAGTTAAAGGTGGGAAATTCAAAAGAGAACAAATAGGAAAACCCACAGCTTTACTTGCCTGAGGTTGTAGCCCCAGTTAATACAATGGCAAGAAATTTAACAGTGAGATCCAGGAAATAAGGGCTCAGATAAACTCTCACATATCCATGGCCGACTGGGAAATAACATACATACTAGGAGGGGAAGCAGGGTAGGGGACAGGGCAGGAAGAAAGTCCAGTGAAAATCAAAAGCCAAGGAAACTTGAGAACTGGTGGCAACTTTAAATTCAGTTTCCAATACCAGAAATCATGGAAGCCTTACAAATTTAAGGTATCTAAGCATAACCAATGTGGAAATCATTGGCTTACCACTAAGCTATGTAGACATAAGCCAGACTAAAAAATTAAATAAAAAAAAACCTGAGCAGAGACAGCAGGAGTAATCTTTATTTATAGACAACATGATCGTGTATTTAGAAAATCCTAAGTCTCTACAAAAAGAGCTACTAGATTAGGTGAACTTGTATCTTAGGAAGGTTGCAGGATATAAAATCAATATTAAGAAACAAGTGTATTTCTAAGTATTAACAAACAACCTGAAAATTAAGAACATAATTCCATTAACAACAGCATCAAAAAGAATACCTAGGAGTAAATTTAACAAAAGAAGTAGAAATTCTATACCCCGAAACTGCAAAATATTATTTAAGAAAATTAGAACCCGGCCGGGCGTGGTGGCTCACGCCTGTAATCCCAGCACTTTGGGAGGCCGAGGCAGGTGGATCACGAGGTCAGGAGATCGGGACCATCCTGGCTAACACAGTGAAACCTCATCTCTACTAAAAATGCAAAAAATTAGCCAGGCGCGGTGGCGGGCGCCTGTAGTCCCAGCTACTCGGGAGGCTGAGGCAGGAGAATGGCGTAAACCCGGGAGGCAGAGTCTGCAGTGAGCTGAGATCACACCACTGCACTCCAGCCTGGGCGACAGAGCGAGACTCCATCTCAAAAAAAAAAAAAAAAAGAAAATTAGAACCCAAATAAATGGAGAAATATACTATGATCATGAACTGGAAGACTCAATATTGTTAAGAAGGCAACTTTCCCCAAATTGAGCTATAGATTCAATTCAATCCATATCAAAACCCCAGCAGAGTTTTTTTAAATTAGAAAGCCAATCCCAAAATTTGTAGAAAAATGCAAAGGACCCTGAATAGACACAACAACTTTGAAAAAAAAAAAAATCTTATTCAATTTTTTTTTTTGTACACAGTAGCCAGCCTCACTTCCCTGCTGGCTCACTCCCCCATTATCTTTCCCAGCCTCTAGCAACCATCCTCTACTCTCTATCTCCATGAGTTCAATTGTTTTAATTTTTAGCTCCCACAGGTGAGAACATGTGATGTTTGTCTTTCTGTGACAGGCTTATTTCATTTAACATAATGGCCTCCAGTTTCATCCGTGTTGCTGCAAATGACAGGATCTTGTTCTTTTTATGGCTGAATACTACTCTGTGGTCCATATGTACATTTTCTTTATCGATTCATCTGCTGATGGACACTTCAGTTGCTTCCAAATCTTGGCTATTGTGAACAGTGCTGCAATAAACATAGGAGTTCATATTCTTTTCTTTTTGGTATGTACCTAGCAGTGGGATTACTGGATCATGTGGTAGCTCAATGTTTAGTTTTTAGAGAAACCTCCAAACTGTTCTCCACACTGGTTGTACCAATTACATTCCCACCAACAGTGTACAAGGATTCCCTTTCTCCACATCCTCGTTAGCATTTGTTATTACCTGTTTAGAAAAAAGCCATTTTACAATAATATGTTATTGTAGGTCTAATTTGTATTTCTCCAATGATCAGTGATATTGAGCATCTTTGCATATACCTATTTGCTATCTGTATGTATTCTTTTGAGAAATATCTATTCAGATCTTTTGCCTATTTAAAAAATCAGATTAGATCTTTTTCCTGTAGATTTGCTTAAGCTCCTTATGTATTCTAGTTATTAATCCCTTGTCAGATGAGTAGTTTGCAAATATTTTCTCCCATTCTGTGTTGTCTTTTCACTTTGCTGATTGTTTCCTTTGCTGTGCAGGAGCTTTTTAACTTGATGTGATCTCATTTGTTCATTTTTGCTCTGGTTGCCTGTGCTTGTAGGGTTTGGCCCAGTTCAATGTCCTAGAGAGCTTCCCCAGTGTTTTCCTGTAGTAGTTGCTTAGTTTGAGATCTTAGATTTAAGTCTTTTATGCATTTTGATTTGATTTTTGTATATGGCAAGAGATAGGGTTCTAGTTTCATTATTTTCCATGCGGATATCCAGTTTTCCCTGTACCATTTACTGAAGATACTGGTTTTTCCCATTGTATGTTCTGGGCACCTTTGTCAAAAAATGAGTTCACTGGAGATGTATGCATTTGTCTCTAGATTGTCTCTAGATTGTCTATTCTCTGTGTCTGTTTTTATGCCAGTACCATGCTGTTTTGGTAACTATAAGTATAGCTCTGTAGTATAACTGGAAGTCAGGTAACGTGATTCCTCCAGTTTTGTTCTTTTTGCTTAGAATAGCTTTGGCTATTCTGGGTCTTTTTGTGATTCCATATAAATTTTCGGATTGTTTTTTCTAGTTCTGTGAAGAATGTCACTGATATTTTGATAGACTGCATTGATATTTTGCATTGACTGCAGATTGCTTTGGGTACTATGGACGTTTTAACAATATTGATTCTTCTTCCAATCCATGAACAGGAAATAGGCTTACATTTTTTGGCTGTCCTCCTTAATTTCTCTCATCAATGTTTCATAGTATTCATTGTAGAGATCTTTCACTTCTTTGGTTAATTCCTAGATATTTAATTTTATTTGTATCTATTATAAATGTGATTACTTTCTTGGTTTCTTTTTCAGATTGTTCACTATTGACATATAGAAATGCTCCTGATTTTTGTACATTGGTTTTGTATCCTGCAACTTTACTGAATGTGTTTATCTGTTCTAATTGTTGTCCGGTGGAATCTTTAGGTCTTTCCAAATTTGAGATCAGATCATCTGCAAAGAAGGACTTCTTCCTTTCCAATCTGGATGCCTTTTCCTTCTTTTTCTGGTCTAATTGCTCTAGCTAGGACCGCCAGTGCTATGCTAAATAACAGTGGTGAAAGTGGCATCCTTGTGTTCCAGTTATTGGAGGAAAGGCTTTCAGTTTTTCCCCATTCAGAAAGATAGTAGCTATGGGTCCATCATATATGGCTTTTATTATGTTGTAGCGTGTTCCTTCTATACCCAGATTTTTTAGGGTTTTTATCATGCAAGTGTTTAATTTTATCAAATGCTTCTTCAGTATCAATTGAAATGATCATGATTTTTATCTTTCATACTGTCAATATATCATATTCATTGATTTGTGTATGTTCAACCATCCTTGCATCCCTGGGATAAATCCCACTTGGTCATCGTCTTTTTAATATATTGTTGAATTTGGTTTGCCATTATTTTGTGGAGGATTTCTTCATGAACATTTATCAGTGGTACTGGCTTGTAATTTTCTTTTTTTGATGTGTCTTTGTCTGGTTTGGGTAACATGGTAATACTAGCTTCACAAAATGAATCTGTAAGCATTCCCTCCTTTCTATTGTGCAGAATAGTTTGAGTAGAATTGGTATTAGTTCTTCTTTAAATGTTTGGTAGAATCCAGCAATGAAGCCATCAAGTCATGAGCTTTCCACTGCTCTAAGACTTTTCATTACTTCAGCTTCAACCTCATCACTTATTATTGGTCTCTTCAGGATTTGGATTTCTTCATGGTTCAATCTTGGTGGGTTGTAGGTCTAGGAATTTATCTATTTCTTCTAGATTTTCCAATTTATTGGCATATAGTTACTCATAGCAGCCACTAATGATCCTTTGAATTTCTGTAGCATCAGTTGCAGTATCTCCTTTCCATCTCTGATTTTATTTATTTGGGTCTTCTGGTTTTTTTCCTTGGTCTAACTAAAGATTTCTCAATTTTATCTTTTCTAAAACACCACCAAATTTTTTATCTTTTGTATAGACTTTTTCATTTCAAATTCATTCATTTCTGCTCTGATCTTTTAAACTTTCCTGTTAGTACTGCTTTGCTGCATCCCATAGGTTTTGGTATGTTGTATTTTTATTACCACTTGTTTCAGTAAATTTTTCAATTTCCTTCTTAATTTTTTCATTGACCCACTGGTAATCCAGGAGCATACTGATTAGTTTCCAGGTGTTTGTATAGTTTCCAAAATTCCTCTTATTGATTTCTAGTTTTATTCCATTGTGGTCAGAGAAGATGCTTGATATTATTTCAATGTTTGTGAATGTTTTAGACTTGTTTTGTGGCCCAACATATGGTCTCTTCTTGCGAATGTTTCATGTGCTGACAAGGAGAATGTATATTCTGCAGCCATTGGATAAAATGTTTTGTAAATATCTATTAGATCCATTTGGTCTACAGTGCAGATTAAGTTCAATGTTTCTTGTTGATTTTCTGTCTCTATCTGTCTAGTGTTGAAAGTGGGGTGTTGAAGTCTCCAGCTATTATTGTATTGGGGTCTCTCTCTCTCTCTTTCTTTAGCTCTATTAATATTGGCTTTATATATCTGGGTTCTCCAATGTTGGGTGCATATGTATTTACAACTGTCATATCCTCTTGCTAAAATGACCCCTTTATCACTAGATAGTGGACTTCTTGGTCTCTTCTTAGAGTTTTTGTCTTGAAATATCTTTTGTCTGATATAAGTATAGTAACTCCTGCTCTTTTTGGGTTTCCGTTGGCATAAAATATCTTTTTCCATCCCTTTATTTTCAGTCTGTGTGTCTTTATAGGTGAAGTGTGTTTCTGGTAGGCAACAGATCATTGGGTCTTATTTTTTATCCATCCGCCCACTGTATGTCTTTTGAAGAGTTTAGTCTACTTACATTCAATGTTATTATCGATAAGGACTTACTCCTGCCATTTTGTTATTTGTTTTCTGGTTGTTTTGTGGTCTTCTCTTCCTTCTTTACTTCCTTCCTGTCCTCCTTTTAGGAAAGGTGATTTTCTCTGGTGGTATGACTTAATTTCTTGCTTTTTATTTTTTTGTGTATCTCTTGTATGTTTTTTGATTGGAGGTTACCATGAGGCTTGCAAATACTATCTGTCATAACCCATTATTTTAAGCTGATTACCACACTGCTTGCATAAACAAATAAACAAAATGAAAACTAATAAAAACTGTATACTTTACATTCATCTCCCCATTTTAAAACTTTCTGTTGTTTTTATTTGTATCTTATTGTACTGTCTATGTCTTGAAAAGTTGTTTTAGTTATTATTATTGACTGGGTCATCTTTTAGTCTTTTTACTTGACAGTTTTATACACCACAGTTACAGTTCTGTAACATTCTGTGTACTTACTATTACCAGTGAGAGTTGTACCTTCAGATGATTTATTGCTCATTAACATCTTTTCCTTTCTGATTAAACAATTCCCCTTAGCATTTCTTGCAGGGAAAGTGTGGTGCTGATAAAATCTCTTAGCTTTTGTTTGTCTGGGAAAGTCTATTTCTTCTTCGTGTTTGAAGGATATTTTCACTGGGCATACTATTATTCTAGGGTAAAAGTTTCTTTCTTTCACCACTTTTTAAAATATGTTATGCCACTCTCTCCCAGCCTGTAAGGTTTCTACTGAAAAGTCTGCTGCCAGATATGTTGAACCTCTATTGTATGTTGTTTCTTTTCTCTTGTTGCTTTTAGGATCCATTTTTTTTTTAAATCCTTGACCTTTCATAGTTTGATTATTAAATGCCTTGAAGTAGTCATCTTTCGGTTAAATCTGCTTGGTGTTCTATAATCTTCCTGTAGTTGAATGCTGATATTTTTCTCTAGGTTTGGGAAGTTCTCTAGGTTTAAATAAACTTTGTAACCCATCTCGTTCTCTCTCTGTATCTCCTCTTTAAGGCCAATAACTCAGATTTGCCCTCAAGAGGCTTTTTCCTAGATTTTGTAGGTGTGTTTCATTCTTTTGTCTCCTCTCTGTATTTGTAAATAGCTTATCTTCAAGCTTGTAACTTTCTTCTGCTTGATCAATTCTGCTATTAAGAGACTCTGATGCATTTTCAGTATGTCAACTGCATTTTCAACTCCAGAATTTCTGCTTGATTCTTTTTAATTATTTCACTCTCTTTGTTAAATTTATCTGATAGAATTCTGACTTTCTGAATTCTTGAAAACACACAAACATCCACACAAAAACTTGTACACAAACAGTCATACAGCATTATTCAAAAACTGGAAACAAACCACATGTGCATTAACCGATGAATGCATAAGCAAAACGTGGTATATCTAGAAAATACTACTCACCAATAAAAAACAATGAATAACTAATGCATTTTACATAGATGAACCTCAAAAATATGGTAAGTAAACAAAGCAAGACATAAAAGACTATATATTGTATGACTCCTTTTATATAAAATTTATAGAAAAAGCGAAAGTATAGTCAGAAACCAGACCAGTGGTTGCTGGTTTAGGGGGCAGGAGTGGGGACTAAATGCAGTCACAAAGGAACTTTTGATGGTGATGGTATTCAGAATGCTTGCCTCTGTCAAATTAATAAGTTAAGAATTGTGTACATTTTCATTTATCCTAAGCTTACAATGCCTGAAGGCAACAACTGGGCTTAATAAACATTAGCGCTTTCCCATGGACTACCTGAAGGTCATCTTTGGATCTCCATCAACTTTTAGAATGTCCTTATGAAATTACTCTCTTATTAGGGTCTCATAGGGTGCAGGAAACAGTCAACATCCCAGTAACATCTGAGCAGAGAGGCCCCATAATGGTCTACTACTCACTGAGCCTGAATATAATTAGGCAATGACAGGGTAGGGTAAGAAGCAAGTAGTCAACAAAAGTAGGAAGTTAGCGAAACCAAGAAGTGGGAGATGGACTTTGCTCTGTGACGGACACATGTCAAAGTGGAAGAAACAAAGAATGGAGAGTTAAGTAAATAAGTTAAGATAGAAAATGCATTTCTTTTTCTTTTTTTTTTTTTTTTTTTTTTTTTTTTGAGACAGGGTCTCACTCCGTCACCCAGGCTAGAGTGTACTGATGCGATCTTGGCTCACTGCAACCTCTGCCTCTTGAACTCAAACTATACTCCTGCTTCAGCCTTCTGAGTAGCTGGGACCACAGGCGTGAGCCACCATGCCTGGCTAATTTTTTATTTTTTGTAGAGATGGGGTTTTGCTATGTTGCGCAGGTTGGTCTCAAACTCCTGCGCTCAAGCGATCCACCTGCCTCAGCCTCCCAAAGTGCTGGGATTACAAGTGTGAGCCACCCCATCCAGCCTGAAAATGCACGATTAATAAGTAAATGGATAGTCTAAGTAATAAAAAATGAATGAATGTCTAAAACTGTATGCCTATAGAAGCTATTAATGAACATGAATTTACTAGAGAGATTGTCTTTCTTCAAAAGGATCAAGGCTAATGCTAGTAAGCAAGAAGAACCATGACATTATGGCAAAAAGGTCCTAGAGGGAATTCTCTAGACAGAATATGCAAACCAAAGGCTTATTTAAACAGCTGAAGAAAAAAAGTTATATTTGGTATAACATGACAAATACAGTTGTATATTTGGTATAGCATAATAGAAAGAATAATTAAAAAGGAATCATGGTAACAGTAAGATTATATTCCTGGGATCACCTCATAAAAAGATTAAGTTCAAAGTTAAGGGAAAGTTCAAACTAAAAAGAAAGGGGAAGAGGGAGAGGAAGGCTAACAAGCAGAAGTCCTATTTTCAAGAATATTCATCACTACAAAAAAGATCCTCAAAGGTCATCTCCTTTACCATTAAATCCTCATGCGAGTGAGTGGCTACAAATTTCATTGTCTCGAAACCATTTTTACATAGGTCTTTAAATTTCAGAAATTTAACAGGTATTAACAACAAAAGAATCAGGCTTTATGGTGTGAAAGAAACAAAAATATTTTCTTTCATACTGTATCCTCGTGTGACAAAACTAAACACACACACATACATATACATATATATGTATATATATATAAAAAAACTTACTAAGTAAACTGGCTAACGTATCTACATCCAAATCTGTGGGTCTCTTTTGCTTCTGGGCTACTAACTGGCAAAAGTCCTGAGCAGCTCTTACAATATCTGCTTTTCCATCTTCCGGAGACAGCACCTTCACTGCCAAATGGCAATTTAAAACTGGAAGAAAAAACAAACAATGTATTTTAAAAACACTCTCTTCCAGGTATATTTCAAAAGCAGTTTTAAGAAATACAAGGTTAAACCAAAATAAACATACAGTTCTTACAGTAAACAAGAATTTTTTAAGCCCTTCAATTTCAATATCAAAACATACTTAGCTATTCTCCTCTGAAAGGATCCATATATCCCAAATCACATCCATGTATATATTTATACACTGCCTTCTTTTCAAAGTGTTCAGAATGACTATACATTGTGACTACATCCTCTAGAAAACAGAAACTTTATAGGCTAGCTAACAAATTTTCACGCATCTAAAATTTCCTGTATAATTGCGATATCGTTAGCAGTAACACAGAATAAAAGAAAAAATAAAGACTAAGAAAAAACTGTTAGAGTGGAATATGCATTGCCTATAGCATACATACCTTTATCAATTCTACTTTTATAGGAGCTATCTTACAATTGATGGGATTCTCAGATAACACTGCAAAATTCTTATCTATAGACATGCAAATTCTTTCTTGTCCAGCAAAGATTCAATTTCTTTCCTCACTCCATAGAACAACCAGTTGTACCTCTATTTATATATTCATTTCAATATCTCTACAAATGTGTCCATTCTATGGATTCTCTGTGGAACCAGTTAAAAAATTTGCCTGGTTAAATAAAATCCTTATCATGTGTTCACTTTTTACCAAGATTAAGACGAGAAAGTCTAAATCTGATGATTAAAGATGTTGACAATAAAGAGTAACAGAGCAACGTGAATGAATAAATGACAGAGTAACAGAAATTGCCATGAAACACAAAACACACATCTTCATATGTTACATGTTCAATTATACACTCATGCTTACCTTGATCATCTTTGTCATTACTATTTGCAAATTCTGGTGAGTATTTTGAACAATCTAGGCCCAGAAGTTCTTGCTGTTGTTTTAAAATTTCATCCATCAATCTGGAATTATTTCTTTTGAAAATACCTTTAAAAAAGAAAAAGGCAAGTAAAACACAACTAGGTTAATTTTTCCTCTTCAAGTGAATGCTTGCTATGAAAACAACACTAGATCCAGAACTAAACGAATGTCAAACAAAGCTGTAATGACTAGTCCTAAACTAGAATCTAAAAGGAAAACATGACAACAAAACTTTGTTAATACAAGAGTCTGGCTTCCAGCAAAAAAAAGAACAGAGGTAACTACTTAAGTAGTGGCATGTGAATATGACAGAAATTTAGACTTAGGAATTTTAAGAGATCACTTACTTAAAATCTTTATGGATTCAGAAACTGAGGCCTAAACTCTTTAAGGTTCTTCTCCAAGAAATTATAAACTGCAGCAGTGGTCTAGAGCCTGTTATGTTCCTCACTCACAGTCTAATGTACCTTTTCTGCAGATTTACTACTTGTATTAAATAATCTTGCCTCAATTTGATTAGTTTTTTAAATCATAAGAGGAAGTAATAAGGATTACGTAAAAAGAGAACAGAAAAACAATTTAGTAAATTTAAAACAAAGCACAGAAATAAAATACAAAGAACAATGTATGGTCCTCTATGCAGGGAAAAGTTAACACTGTTAACTACTGTCATGTTATTGAGAAAGATGAGAAAGACAAAGGAACTATGTGACATACATTTAATGTAAAACTAGTAAGAGCTCTGACTAAAAAAAAAGGAACAAGTCTTTGACAATTTGCAGAGGCAGCTTTCTAGTAGCCATTGCCTTTTTAATCTTTATCAAATGTTCCTACTCTGCACTCTCAGTCAGGCATGACTTTAAAGTAGTTTAACAAAATAACTGGGAGAGAGAACACAGGCTAATATATACACATATATATAATAAATATATACATATAAAGCTGCTTAAATCTTTTCCATCAAACCAGTTCTCTTTGTAGAATTTCCAACTTTCTTGTCCAGCAAAGATTCAATTTCTTTCCTCACCCCATAGAACAACCAGTTGTACCTCTATTTATATATTCATTTCAATATCCCTACAAATGTGTCCATTCTATGGATTCTCTGTGGAACTAGTTTAAAAATTTGCCTGGTTTAATAAAATCCTTACCATGTATTCACTTTTTACCAAGATTAAGATGGGAAAGTCTAAATCTGATGATTAAAGATGTTGACATTAAAGAGTAACAGAGCAACGTGATGAATAAATGACAGAGTAACAGAAATTGCCATGAAACACAAAACACACATCTTCATATGTTACATGTTCAATTATACACTCATGCTTACCTTGATCATCTTTGTCATTACTATTTGCAAATTCTGGTGAGTATTCTGAACAATCAATTAAAATTATATCAATCAATATATAATTAAATATATAAATCAATAAATATTAAATATATATAATATAAATATATTAAATCAATATATAATTAAACAATCAAAATTATATCACTTTTGAATATATATTTTGAACTATATATATATATATATATATATATATATCTATATCTATGGCACAGAACCTGCTGAATATACTGTATACAAATGCCAAGCCAGAAGTATATGTGTAACAGTAGTTACAAAAGTCTCCTTTGGTGAGGAAGGCTTTATAAAATAAGATTTGAGCTGAGATGAACTCTGAAGGTTAAACCAGAAAAAACTAGAGAAGATATCAGGTGGGAAAAAATGCTTAAGAAAAAGCATGAGTTCGGAATGTTAAAAAAACAGACCAATGCTGCTGATGCAAAGGATATGAAAAAATTGGTAAGAGGATAGTCCTAGTTTTTATCTCATTCTGCCTATCAAATGGATAAGCAACAATTTCTGAGCAATATGGAAATACATAAAAATGTGCATATTTAGAAGAATTAATCTGGCAACAGCATATAGAAGGGCAAGCAGCAGACTACTGTATTAGTCCATACATAATTTGTCGAGGCGATGAGGGGAAAAAGGATTTACCACAAAGGAAGAATTGAGAGAATATGGTACATGACTGACTTAGAAGTGAATGTAGAAAATTCCATGGCTTTTATCCTAGGTAGCAGAAAATGATAATCTTTTTTTTTTTTTTTTTTTTTTGAGACAGACTCTCACTCTGTCACTCAGACTGGAGTGCAGAGGCATGATCTCGGCTCACTGCAACCTCCGCCTCCTGGGTTCATGCGATTCTCCTGAGTAGCTGGGACTACAGGCATGCGCCACCATGCCCGGCTAATTTTTTGTATTTTTTTAGGAGAGATGGGGTTTCACCGTGTTAGCCAGGATGGTCTTGACCTCCGGACCTCGTGATCCGCCCACCTCGGCCTCCCAAAGTGCTGGGATTACAGGTGTGAGCCACCACACCCAGCCGATAACATTTTTAAAAGTTGAAAATTCCACAAAGAGAACTTGTTTGAAGGAAAGGATGAGTTCGGTTTTAGACAGCCGATGATAGAAAATTTAGGTGAGGATTACTATAGAAGTGATTAAGAGAGATGACACAGAAGGAGTTCAAAAGAGGTCATATAAGCACCAATGTGAGTAGGGATCTTATCTGTTTTGCTCACCAGGGCCAACCACAGTGCCTGGCACAGAGCAAACAATAAATAAATGTCTGCTGAAAGAATATGGGAGCTCAGAAACTGAGACATAGATATATATACACTTGGGAGTCAGCCTCCTTAACGTGGGACAGCCATATACACAAGAATAACGATTAGTAAGATTTCAAATATAATTAGGTATATATAGAGAAAAGTAGAAGGCTAAGATGGCACTACGTATGAATGCCCACAATAATTATGAAAGCCCACAATCATAAGACTCTAAGCGTGGAAATATAAAAGTGAACATTTTGAAACAGCCATATCTAGAACAAGATTAAGCAAAAAATATATCACTAAATATTAGCAAAATTTTTAAAGGAAGGTGATTAATATCAGGAGCTATTTGAATGGCAATCTTTAGAACAGTAATACCTGTGGAGTAATGCAGAAGTGTAGGATATAATCATTATATCCCCATATCAATCATAAAATTCACATGTATATAAAAAGCATATATTCCAAAACAGCATATAAAATATATGATGCCAGCTTATAAATTTTACAAGATTTCCAACTATCTATACAAGTTAGACCACACTTTGGTCTGTATTATATGTATAAATTGTGGAAGTCATATAAACTTCAAAAATTTCTTAATTTAACAATGGGCTGGGTGCCAGTGGCTCTCACCTGTAATCCCAGCACTTTGGGAGGCCAAGGCAGGAGGAACACTTGAGGCCAGGAACTAGAGGCTAGCCTGGGCAACATAGCAAGACCTTGTCTCTACAAAAAAAATGTTTTTTAATTAGCTGGACGTGGTGGCACACGCTCTTAGTCCCAGCTATTCAGGAGGCCGAGGTGGGAGGATCGCTTGAGTCCAGGAGTTCAAGGCTGCAGTGAGCTATGATCATGCCACTACACTCCACTTGAGCAACAGAGAAAGACTCTTTCTTTAAAACAGACAAAAAAAAACAAAAAACAAAACAAAAAAAAATGTAAAATCTCCATAACACTCCAGCCAGAACATACAAGTTTATTAAAAATCAAATGGTAAATGACTCCCTTTCCCATAAAAACTAAGATTTATTCATTTTAATAGTGTCGGGTAATACTAGGAAAGCCTGCTTTGTCTATTCACATCACACCAATCCCCTCCTTTGATACTCTTTTTAAAAACCTAGCCTTCAGTTCTCACCAGTTTGTTCATATTTACCTTAGCCTCCAGATTAAAATGGTAAATCTTTTCAGGAACTCTTGCCCTCTTCAAAGCAATGGATGACAACCTTATCACCAGAATATTCACTACCTCTCCTCAATCTTAATTCTTCCCTCCTCAGCTTCTCTGAAGCATTACCATTAATGACCACCATGCTTCCTTCTCAAAATTCTATCTTTATCCCAACTTGTCTCAATGTTCTCTTCCTGATTCAACACGTAACCTGGCTCCTTGAATGGCCCATTCTCACTTTCCACTGAATCCTCTTCTTCTTTTCACCCTAAATAAAGATTATTCCTCAGGGTTCCCGTCTCAGCCCTCTCTTTCTGTCCATGTGGTCCTTCTTTTCTGATTCTAGTCACTCACCAGTCTTGAAAACAAAGAAAGCCCAGACAAAAATAAGTGAGGTAAAATTTGGGGTGCAAAAATTTAAGGGGGTGCCAAAAAAACTCAGTAATTAAGATAATGAATAACAATGCAGTATCTTTAAAAATTAAAATGCCAAACTATCCATGATGAACAAAACATTAAAATTTTAAGTAGAAACAGGATCATTTGGTTCCTAACATTTCTAGTTCATTCAAACATCTAACTCTACCTTGAAGTTCTGTAGGCATCCGAGAGTGAACAAAGCCAAACCTTGGCGGCTTATCTAATAAAGCTAGCTCTCGGAACACTTATATGACATCAAGGGTAGAAAATAAATTAAAAGGAGCAGGACTTTAAGTGTATAACTTACTTGCACTTAAGAACAAGACTGGAAGAGGACAAGCAAAATGAGAACAGTAAATGTATAGGGGTAGTAGGACAGCAGGTGATTTAAAATTGTAATTGCTATAAAGTGGTTTATAATTTAAAAAAAAAAAAAGTCCTCCTTCTTGACGCTCTATTTCTAAAAAAGCCATCAGTATCTGCCCAGTCACCCAGGCATTCTCTCTACTCTCCCATTATCAACCCCCAAAGCCCTACTAATTATGCTAAGCCCATATACTCTTTTACAGCAATGTTTCCTATATCCATATTCCTTTCTGTCCATTGCCCACACTGCTCCAAGCCATTGTGCTGTTCTTTATTATATATACACACACATATTTTTAAGAAACAGGGTCTCACCCTGTCATCCAGGCTGAGTGCAGTGGGGCTATCATAGCTGACTGCAGCCTCCAGCCTCTAGGCTTGTGATTCCCCTGCCTCAGCCTCCTGAGTAGCTGGGACTACAGGTGCATATCACTGTGCCCAGCTAATTTTTTTATTTTTTATTTTTGTAGAGACAGGGTTTTGCTTTGTTGACCAGGCTGGTCTCTAACTCCTGGCCCTCAAGTGATCCTTCCTCCTCGGGCCTCAAAAAGTATTGGGATTACAGGCATGAGCAACCGGCCCAGCCTACTTCCTTATAATATTATAAGCAACTTCTGTGGGTGTTCCTGCCCCCTTCTATTAAGTACTGCTAGCTTCACCACCAGCTTATTCAATCCTGGCACATTCCAACTTCAGTATCTTAAATGTTTCCTAAAATGCCTAGTGTATTAAGAACGAACTGCTCAGCCCAACATTAACATTCCAGCCTATGCTTCCATGCTTGTTGAACAGAAATCAAATGAAGTTTTCCATTTCCCAGTAATACTTTATCCCCACAAATTAGAATTGCCTATGTTCCTCAAAAACACATGGAGTGACTCCAACCTCCATCCTTTATGCCACTTCCCCAAGCCCATGCCTGTTAAATTCTCCTAATTCTTCACAGGCCAGCTGAAATGTCATTTACCTTCAAGAGGCCTTTCCCAATTCCCCAGCCAGATGTGCCCCATTCCTCCTCTGACTTACCCTCACTCTCAACCCCTCCACATACACTCATTTAAACTTGTTAATAAACGAATATTCTACTTTTTATTATAGCTTAAATCTCTCCACCCTCCCCTCAACTGTAGTCTTATTTGTGAATGTGTCTTACTCATCTCTTTTCCCATATTTTCCATATAGCAGTTCAATGTTTATTTAATCAACTGAATTACCAATGTACAAAGTGCTGCTTAACAATAATGAAACATAAAGGAACATGTCACTGAATGGAATTTTTCTTAAGTTTCCAGGAACATCCCACAATAAAAGCAGACACTTCCTTATTGCACACAGGCAGAAGTTCCACTAAAAGGAAAGAATATTACAGAGAGACACAGTTACAAAATGTCTCTTATAAAGACTTTCATACAGTTATTGGAACAGAATCTTTCTTGGCTGATTTGGATGCAGAAGTAAAATTTAAAGGTATGGTTTCTGAGAATTGCTAAGAGTGTAGATAAGACACTATGGGCAAGATGATTCCTAATAACTCATAACTTGACCCCCACCCAGAAATCTGATCATACTTATTCACAAGCAATATTATCAGCTTACAGTTTTCTTCAGGATTCAATGTCTACACACACACACACACACACACACACACACACACACACACACACACATACACACTTCACATGATACACAAGAAATACAAGACATAAGGTTGGCTTTGACTAAAACAGGCAATTCCTCTAGTAATATCATAGTATATGTACAGATTCTTTTTCTCATATTATAATTCATCCTGTTTCCCTTCTAGGATCCAAACTAAAGCCAAAATGATAAAGAAACTATTACAAAAGTTATTTTATGTAAAAGGAAGCTAAGGCCATATTCATTCAGAAATAACTGATTAAGGGAAAACACTTGAAAATACTCAAATTTTTAAGAAAACAGTATTTTACAGAATTATATAGTATTGCACCTCAAGAATCACTTTATTCCAACCTTTTACAGGTGAGGAAAAAGATCCATAAAGGTCAAGCAATTGTCTTTGGCCAAGCATCTAAGAATTTGGCCTGAAATCCAGGTATCCCTCAAATTATTCAGTTCAGTTACTATTTCTAACTCTGATAAAGGAACAATACTAAACTCCACTATACAACTAAATTTTGAATTCCTCCAAAAAAGTTGAATTTTATAAAATAAATACAACCTATCTTTTAATAAATGAGTAGTATTTTTCGAAAAAACTAGGACTAGAGCTTTTTTTTTTTAGACGGAATCTTGCTCTGTTGCCCAGGCTGGAGTGCAGTGGCGCGATCTCGGCTCACTGCAAGCTCTTCTCCTGGGTTCACGCCATTCTCCTGCCTCAGCCTCTCGAGTAGCTGGGACTATAGGCGCCCACCACCACGCCCGGCTAATTTTTTGTATTTTTAGTAGAGACGGGGTTTCACCGTGTTAGCCAGGATGGTCTCGATCTCCTGATCTCATGATCCGCCCGCCTCAGCCTCCCAAAGTGCTGGGATTACAGGCGTGAGCCACGGCGCCCAGCCCTTTTTTTTTTTTTTAATGAGACGGAGTATCACTCTCTCACCCAGGCTGGAGTGCAATGGCGCGATCTCGGCTCACTGCAACCTCCACCTCCTGGGTTCAAGTGATTCTCCTGACTCCAGAGCTCTTTTTAAAAAGGCTTTTAAGGAGGTTTCACAGGGCAAACAGATATTTGAATTCTTTAGGAGTGACTTGGGAATCTAAAATAAGTTTTTGCAATAATGACTTAAAGATTTTTACTTTATGTTTTGTTGCTTTAAAATTATATTTCACGTACTCTCAATTTCCCAAATGTAAACTATATGAAATATAAAGAAAAAAGTTAAATGGGCTGGGCATGGTGGCTCATGCCTATAATCCCAAACACTTTGGGAGGCTGAGATGGGAGGATCACTTGAGGTCAGGAATTTGACACCAGCCTGAGCAATGTAGCAAGACCCTGTCTTTATAAAAGAATTAGCCAGGCATGGTGGCTTGTGCCTGTAGTACAACCTACTCAGGAGGCTGCCCAGGAGTTCAAGGCTGCAGTTAACTATGATCGCACCACTGCACTCCAGCCTGGGCAACAAAGTAAGACCCTGTCTCTAAAAAAAAAAAGAAAGAAAGAAAAGATATATCAAATAGCCATTATGACAAAACACACACGAGAAAATCTTCAATTTCCAAAGTAAGGAAACTGCACACATATCCTTTGAATCTACAATAAAAGTTGAAAAAAATAAAAGTAAAACCACAAAATCTTCAACTTCCGTGAAAGAAGAATATTATTCTAGCAAAGTTATACCTCAGAAAGACTACCATGCTTTTGTTATTTCTTAATAAACAGCAGGTATGCATTTTGGGGGCCAAATGAAGACTTCATTTTAGATTCTAAGAAACATTTGTTTTAAATTCTAGTCTTAAAAAATAAGATGTTCAATGTTTAGATAATAAGGGAATGTTCCCTAACCTTCCCCATAACTACTGGAATGTCCCTAACCTTACCATTGTAACACAACTATTTCGACTTCTCAATATTTTCTAGTCTTTGTCCACATGCATATGTAATCCTAGTGTATATGATTATGCAATTTGTATCCTGCTTTTTTTACTTGTGTAATATGTATCCTTCCTTGGTGCTAGTCTCATGATTATTTTAACAACTGTATTAAACAAAAAGTTTTTTGCTGTTTTTTTCAGTTCTTAAAATATAAAAATCAATACTTCCCCAGGTGATTGCTATTATAGGAATCACTCTATTGCATATTCTCTCAGCAGTCAGGTTTCTCATCACATTCGAGGAAAGTAGAGTATCATATGGACACCAGAAATGTCAGCAGTGGCCGTAACATGAAGGGGCCTGTGGGCCTTGGTAATGAATTTCGAAAGCATTCCAACTACAACGAGAAGCTGTTGGAGGGTTTTATTCAGTCCAAATGATGCCATCAAAAAAAGATCACCTCGCTGGTAGGTGAAGAATGGATTATACAGGGACCAGGATAGAAAAATGGAGATCAATTAGGAGGCTACTACAGTAATCCAGGTGAAAGAACAATGGTAATTTAAACTTGGATGGCTGCAATGGAGACTAAAACAAGGATTAGGTCTCAAAAAGTACTGTTTTAGACATACAAGGCATAGGATTGACCTAATAAATTATTTTAGACAAGGAGTTAGATATAGAAGTCTGGAATTATGGGAGATATCAGGACTGTATTTCCAGCCCAAACCTGTGTGTCAGCACACACGTGACATTTAAATCCATGGGATTGGGGAGATTATCTGCAGGACAGGGGTCAGCAAACTACTGCTATGGAAAACAGCCACATTTGCTTATGGCCATTTTTGACTACACTAGCAGAGTTGAGTAGTTGCAACAAAGTGAGTAACAGAAAGACAAAGGCATACATACAGCTCCAAACTCTAGGACACCACAACATTTGGAAGTACAACAGAGGAGAAGCCACACATATGGATTAGAAGAAAACAGAGTAGAGTAGAAGTTAATTTGCCTAATCTACCTACTAGGTTACATACTGTATTCAGTCTTACACATTAACTGAATAATAAAGTCATGACATGCATACTTTTTTTAAATTAAGGGAACCAAGTCACAAGGAGTTTAATTAGACAAGTATTCCATCAGCAAATCTTATCTGCATTCCTCAAATACTGATTATTTTAAAAGGTATGTGAAATGTATAATCAAGTCTATAAAATGAGACTTTTAAAATACATTTACTATCTCTTTTAAATCTGAAACTGGAATTTTTACTGTGATTATTTATTCCCTTCTACAGAAACAGACTTTTTAAGAAATAATAGCAAGTACTTACAAGAACAAACAAGAGAAAAAAATGAGATAAGCATTGAAACAATCTCTCCTCATTATTAAGCACTTCACTGGTTATGGAATTAAAGTAATCTCTATTTATAAATAAATGCCTGTTCTAAAAATTGGCCTACCTCTTTTTCTTTTTAAACTAGTCACCTAAGTTACCTCTAACAACTCAATTATAAAACGACTAGAGAGCAATCTTCAGAGAAGAAAACATATATTTATGGAGCAATTATTTAAAATGAAAAAAATCTACCATTAAAATTTTACATGACTGAAGTAGTCATAAGAAAATAAATCATAACAAAATACATAGGCCATTAAGCTATTTTATTTCAGGAGAGAGCCCTTCAGGACACCTCACAGAACAACAATTATACTGTAGAAAATTATACTGCAGTGCTGTAGTAAGAGAACAGGTATGTGTAATGGTGACAAAGTATATAACAAAATGAGGGCTAGATTTAAGTCCTAGCTTGTCAGCACAAGAGATATGTAAAATGAACAATCCATGTGGGTTTTTTCGGCATCTTGTTGGACATTTTTAAAATGAGAATATATTTACAGAATCTGCTCACCTGACAAACTAACAGCTCAACACAAAGCTGGAGCACCATAACATTAAATTTTTAGCTGGTTTTTTAAAAAATGTGTCCTATAACTCAAAGGATGAACATGTACACTAGTGGGATGAAGAAATCTCTATTAGTCTTTAAATATCTTTTACAAATAATTTCTATAACCTGTAGATAAGTGCCTGTTTACCAAAGCTTGAAGATGACCCAAAAGAATCAGAAACAGTACTAAAAGTGACTACTGTCGTCACATTCTTTTACCAGTGGAAATCAAAATAATGTAACGGTTAAGCACAAAAGCTCTAGAATAAAAATCTGGTTCAAATTCTAGATCTGCTCCTTACTAGATTTGGAACCTGGCTTTTTAAATCTCAGTTTATCTGTAAAACTGCTAATGACTTAAGGCACTTTTCTATAGTATCCAGTACAGACTAAAAGTTCAACAAAGGATAATTATTACGCTTAAGATACAGGTTTGATTTATTGATTGATTGATTGAGGCAGGGTCTCACCCCGGCTAGAGTACAGTGGTGCAACCATGGTTCACTGTAGCCCCAACCTCCAGGACTCAAGTAATCCTCCCACCTCAGCCTCCTGAGTAGTTGGGACTACAGGCACACACCATGTCTAGCTCATTTTCTATTTTTATTTTTCAGAGATGCGGGTCTCACTATATTCCCCAGGCTGGTCTTAAACTCCTGGGCTCAAGCAATCCTCCCATGTCAGCCTCCTAAACTGCTGGGATTACAGGCATGAGCCACCACACTCAGCAAAGGTTTACTTTAATACACAGATCCAGTACTATAGTTAAACAAAAGGGTACATAGAGAATAAAGTCATTTAAAAAGTTAACAAAAGCAGGATAGAATTTTTCAAAGACAGAGTAAGACTGGGGATGGAACAGTCGAGAGAGGCTACTTCAGAGATGATAGTTAGGATGAACTTACAAGAATCAACAAGCTGGGCACGGTGGCTCACACCTGTAATCCCAGCACTTTGGGAGGCTGAGGCAGGTGGATCTTGAGGCCAGGAGTTCAAGACCAGCCTGGCCAACATGGTGAAACCCCATCTCTACTAAAAATACAAAAAATTAGGTGGGCATGGTGGCATATGCCTGTAATCCCAGTTACTCAGGAGGCTGAGGCAGGAGAATAGCTTGAACCCCGGAGGCAGAGGTCGCAGTGAGCCGAGATCGCACCACTGCACTCCAGCCTGGGCGACAGAGCCAGACTCCATGTCAAAAAAGAAAAGAATCAACAGTCTTTTGACAGGTAGCTAGCCCTTTGCCAGAAAAAGGTGAAGAGGACATTTCAGGATGTTAAGATAAATGTGAAACTGTACAAAAAGTCAACTACACAAAGGTAGAGATTAAGAATAGAATGCTCCCTTACATGAGTTTCCACATGAGGGAAGATAAACACTAGGTTGTACTATTCAGTATGTCAAATGTAATCACATTTATATTTAGACTTTCAACATTTCCGGCACCTCTGTATTTCAACATAAGGAGAATAAACTTAAGAAAATCATACTTCTCAATAGCATCTGTGTCACTGTGCCAACTAAGTAAACTAGGGTAAACTATGTTCATTTTCCTCCATTACTTTAAGGCTTCTGGGTATTGTGTTGGGAAGCAGAGAGTGCAACTCAGTTCATTATTCTTATCTACAGGAAATGCGGCCCTTCTTTGAATTCAAGGAACACATATTAACTATTCATTACATGCATAACACCAAGATACACTCTGTAAGAAAAGCAAAAATGAGAAGGATGGATAGCATCTGTGGAGCTTATAATCTAGTAAGAAAGTTTATGCACATATACATACAAATATGACTACACAAAGCAGAGAACAGAAGTACCTTTAGAGATGTTTGAAGTTCTGAGGAGATTCAGAGATATAGTAAGATAGGGAACGGAGTGAATAGTCAAGAAAGGCAAAAATATACAAGGTGATATTTAGGATTGACTCGGAAAAGATGAACAATAGCCTCTTGGTAGGCATACAGCCATTTGCCAGAAAAAGGAGAAGAGGGAGTTCCAGGAAACTGGAACATTAAATACCTAAATACAGACATAGCAAAAGGTATGCAAAGCATTGAGAAACAGGTTGAAAAGATAGGATACACTGGGCAGACTTTTAAAATGTTACTGTGAGAAACCTGTACCCAAAAACCATTTCAAAAGCAACCTAGCTTCGATTTAAATAAACTAAGGAAATAGCACTAGAAAGAGCAGCACACAAAAAAAATTTGTTGTCTTACTGTTGAATTCTCACACAGAAGGCAATGCCTTATTCTGGATCATTCCAATTTACAGCAAATAATCCTAAGGCTTACCCCAAATTATCCTCAATCATGAAAAGGAACATGAAATATAAATAATCTAATGTAAGGCAAGTAGCAGAGTATCCTTTGATCTGTGTTAGGGTTAAACTTCAGTGTGCAGAAGTATCATACAGGTAGCTTGATAAAAACAGAGACGCCCAGGTCCCAGTTCCCTCATTAAGTTTGATTACTAAGTGTGTTGAATCTGCATTTTTTATAAGCATCCCCAATGACTAATTCACAGATGGTCCACAGACAGGTTTTGAAAAATACCAATCAACAGCAAGGTTCCCAGCAAGGCACAATAAAGCCAGGAAATAAGAACAAGTTCCATCACTTAAGATAACAATACATATCCAGATAACTTGGAGCCAAGTGTACCTGCATGTGAGACACAGGCAAACAACACTGCTAAGGCTAGAACAATAAAATCCATTTACCCCAACCCCTGGTTCTTGTACCATCCCAGTTATGGTCATTTCTTAAATTATAATCATATAGACAGAACAGCCAAATCTCGCTAGAATTCTGAACTCAAAAAATTCCTGATCACTGTCCTGAGAGAACAACCTGAATTTTTGAAAGATGAAAGAATTACTTGCAGACTCTATTATAATCAAGAAATATTGCAGGTAGTGAAAAACAAAAAGATCAGTTTGCTGGCAGTCAAATTAAGGTCAATATAATAGATCTTTTAGTCTAAGGATTAAATGTTGTTATCTAGATCCAACCATAATTAGAACGAATTTAAGTACAAATTTGAGAGCAAAGGGGTGTAGGACAGAATAAAATGTAAGGTGGTAAGCTTGTCTTCAAAGTGGCTGCCCGTCCATCTCCCTTCAAATCCTCACCCAACCTTTCTACACAAGCCATTTTCTCATTGAGAGGTGAAGTCCATTTCTCCACTTTCTTGATGCAGAACAGATGTGAGACTTCTCTGACCAAGAGAACATAGCAAAAATAACACTGCATGATTTCCTAGGTTAGGTCCTAAGACATCTTTCAGCTTCAGCCTTTGGCCAAGTCTCTGGAAACATTTGTTCTGGGGGAAGTTAGTTAACTGGTTACCCTGAAGTCAACCTCCAGACCATGTGAAGCCAGATGACCAACCTGCCCCATCTATTTCAGCCATCAAAAACCAGGCACCAGACATAAGGAGAAACCTTTGGGTCCCAGACTCTATCTGAATGAAAGCTATGAGTGACCCAAAGGAAAAACTGCCCAACTGAACTAAGTCAATATATAAATTGTTGTTTTAAAACACTATGCTTTGGGTAGATTTCTACAAAGCAGTAGGTAACCAGAATAGCTGTCCAAGCCTTCATCCTACCTCATTTCCCAACTGTTCATTACATAAATTCACTGCTCCCAACACTCTACTCAATGCTATTACTGAACCTAGTCTAATGAGAATGCTGCCATTAGGGAAATCCCCATTCACACACACAGAGAACACTGTTCACGCCAATCCCAATTCTATCTTTTTGACTAGGTCCAGCTCAGGTGTTGCTCCCTTCCTTACCAGACAAATATGGAGGTAACCCGGGAAATTTTCCATTTTTCGCTCCTTAAAGTATCTGCCATTCACTTAGCATTTCTATATTAGCTTGTGTTAATTTTTAATGGACATCCTTACTTGAGTGGAAACTCTTTAAGAGACACCATTTCTTGTACTTCTTGTATCCCAGTGGCATTTACGAGTATGTCAATAGGATTTTTCATAGTTAAATATCTATCTAGAAATAAGCTTAAATAGACATTTATTTAGAAACACTGAATATGGCCGGGCGCAGTGGCTCACACCTGTAATCCCAGCACTTTGGGAGGCTGAGGCAGGCAGATCACCTGAGGTCAGGAGTTTGAGACCAGCCTGGCCAATATGGCAAAACCCTGTCTCTACTGAAAATACAAAAATTAGCAGGGCGGGGTGGCGCGCATCACCTGTAGTCCCAGCTACTTGGGGAGGCTGAGACAGGAGAACTTGAATCTGGGAGACGGAGGTTGCAGTGAGCCTAGATTACACCACTGCACTCCAGCCTGGGTGACAGAGCGAGACTCCGTCTCAAAAAAAAAAAAAAAAAAAAACCACTGAAAAAGAAACACTAAATAAAGCTTACATGTCTATACTCCCTCTGAGTGATTCTTACATATCCACATGGCCTATATTTTCAAGTCTATATTCAAAGAGCCTCTCCTTGGCCTCCCTATTTAAAACTGTACCCCTTCCTACACCACTGACTTTCAACATTCCTATCTTCCCTTCTCTGCTTTACTTTTCCTCATTGCACTTACATTACCACATATTTACCCACGTATATTATTTGTCAGACTCCCACTGAAATCTAAGTTCCATGAGTACACTGCTGCATTCCCATGTCTGGAAGAGTATCTGGTACTTAACAGACCCCAACTGTCACCTGTAAATGAATGTATGAACGAATCAAAACCAAGAATGGACTAATTGAAGGTCTCTTATTTCAGGAATATTTCTTATTCTTTTAAAAAAAACAAACAAAAAAACTGATTTTACAGTTAAGATACAAAATCCTGTAAGCCCTTTCACTGAAAATGCTCCTTAAGGTGCCTTTCAGTTCTCAGCCAAAACTTGGCTTAGCTTACTTCTTCCTTTTAATTACTAATCATTTTTCTTTTAGCAACTATGACACAGGATACTTCTGAATCACATCAGCAATTTAAACACAGGACTTGCAGAAACAAGGAAATGTGGCAACATTATAGTCTGTACTAGTAGGCACGGTCATCAAGTCAAACAATTTAGCTATACATTTTCCTTCCCTACTGGAAGATAAAGATACTTGCTTTAAAAGAATCACCTGGCTGTACATCAATCCACCACGTTGCTTAATGCCTTTATGTCCACTTTTGCTTCACCTATTTTTTTCCCCAAGCAAAACTGGTTGCATTGGTTTAGGCATGGATTGTGTCATCTCCTAACAGTCTCATGATTTCTATTGGTCTGCTGAGTTCTTTAGCAAGTTCCATAAATGTCAGTCTCTGAATATATCAAACTTTACCCTATAGGGCAAATCATCATTTGGTGATGACAGGCTACTGCGTCATCATGTTCCTTGCGGGCTGCAGGAAAGATGATAGGGCAATCAGAGATCAGCCTGTAAGCGTTACTGTCTGGCCTATGCCTTCCCTTTCTGACAAAACCCTGCACTTAAATTTACCAATCTGACAAAGATGTATGCCTCTCTAGAGCACACAGGTAATTTATTGAACAGAGAATAAAACTTTTGTTTTCTTCCCTTCATACCAATACTCTTAAATCATTCTTCTCACATCTTTAAAGAAATTCCAATGCTTTCAAGATCTGATTGAAAATCAAACCTGACATCCCAAACCTGAGTATTCCTCAACTTATCTCCTACCTATTCTTCAAGGTCCTGCTTAAATCCCACCTCCACTGCATGAACTTCTCAAGTTCCTTCATTCACAATTTCTCTCCTCTCTTCTCACAATAGTAATTTTACTCTCAACACTTCTTGTTATTAACCATGTCAAATATGTGAGTGTGTGCCTACCTCCTAACAAGCCTGAGAGTCCATGGAATTAAATGCAAGATTCCAAGGAATATGCCTAGCACAGTGCTTTAGGTTTGTAGCTACCCAATAAGTACTGAATTTTTGTACTTACAAAAACTCCCTATGGTGAAATTCATTCCCTCAATCAAAACATATGAGAGGACAATTCTATCAAGTACTGTGTTGGGCACTGATGATGAAGGATCACAAACCATCCCAGCCTTCCAAGACAGAAAGGGACCATTTTCTTTTCTGCCTATCCAATCTCTCACATATTTTTCATAAACCCAGTTCAAATACCACCTGACCCCCACCGCTCCCATTTGCAGTACCTATCACACAGCCCATGCCTAAGTCCTCTATAGCCTCACTGCGACTTAAGAACAGCGCCTGGAAGCTCTCTTAAAGAAACAGTGTGGTGTAACCAAAGGCAAAGATTGTGAAAAAGCACAGAATGGCTAAAATTCCAATATCCTCATTCCGATCTTTGTGGCCCCATTACGATCTTGTGGCCTTGGGCAAATCAGTTAATGTTTTTAAACCTTGGCAAGGGTATACAAATACCATCTACATTACTGCAGTATTATAACGAATAAGAGATTTTTTATTTATTTTTATTTATTTATTTACTTATTTGAGACAGAGTTTCGCTCTTGTTGCCCAGGCTGGAGTGCAGTGGCGCGATCTCGGCTCACCACAACCTCCGCCTCCCGGGTTCCAGCGATTCTCCTGCCTCAGCCTCCCTAGTAGCTGGGATTACAGGCATATGCCACCACGCCCGACTAAACTTGTATTTTTAGTAGAAACGGGGTTTCTCCATGTTAGTCAGGCTGGTCTCGAACTCCCGACCTCAGGTGATCCGTCCGCCTCGGCCTCCCAAAGTGCTGGGATTACAGGCATGAGCCACCGCGCCCGGCCAAGGGATATTTTTAAAATGTTAAAAAGCTACTGAGTCAAATCCAGAGAATTAGTAGGTGTTCAATAAAGCTGATCTCCCTTCCTCGAAAGCGCTAGCGCTGTGATTTGCAGAGAGGCCGCGGCAACTCGTGCCATGGGCACCACCCGCCAGACCAGCGGTCTAGCGGTCCAAGACGCCTCGGCCACCCCCCACCACCGCACCGGGCCTCACCTTGGTGGTCGTAGACGCTAATGTAGGAGATGCCCACGGCCATACACCACACCACGAGGCTCGCGATGTCCGAGAAGCTGGGTTCCTGCTCCACCTCGGTGATCACCAGGCCCATATGCACAGGCAGCTTCTCCAAGGAACGACCGTCCGCGCGCCAGCGCATCCGGTGGTGTGCGGCTGCCAGGCACGACCCCCCGCGCGGGTGCCGGTGGTGACGGCGGTTCCTGCCGACTGCCGGGGGCTTGCGGAGCGTGAAGCCGAGCGGCGCTAGGACCGCGGCAGAGGCGGCGCGGCAGCAGCGCCGCCAGATCCAGTTCCAGGTGCCGAACCGAACGCGGAGCCAGGAGGTGAGCGTGCGGTGCAGACAGAGCAGCGCGTGCAGCACCCGCCACACCAGCTCGTACAGCCCCGTCATACTCTTGTGGCCCTCAGACACCCCCTCTCCCTCCCGCCCACTCCCGCAGCGCGACGGCTTTTTATCCGCCCCTGCGGCCGGCGCGGGCCATCGCTCCGCGTCCCCCCGCCCCCCGAGCCCGAACCCCTTTCCACTGCCAACACCTCACCTCGCCCCCGCCGCCATCTTCCTCCTCCCTTGGCAGCCCCGCCCCCAGTAGTACATGGACAGTTCCGATTGGCCAGCGTGGAATTCTGACGCGGCTTCTGGGTCCGAGAACGTGGCCCGTTCCGGCGCAGTGAGGGAAGGCGCACGCCTGCGAACTAGCCGGGCCGATACCGCGGGCGCCCCCTGGTCGCGTGGAGGGCGATGAGCGAACGACCCGGGACTTGTCTGAATGGGACCCCAGCAAGGCACACGTGGTCTTCAATGCGATGGGCGCTTCCAGGGGACCCGGCGTCCCTTGGGTCCAGGAAGTCTTATACTGTCTCCTCTCACGGCCCCGACAGAAACGGTTTCTGAGGAGTAGAAGTGTCCTAAGTGGATTGGAAATTACAAATGCCGGAAAGAACCTAGGGATGGAAAGCAGCCCTCAGTAAGTGTTGATGCTGGGAATCCACCAGGGTTTCCAAAAGTGTCCTCAAAGGCTGGAGTGATCCTGCTACTGTCCTTTATTCAGCCTCCCGGCTGAGGCTGGGAGCGAGGCTCTTTAGCCATGTTCCTGAAACACCCCTCTACCCATGTCATTCTCATCTAAGGTATCCTTTCCTGGCTGTACATTGCTTAATAGAGGCTCTACAGCTTGGCAGTCCAGTCACTTAATTCTTTTTTTTTTTTTTTTTTTTTATTCGGCAAGACTTTGACCAACCGCCGTGGGTTAGGTTTACAGTGGGGAAAAAAAATAGAAATTGTGCCTGACTTCAATGACCGCCACTATTTGAAGCAAACTGCCCATCCAAGCCTTATCATCCCCTTTAACACCCTAATGTTTCTGTCCATGTGGACTTCGACGTGGTCCTCTAGAATGGTTTTGTACTTCCCCGCGGTAAGTCTGTACTGTCTTTGCCCTTTTTGTTCAAGCTCTTCTCCTGAATTCCTGATTCCCGACTTGGTATTGCCGACATTCCAACCCATTTCTCAAGGTTTATCCTACATGCTACATCCTCTATCATCATATATATGTGTGTGTGCAACAATAATATTTATATTATTTGCATTTATATTTATATAAGTATATATATAAAGATTAGGGAGGTATTACAAAAATGCAACTGTACACATACACACGTATACACACATATTTACACACGTGTGTGTGTGTAAACAGTTGCGTTTTTGTAATACCTACCTATTCTTTGTTCGCTAAAGCCTCTTTTTCCCCCTGGGAAACATCTGTTCACGTCTTGGCTATGTGACTTAATTTTTCTAACATTGTCACTTTTTCAACTAGTCTCATTTTGGTTTCTAAGACTCATTTAACTTTACTTTAAAAGTTGAATCTCATGTCCATCTCCCTTTCGCAGTGCAATTTTCCTCCCTTTGGCAGTGCAGCCTGAAGAACTGAGGGCTGGGCACCAGGCACACCCTTCACACACTTCTTTCTCTCCAGGTCTCCTCTGCGGTAGCTCCTCTGATGATGGACAAAGAAGGAGAGGCGAAAGGCCATGATCAGGGAAGCCTACAGTCTTCTTCCTCACTGCCCATTGCTGTAGTTTATGCAGCTACATGATGCTTGTTAAGGAAGCTCCCTAGACACCAGTGTCCCATTGAGATTTGGCCACGTATTCTGCAGACCCCACCCCACCCCCCATGCCGACTATGTTGCCACATTTCTCTACCGTACTCATTTCTTTGCCCCAATGTCTATCCGTTCTGACAAGATTAAAGACATCAATCTCATGTTCCCGTGGCCTGCTCTCAGGTGTGCAGGCACAAACAGGCTCTATCTTCTGTATTTCTTTTTTCCTTTTTTTTTGAAACGGAGTCTCGCTCAGTCGCCCAGGCTGGAGGGCAGTGGTGCGATCTCAGCTCACTGCAGGCTCCGCCTCCCGGGTTCACGCCGTTCTCCTGCCTCAGCCTCCCGAATAGCTGGGACTACAGGTGCCCGCCACTACGCCCGGCTAATTTTTTGTGTGTTTTTAGTAGAGGCGGGGTTTCACCATGTTGGTCTTGAACTCCTGACCTCAGGTGATCCGCCCGCCTTGGCCTCCCAAAGTGCTGGGATTACAGGCGTGAGCCACTGCGTCCGGCCCCTGTATTTCTTTGAATTGCAAACTTAAGCAAAAGGATTCTAGCCACATGTCCATCTGACACACTCACATGCAGATCCTGGCGTCTCTCCCCAGACATTTGCTTGCTTTCCTCCTAGAGTTTCCTCCTAGTAGCAGGTCCCCTAGCTCCCAGGATGTTCAGCCTCCTAAAGAGTGGTGGGGCGGCGGTACCCACTTTTCTTCTCTGTCAGCTGTCAGTAGGCTAGGGATGGAGGGTCTCATACAGAACAGTTCTCTGGGGGCCTTGAACCAACACAGTTCTTCCCCTTTTCTCACTTGTAGTTCTCGAGAATAACTGTAGAATGTGTTGGAATGCAATATACTATAGACAAGGAGGAACTGACCAGAACAGCCCAGGCTCTGTTCCAGTCTCTTCTAGAAATAGGATGTCCTTCAACTAGTACTAGCCCAGCACATCCCATTGCCCTGTAGTAAAAACTGAGAGCAGACTGCTTTCTGGGGTCCCTTAGTTGCGGTGCAAGCAGTGCACGAGCAGATGAGACGCCATCCTCCCTAAGAAGTTTTCCTCGGCCTTGGGAGATATGGTCATTATGACATGCTTCTGTTGTCCCTTGCTGCCTGTCTGTAAGTAATAAACCCACTTCGTGTAACTTGTGTGTGAGTGTTCTGCGTCACTGGACACTGGATATAGGAAAAGTGCAGTCCAAAATGCAGTGGGCTGAACCGGTAACCAGTGCACAGTGAACCTGCTTTGCATCTGGTGGTTGCTGTCAACTTCAGGCTGCTTCACTGTTCTTAGAAGGAGGTGGACTCAGTGCCTTTTGTTCTCAGCCACAATTCTGGAATAACAGGAAAGCCACACTGGATGTCTTGCTCTGGACATACTTGGAATCTTAAGTTTATGGAGTTCTCTCTCTTCTAAAGATTTTCTTCTTTTGTCATTTCAAAAAAGCAGTAAATGTGGCACATTTAGGAACTTAGGGGTTCTGAATATAATGTTTGGATTTCTTAAATACCATTTAACCTTCCACCCCAAAATTTTATGAAGCACAGGAAAATACAGAAAGAGTTATCCAGCCTCAGACTCTTAAGCCCAAAACACTATGGGGATGGTATTTCATTTACTTTTCAGTTTACAAAATGCTTTACATTATCTTAATCCTTACGACCACTGCTACTTTTACTGTCTCCATAGTTTTACCTTTTCCAGAATGTTACACAGTTGGAATCACACAGTATGTAGCCTTTTCTTATTGCCTTATGTCACTTACTAATATGCATTTAAGCTTGTCCATGTCTTTTCATGATTTCATACCTCATTTCTTTTTAGTGCTGAATAATATCCCATTGCTGGATGTACCACATTCCATTGCTGATGTACCACAGAATTTATCTGTTCACCTACTGAAGGACAACTTGGTGGCTTCCAAGTTTTAGCAATTATAAATAAAACTGCTATAAATATCAATGTGCAGGTTTTGTGTAGATATAGGTTTTCAACTTATTTGGATAAGTACCAAGGAGAAGGCCAGGCATGGCTGACTCCTATAATCCCAGCACTTTGGGAGGCCAAAGCAGACTGAGCGCTTGAGCTCAGGAATTTGAGACCAGCCTGGGCAACATGGTGAAAACCTGACTCTACCAAAAATACAAAAAATTAGCTGGGCATGGTGGCATGTGCCTGTGGTCCCAGCTACTTGGGAGGCTGAGGTGGGAGGATTGCTTGAGCCCGGGAGGTTGAGGTTGCAGTGAGCTGAGATCACACCACTGGATTCCTGCCTCGGTGACAGAGTGAGACCCCATCTCTGAAAAAAAAAGAAAAAAAATACCAAGGACCACAATTGCTGAATCATACAGCGAGAGTGTGTTCAGTTTTGCAAGAAACTGCCAAAATGTCTTCCAAAGTGTCTATACTATTTTGCATTTCCACCAGCAACAAATGAGTTCATATTGTTCCACATCCTTGCCAGCATTTTGTGTTGTTAGTGTTTTGGATTTCAGTTGTAGTGTTTTGAATTTTGGCTGTTCTAATAGGCGTATAGCAGTATTTCATTGTTTGAATTTGCAATTCCCTAATGATTTATGATGTTGGTATCTTTCTGTATGCTTATTTGCCATCTGTCCATCTTCTTTGTTGAGGTGTCTGTTCATTTCTGTTAAAACCCCATTTTAAAATGAGGTCGTTTGTTTTCTCATTGTTGAGTTTTAAGAGTTCTTTGTACATTTTGGATAATAGTCCTTTATCAGATATGTCTTTTGCAAGTATTTTCTCCCAGTCTGTGGCTGGTCTTCTCATTCTCTTGGCAGTATCTTTTGCAGAACAGAAGTTTAAATTTTAATAGAATCAAACTTACCAATTTTTTTTCACATTTTTTGTGCCTTTGGTAGTTGTATAAGTCTGTTCTCACACTGCTAATAAAGACATACCTGAGACCAGGTAATTTATAAAGGAAAGTGGTTTAGTTGACTCACAGTTCCACATGGCTGGGGAAGCCTCATAATCATGGCACAAGGTGAATGAGGAGCAAAGTCACGTCTTAAATGGTGGCAGGCAAGAGAGCTTGCGCTGGGGAACTCCCATTTATAAACACAGATGTTGTGAGACTTAATCACTACCAAAAGAACATTATGGGGGAAATCATTCCCATAATCTAATTATTTTTACCTAGCCCTGCTCTTGACACATGAGGATTATTACAGTATAAGGTGAGATTTGGGTGGGTACACAGCCAAACCATATCATTCCACCCCAGCCCCTCTCAAGTCTCATGTCCTCACATTTGAAAACCAATCATGCCTTCCCAATAGTCTCCCAAAGTCTTAACTCATTTCAGCATTAACTCAAAAGTCCACAGCCCCAAGTCTCATCTGAGACAAGGCCCCTTCCGCCTATGAGCCTGTAAGATCAAAAACAAGTTAATTACTTCTAGATACAGTAGGGGTACAGGCAATGGGTACCTACACCCATTCCAAATGGGAGAAATTGGCCAAAACAAAGGGGCTACAGGCCCTATGCAAGACCGAAATCTAATAGAACAGTTGTTAAACCTTAAAGTTCCAAAATGATCACCTTTGACTCCATGTTTCATATCCAGGCCATACTGATGCAAGAGGTTGGCTCCCATGGCCTTGGGCAGCTCCGCCTCTGTGGCTTTGCAGGGTACAGGCCTGCTCCTGGCTGCTTTCATGGACTGGTGTTGAGTATCTGCAGCTTTTCCAGATGCCTGGTGCAAGCTGTCAGTGGATCTACCATTCTGTGGTCTGGAGGACAATGGCCCTCTTCTCACATATCCACCAGGCAGTGCCCAGTGGGAACTCTGTATGGGGGCTCCAACCCCACATTTCCCTTTCACACTGCCCTAGCAAAGGTTCTACATAAGGGCCCTGCCCCTGCAGCACACCTCTGCCTGGACTTTCAGGCATTTCCATACATCCTCTAAAATCTAGGCTGAGGTCCCCAAACCTCAATTCTTGTTTTCTGCACACTGCAGTACCAACACCACGTGGAAGCTCCCAAGGCTTGGGGCTTGTACCCTCTGAAGTAACAGCCTCTTACCTTGGCCCCTTTTAGCCATGGGCTGGAATGGCTGGGACATGGAGCACCAAGTCCAGAGGTTGCACACAGCAGAGGGGCCCTGGACCTGGACCAGGACTAGGAAATTATTTTTCCCTCCTAAGCCTCCTGGCCTGTGATGGGAGGGGCTGCTGTGAAGTTCTCTGACATGCCCTGGAGACACTTCCACCCCGACACCTTGTCTGGGTCATTAGCATTTGGCTTCTCGTTACTTATGCAAATTTCTGCAGCCAGCTTGAATTTCTCCCCAGAAAATGGGTTTTTCTTTTCTACTGCATTGTCGGGCTGCAAACGTTTCGAACTTTCAGGCTCAGCTTCCTCTTGAACACTTTGCCACTTAGAAATTTCTTCTACCAGATACCCTAAATCGTGTTTCCCAAGTTCATAGTTCCACAGATCTCTAGGGCAGGGGCAAAATGCCACATGTCCAGCTCCCAACAAACTCCTCATCTCCATTTGAGACCACCTCAGCCTGGACTTTATTATCCATGTCACTGTCAGCATTTGGGTCAAAGCCATTCAACAAGCCTCTAGGAAGTTCCAAATTTTCCCACATCTTCCTGTCCTCTTCTGAGCCCTCCAAACTGTTCCATCCTCTGTCTGTTACCCAGTTCCAAAGTCGGTTTCACATTTTTGGGTATCTTTACAGCAGCATCCCACTCTCAGTGCCAATTTACTCTCTTAGTCTGTTCTCACACTGCTAATAAAGACATGCCTGAGACTGGGTAGTTTATAAAGGACATAAATTTAATTGACTCAGGCCCCAAGGTCTCTTTAGTCAACAGGTAATAAATTCTGCCAGCACTGTATCCTTTCCTTCTAGGAAGCAGGTTCCCTCTGGCCCAGGGTATATCTAGAAATGTCATCTGGGAGCTAGGGCCTGGAATGGAGCCTCATGAGTCTGCCTAATGCTCTATTCTACTGTGGCTAAGCTGGTGTCCAAGTTGCAAGACAAAGTACCCTTTGTTCTTCCCTCTCCTCTCCTGAAACAACAAAACAATTCCTTTGTTAGGTACATAACATACATAATAAGGATTTTTCTATCTTCTTGAAGAATTGACCTTATCATTATACAGTGCTTCTCTTTATTACTGACAAGTTTCCTTGCTCAGAAGTCTCCTCTGTCTGAAATTAATATAGCTACTCTTGCTTTCTTTTGGTTAGTGTTAGCCTGGTATATCTTTATCCATCTTTTTACTTTTAATTTATGTATATTTACATTTAAAGTGGGGGTCTTATGGAAAGCATATCGTTGGATCTTGTTTTTAGATTCACTTTGACAATCTCTGTTTTTTTTTTAACTGACCCAAATGAGGAACAAATTATCTGATTTTTAATTAGTATATTTAGACCATTAATGTTTAAAGTGATTATTGATATAGCTGAATTAATATTTACTGTATTTGTTACTTTTTTCTATTTGCTGTACTTGTTTTTTGTTTCTATTTGTGTCTTCCACTTTTTTTCTGTCTCTTATGGTTTAAATTGAGCCTTTTATATGATTCCATATACTCTCTTAGCATACCAGTCATACCTCTTTTTTTTTTTTTTACTGTTTTTAGTGGTTGCCCTAGACTTTGCAATATATATTTATAAATAATCCAAGTCCACTTTCAAATAACACTATACTTCTTCATGGGTAGTACAAGTACCTTATAATAACAAAATAATCCTAATTCCTTCTTCCAATTTCCTTTTATAATTCCTATCATTCATTTCACTTATACATATGCATACATATATAATATCTATGCATACATAATCAAATATATATGTTCACATAATTGAATACATTGTTGAAGTTACCATTCTGAACACACTGTTATCTGTTAGATCAATTAAGAATTAGAAAAATAAATTCATTTATTTTACCTTCACTTATTTATTCTTTATTGCTCTTTGTTGCTTTATTTAGATCTGAGCTTCTAACCTATCTCATTTGCCTTCTCTCTGAAGAACTTCTTTTTAACATTTCTTATAAAGCAAATCTGCGGGCAACAAACACCCTCAATTTTTGTCTGAGAAAGTTTTCTTTTTCCTTCACTTTTGAAGTATAATTTTGCAGGCTACAGAGTTCTAGATTGGTGGGGTTTTTTTCTTTCAACACTAATATATTTCACTTTACTCTTTTCTTGTTTGCATAGTTTCTGAGAAGCTGGATGTAATTCTTATATTTCCTCCTTCATAGGTGTTTTTTCTCTCCGACTTCTTTCAAGACTTTTTCCTTATCTTTGACTTTTTGAAGTTTGAATATGATATGCCTAGGTGTAGTTTTGGGGGCATTTATCCTGCTTGGTATTCTATGAGCTTCCTGACCCTGAAGTTTGGTATCTGATGTTACTTTGGGGGAAATTCTCAGTTGTTACTGCTTCAAATGTTTTTTTTTCTTTTTCTCTTTCTTCTTTTTCTGGAATCTCCACTTAACATAGTTACACAATTTTTAGTTGTCCCAACAGTTCTTAGATATCCTGTTTATTTTTCTCCTTAATCTTTTCTGTCTTTGCTTTTCTGTTTTGGAATTTCTAGTGGTATACCCTCAAGCTCAGAGATATTTTTCCTCAACTGTGCGCAGTCTACTAATGAGCCCATCAAAGGTATTCTTCATTTCTGTTACAGTAATTTTGATCTCTAACATTTCTTTTTGACTCTTTCTTAGAATTTCCATCTCTGCTTACATTGCCTATCTATTTTTGCATGCTGTCTACTTTCTCCATTAGAGTCCTTAGGATATTAATCACAGTTGTTTTAAATTCCTGGTCTGATAATTTCAACATCTGTGCTATATCTCGGTCTGATTCTGATTCATGCTCTTTTTCAAACTGTATTTTTTGCATGTTAGCATGCCTTGCAATTTTTTGTTGATAGCCAGACATGATGTGCTGGGTAAAAGGAACTGCTGTATATCTACTATTGGTAATGTGGTTGTAAGGTACTTGTTTTTGTAAAGTTTTATTGGAACACAGCCACATCCATTCATTTATGAATACAGCAGTTTATGGCAGAGTTGAGTAGTAACAACAGAGAACTCAAGGCCTACAAAGTCTAAAATATATATATATTGGGTTGTACCCATAAAAAGTTTGCCAACACCTGATTTAGATTATAAAGTCTCTTCAGTAAAAGGAACTTTATTCTTATTAGCTTTAGAGGCTAAAAAGTATTATATACATCTAATATCCCTAGAACTCCCAGATAATAAGAAACTATTAATATGTGCTAGTTTTTTAGGGGGTGAAATCCCTTTTTGACAAAAACTACTAGGTCACAAGCATTTTTATTTAACAATCCAAAATCCTTAGGTAAATCACACTGGCTTGATAGTTTGGGTTTTTAAAAAAATTTCTAAGTTCATTCCCTGGATTTATCTTCACATAAAGAAACTAGTCAGTATAAACTTCCTGAATTTTTGCACTGAGTTACTGATCAGATACATTTACTCCCATATAATGTTTTAAATTAGGAAAAATATAAAATTATAAACTCAACAGTTTAGAACTATATAAATTCTGAGAAACTTTTTATATCAACATTAATTATGATCTGTAATGTATCATCTTAAATAGAATTTCCAAAATCTTTAATTAACTTTAAGACCTGGAATAATATGAAATCAGGTTAGTTAATTGACTAATTGATATAAGTTGCATCAATAACTTCTAAGTGACATAGAATACTGAAACATTGGTCACATATATACATATATTCTTATATATACACATTGATACATATGTGCATGTATATACATTTAGTGTATATATATATATATATTACACCAACCTAGAACTCTGTACCCTGCAAAATTATACTTCAAAAGTGAAGGAAAAAGAAAACTTTCTCAGACAGACAAAAATTGAGGGTGTTTGTTTCTAGTAGGTTTGCCTTACAAAGAATGTTAAAAGAAGTTATTCAGAGAAAAGGCAAATGAGATAGGTTAGAAACTCAGATCTACATAAACACACATAAATACACACTAAATGTATATAAACACACAAATATATTTTACTGTATGTATCTATGTATTTATAGTATGTGCTCTATGTATAAAAGATTGACTAATTTGATTATCTGAAGGATTAAGGGAGGAGACCACCCCTCATATTGTCTTATGCCCAATTTTTGCCTCCAAAGAAAGAAGAAGTAAAAACTAAAAGGCAGAAATGAAATCCATAGGCAGACAGCCCAGCACTGCGCCCTGGGCCTGGTAGTTAAAGATCGACCCCTAACTGGTTATGTTATCTATAGATTCCAGACATTGTATGGAAAAGCATTGTGAAAATCCCTGTCCTATTCTGTTCCGATCTGATTACTGGTGCATGCAGCCCCCAGTCACATACCCGCTGCTTGCTCAATCGATCACAACCCTCTCACGTGGACCCCCTTAGAGTTGTGAGCCCTTATAAGGGACAGTAATTGCTCACTCTGGGAGCTCGGCTGTTGAGACAGAAGTCTTGCCAATGCTACCAGCTGAATAAACACCCCCTTCTTTAACTCGGTGTCTGAAGAGTTTTGTCTGTGGCTCATCCTGCTACAGGATAACTTTTTTTTTTTCTTTGAGATGGAGTTTCACTCTTGTTGCCCAGGCTGGAGTGCAGTGGTGCGATCTCAGCTCACTGCAACCTCCACCACCCAGGTTCAAGCGATTCTCCTGCCTCAGCCTCCCAAGTAGCTGGGATTACAGGCACACGCTGTCAGGCCTCTGAGCCCAAGCTAAGCCATCATATCCCCAGTGACCTGCACGTATACATCCAGATGGCCTGAAGCAACTGAAGATCCACAGAAGTGAAAATAGCTTAACTGATGACATTCCACCATTGTGATTTGTTTCTGTCTCACCCTAACTGATCAATGTTCTTTATAATCTCCCCCACCCTTAAGAAGTTTCTTTGTAATTCTCCCCACCCTTGAGAATGTACTTTGTGAGATCCACCCCTGCCCCCAAAACATTGCTCTTAACTCCACCACCTATCCCAAAACCTATAAGAACCAATGATAATCCCACCACCCTTTGCTGACTCCTTTTTCAGACTCAGCCCACCAGCACCCAGTTGAAATAAACAGCCATGTTGCTCACAGAAAGCCTGTTTGGTGATCTCTTCACACGGACACATGAAACATTTGGTGCCAAAGACCCGGGTCAGTGGGACTCCTTTTGGAGACCAGTCCCCTGTCCTCACCCTCACTCCGTGAAGAGATCCACCTACGACCTCAGGTCCTCAGACCAACCAGCCCAAGGAACATCTCACCGATTTTAAATCAGGTAAGCAGCCTCTTTTTACTCTCTTCTCCAACCTCTCTCACTATCCCTCAACCTCTTTCTCCTTTCAATCTTGGCGCCACCCTTCAATCTCTCCCTTCTCTTAATTTCAATTCCTTTCATTTTCTGGTAGAGACAAAGGAGACACATTTTATCCGTGGACCCAAAACTCTGGCGCCAGTCACGGACTCGGGAAGGCAGCCTTCCCATGGTGTTTAATCATTGCGGGATGCCTCTCTGATTATTCACTCATGTTCCATTGGTGTCTGATCTCCACGGGGATGCCTACCTTGATCATTCACCCACGTTCCCTTGGTGACAAGTCAATTGTGGGGACACCTGCTTTGGCTGCTCACCCACGTTGCAGCCCAGGGCTGCTCTCCACCCCCCTTCTCCATGTCTCTACCCTTCTCTTTAAACTTGCCTCCTTCACTATGGGCAACCTTCCACCCTCCATTCCTCCTTCTTCTCCCTTAGTCTGTGTTCTCAAGAACTTAAAACCTCTTCAACTCTCACCTGACCTAAAATCTAAGTGTCTTATTTTCTTCTGCAATACTGCTTGACCCCAATACAAACTCGACAATAGTTCCAAGTGGCCAGAGAATGACACTTTGGATTTGTCTATCCTGCAAGATCTAGATAATTTTTGTTGAAAAATGGGCAAATGGTCGGAAGTGCCTGACATCCAGGCATTATTTTACACATTGGTCCCTCCCTAGTCTCTGCTCCCAGTGAGACTCATCCCAAATCTTTCTTCTTTCTCTCCTGTCTGTTCCTTCAGTCTCCACTCCAAGCTCTGAGTCCTTTGAATCCTTCTTTTCTACGGACTCATCTGACCTCTCCCCTTCTCCCCAGGCTGCTCCTCACCAGGCCGAGCCAGGTCCCAATTCTTCCTCAGCCTCTGCTCCCCGACCCTATAATCCTTTTATCACCTCCCCTCCTCACACCTGGTCCGGCTTACAGTTTCGTTCCATAACTAGCCCTCCCCCACCTGCCCAGCAATTTCCTCTTAAAAAGGTGGCTAGAGCTAAAGGCATAGTCTAGGTTAATGCTCCTTTTTCTTTATCCAACCTCTCCCAAATCAGTTAGCATTTAGGCTCTTTTTCATCAAATATAAAAACCCAGCCCAGTTCATGGCCCGTTTGGCAGCAACCCTGAGACGCTTTACAGCCCTAGACCCTGAAAGGTCAGAAGGCCGTCTTAGTCTCAATATGCATTTTATTACCCAATCTGCTCCCAACGTTAGAAAAAGCTCCAAAAATTAGATTCTGGCCCTCAAACCCCACAACAGGACTTAATTAACCTCGCCTTCCAGGTGTACAGTAACAGAGTAGAGGCAGTAAAGTAGCAATGTATTTCTGAGTTACAGTTCCTTGCCTCCACTGTGAGACAAGCCCCAGCCACATCTCCAGCCACAAGAACTCCAAACACCTGAACCGCAGCTGCCAGGGGTTCCTCCAGAACATCCCCCTCCAGGATCTTACTTCAAGTGCCGGAAATCTGGCCACTGGGCCATGGAATGCCCACAGCCCGGGATTCCTCCTAAGCCATGTCCCATCTGTGCAGGACCCCACTAGAAATTGGACTGTCCAACTGGCCCAAGGCTCTGATCGACTCCTTCCCAGATCTCCTCGGCTTAGCAGCTGAAGACTGACACTGCCTGATCGCCTCGGAAGCCCCTTGGACCATCACGGACGCTGAGCTTCGGGTAACTCTCACAGTGAAGGGTAAGTCCATCCCCTTCTTAATCAATACGGAGGCTACTCACTCCACATTACCTTATTTTCAAGGGCCTGTTTCCCTTGCCTCCATAACTGTTGTGAGTATTGACGGCCAGGCTTCTAAACCTCTTAAAACTCCCCAACTCTGGTGCCAACTTGGACAATATTCTTTTATACACTCCTTTTTAGTTATCCCCATCTGCCCAACTCCCTTATTAGGTTGAGACATTTTAACTAAATTATCTGCTCCTCTCACTATTCCTGGGCTACAGCCATACCTCATTGCCACCTTTTCCCCCATTTCAAAGCCTCCTTCACATCCTCTCCTTGTATCTCCCCACCTTAAATCCACAAGTATAGGACACCTCTACTCCCTCCTTGGCGACCGATCATGCACCCCTTACCATCTCATTAAAACCCAATCACCCTTACCCCGCTCAACGCCAATATCCCATCCCACAGCACACTTTAAAAGGATTAAAGCCTGTTATCACTTGCCTGTTACAGCATGGGCTTCTAAAACCTATAAACTCTCCTTACAATTCCCCCATTTTACCTGTCCAAAAACCAGACAAGTCTTACAGGTTAGTTCAGGATCTGCGCCTTATCAACCAAATTGTTTTGTGTATCCACCTTGTAGTGCCCAACCCTTACACTCTTTTGTCCTCAATGCCTTCTTCCACAACTCACTCTTCCGTTCTTGATCTTAAAGATGCTTTTTTCACTATTCCCCTGCACCTCTCATCCCAGCCTCTCTTTGCTTTTACCTGGACTGACCCTGACACCCATCAGTCCCAGCAGCTTACCTGGGCTGTGCTGCCGCAAGGCTTCAGGGACAGCCCTCATTACTTCATCCAAACTCTTTCCCATGATTTACTTTCTTTCCACCTCTCTGCTTCTCACCTTATTCAATATATTTGATGACCTTCTACTTTGTAGCCCCTCCTTTGAATCTTCTCAACAAGACACCCTCCTGCTCCTTCAACATTTATTCTCCAAAGGATATCCAGTATCCCCCTCCAAAGCTCAAATTTCTTCTCCATCTGTTACCTACCTTGGCATAATTCTTCATGAAAACACACGGGCTCTCCCTGCAGATTGTGTCCGACTGATCTCTCAAACCCCAACACCTTCTACAAAACAACAACTCCTTTCCTTCCTAGGCATGGTTGGATACTTTCGCCTTTGGATACCTGGTTTTGCCATCCTAACAAAACCATTATATAAACTCACAAAAGGAAACCTAGCTGACCCCATAGATCCTAAATCCTTTCCCCACTCCTCTTTCCATTCCTTGAAGACAGCTTTAGAGACTGCCCCCACACTAGCTCTCCCTGACTCATCCTAACCCTTTTCATTACACACAGCCGAAGTGCAGGGCTGTGCAGTCGGAATTCTTACACAAGGACTGGGACCACGCCCTGTAGCCTTTTTGTCCAAACAACTTGACCTTATTGTTTTAGGCTGGCTATCATGTCTCCATGCAGCAGCTGCCACTGCCCTAATACTTTTAGAGGCCCTCAAAATCACAAACTATGCTCAACTCACTGTCTACAGCTCTCATAACTTCCAAAATCTATTTTCTTCCTCACACCTGATGCATATATTTTCTGTTCCCCAGCTCCTTCAGCTGTATTCACTCTTTGCTGAGTCTCCCACAGTTACCACTGTTCCTGGCCCGGACTTCAATCTGGCCTCCCACATTATTCCTGATACCACACCTGACCCCCATGACTGTATCTCTCTGATACAGTTGGCATTCACTCCGTTTCCCCATATTTCCTTCTTTTCTGTTCCTCACCCTGATCACACTTGGTATATTGATGGCAGTTCCACCAGGCCTAATTGCCACTAATCAGCAAAGGCAGGCTATGCTATAGTATCTTCCACATCTATCATTGAGGATACTGCTCTGCCCGCCTCCACTACCTCTCAGCAAGCCGAACTCATTGCCTTAACTCGGGCCCTCACTCTTGCAAAGGGACTACACGTCAATATTTATACTGACCCCATATCCTGCACCACCATGCTGTTATATGGGCTGAAAGAGGTTTCCTTACTACGCAAGGGTCCTCCATCATTAATGCCTCTTTAATAAAAGCTCTTCTCAAGGCTGCTTTACTTGCAAAAGAAGCTGGAGTCATATACTGCAAGGGCCACCAAAAGGCATCAGAACCCATCGCTCAGGGCAATGCTTATGCTGATAAGGTAGCTAATGAAGCAGCTAGAATTCCAACTTCTGTCCCTCATGGCCAGTTTTTCTCCTTCTCATCGGTCACTCCCACCTACTCCCCTGCTGAAACTTCCACCTATCAATCTCTTTCCACACAAGGCAAATGGTTCTTAACCAAGGGAAATATCTCCTTCCAACCTCACAGATCCATTCTATTCTGTCATCATTTCATAACCTCTTCCATGTAGGTTACAAGCCGCTAGCCTGTCTCTTAGAACCTCTCATTTCCTTTCCATCCTGGAAATCTATCCTCAAAGAAATCACCTCTCAGTGTTCCATCTGCTATTCTACTACCCCTCAGGGATTGTTCAGGCCCCCTCCCTTCCCTACACATCAAGCTCGGGTCAAGCTCGGGGATTTGCCCCTGCCCAGCACTGGCAAATTGACTTTACTCACATGCCCCGAGTCAGAAAACTAAAATAACTCTTGGTCTGGGTAGACACTTTCACTGGATGGGAAGAGGCCTTTCCCACAGGGTCTGAGAAGGCCACTGCAGTCATTTCTTCCCTTCTGTCAGATATAATTCCTCAGTTTGGCCTTCCCACCTCTATACAGTCTAATAACAGACCAGCCTTTATTAGTCAAATCACCCAAGCAGTTTCTCAGGCTCTTGGTATTTAATGGCGCCTGGTTTTACCTCAACTGCCACCCTTAAGTCTCTCTTTATGTGGATAGAAGATCTTCAGTGGCAAGGTACCCTCTAGTACTTGCACCCTGATGAAGTCCTGTTCTTTACTTTTATATTTACTCTTATTCTCATTCCCGTTCTTATGCCATCCTCTACCTCTCCCCAGCTATCTCCACCACACTATCAATCTCACTCTCTCCTAGCCATTTCTAATCCTTCTTTAACAAACAGTTGCTGGCTTTGCATTTCTCTTTCCTCCAAAATCACCAAGGCCCTGACTTACTCACTGCTTAAAAAAAAGGGGGGGGGGACTCTGTATATTTTTAAATGAAGGGTGTTGGTTTTACATAAATCAATCTGGCCTGGTATATGACAACATTAAAAAACTCAAGGATAGACCCCAAAAACTTGCCAACCAAGCAAGTAATTACGCTAACCCCCCTTGGACGCCCTTGGACTCTCTAATTAGATGTCCTGAGTCCCCCCAGTTCTTAGTCCTTTAATACTTGTTTTTCTCCTTCTCTTATTCAGACCTTGTGTCTTTCATTTAGTTTCTCAATTCATACAAAACCGCATCCAGGCCATCACCAATAATTCTATACTACAAATGCTCCTAACAGCCCCACAATGTCACCCCTTACCCCAAAATCCTTCTTCAGTTAACTCTCTTCCACTGTAGGTTCCCACGCCACCCCAATCCCGCTCGAAGCAGCCCAGAGAAACATCGCCCATTATCTCTCCATACCACCCCCAAAAATTTTCACCACCCCAACACTTTACCACTATTTTGTTTTATTTTTCTTATTAATATAAGAAGACAAGAATGTCAGGCCTCTGAGCCCAAGCTAAGCCATCATATCCCCAGTGACCTGCGCGTATACATCCAGATGGCCTGAAGCAACTGAAGATCCACAGAAGTGAAAATATCCTTAACTGATGACATTCCACCATTGTGATTTGTTTCTGCCCTACCCTAACTGATCAATGTTCTTTATAATCTCTCCGACCCTTAAGAAGTTTCTTTGTAATTCTCCCCACCCTTGAGAATGTACTTTGTGAGATCCACCGCCTGCCCCCAAAACATTGCTCTTAACTCCACTGCCTATCCCAAAACCTATAAGAACCAATGATAATCCCACCACCCTTTGCTGACTCCTTTTTCGGACTCAGCCCGCCTGCACTCAGGTGAAATAAACAGCCATGTTGCTCACAGAAAGCCTGTTTGGTGATCTCTTCACACGGACATGTGAGACACTCGCTACCACACCCGACTAATTTTTTGTATTTTTAGTAGAGAGGGGGTTTCACAATGTTGGGCAGGCTGGTCTTGAACTCCTGACCTCAGGTGATCCACACGCTTTGGCCTCCCAAAGTGCTGGGATTACAGGTGTGAGCCACCTCGCCCAGCCAGGATAACTTTTTCTGTAAGATGAAAGACATCATAATGCAAGCCATTTTGGAAAATATTTTGGGATAAAATGCTAGTAATATATCTGACAAAATAAAGATAATATCCCTACCATAAAAATAAACCTTACAAATTTATTTTTAGAAAAGATGAAGAGCTCGATTGCTTAATGGTCAAAGTATATGAATAGGTAATTAACAGAAGAGGAGATGCAAAGGCTAACAAATATATAAAAACCTTTTTATCTTACTAGTTGTCAGGAAAGTAAAAAATGAATTAATGAGATACCATTATTTTCACCCATCGGATTGGCAAAAAGTAAAGACTGCGCATAGATGCTGATGACTGCCCATAAAAAGGGACCCACAACGCTGCTGTTAAGAGTTTGAGTGTGAGTCAATACAACATTTGGAGGAAGTAATCTTTGTAAAATTATCGGTTGGGATTAATTACAATTGAAAATAGGCTGAGCACGGTGGCTCACACCTGTAATCCCAGCACTTTGTGAGACTGAGGTGGGAGGATCTCTTAAGGCCAAAAGTTCAGGACCAGCCTAGGCAACCTAGCAAGCTCCTATTTCTACAAAAAAATAAAAATAAAAATAAATTGGCTGGGTAAGGTGCTGAGAGTTTGTAATCCCAGCTACTTGGGAGACTGAATCAGGAGAATAGTTTAAACCCAGTGTCTCACACATCCATGTGAAGAGACCACCAAACAGGCTTTGTGTGAGCAACAAGGCTATTTATTTCACCTGGGTGCATGTGGGCTGAGTCCAAAAAGAGAGTCAGCAAAGGGTGGTGGGATTATCATTAGTTCTTACAGGTTTTGGGATAGGCAGTGGAGTTAGGAGCAATGTTTTGCAGGCAGGGGGTGGATCTCGCAAAGTACATTCTCAAGGGTTGGGAGAATTACAAAGAACCTTCTTTTTTTTTTTTTTTTTTGAGATGGAGTCTCGCTCTGTCGCCCAGGCTGGAGTGCAGTGGCACGATCTTGGCTCACTGCAAGCTCCACCTCCCAGGTTCATGCCATTCTCCTGCCTCAGCCTCCCGAGTAGCTGGGACTACAGGCGCCCGCCACCACGCCTGGCTAATTTTTCGCATTTTTAGTAGAGATGGGGTTTCACCGTGTTAGCCAGGATGGTCCTGATCTCCTGACCTCATGATCTGCCTGCCTCGGCCTCCCAAAGTGCTGGGATTACAGGCGTGAGCCACCACGCCCAGCCACAGAGAACCTTCTTAAGGGTGGGGGAGATTACAAAGTACATTGATCAGTTAGGGTGGGGCAGAAACAAATAGCAATGGTGGAATGTCATCAGTTAAGGCTATTTTCACTTCTTTTGTGGATCTTCACTTGCTTCAGGCCATCTGGATGTATACGTGCAGGTCACAGGGGATATGATGGCTTAGCTTGGGCTCAGAGGCCTGACACCCAGGAGTTCAAGGCTGCAGTGAGCCAAGATCATGCCACTGCACTCTAGCCTGGGTGACAGAGCAAGATCCTGTCTCTTAAAAATGAACGAACAAACAAAAAATAAAACAAAAAACACATAACCAACACAGGGATCCCAGTTTGGAATTTCATTACATTTCCAGGTGAATCATGAGCTACTTTTCATACAATACACAGAAATTTATTGCCTATTCAGACAATTTTCAGTGACATTGGGAATTGAGGGGAAAAAAAAGTGGTTGATAAATTCTAAGTAAAAAATTAGTACTATAGGCCTGAATAACAGTGATTTAATCCAGGGTGAGGGAGGTTGTGGCAGTTGTGGGGTTGTGTGGTGTGGAAGAGAATAGATTGAGCAAAAGGACTATATACTAAGTGTTTTTCTAATATGGAGATTGATTGGGTTAAGAACACTCCCACTCTGAAGGCAATTGTCAGTGACTGTTTTGAATGTTGAAAATAGGTATTAAATAAAATCCTTTATATTGGATTCTTAAAAACCGTGTTTTGTGGAAACCCATAGAGAATGTTAAAACAATATCTTGTTTTAGAAAAAGATGGGGAAATCCATTACACCACCTCTGTCCTGTCAAAAACAGATACCACCTAGAATGAAGGCAATCCTAGGGCTGAGACTATGCTAGTAAGACCCCTGAATCAAACCATTAAGATAATCCATTTTTATTAACTGGAATGACACCAGTTCCACAAGGTTTATTCTCACAAACATGGGCACTTTTACCATTCCCTGGGGCTTCAGACTGATATGCCAGCAAGAATCCAATTTAATTCCCCATCAATTATGGTATGTGATGCAAAAACATTGAGTTTCTGGGTGACTTGTAAAGACGGCAGTTATTTCATTTGTGTGCATATTTGGCTAAGCAAATTTAGCTAAGAGCAAAATATCAAATTAACTAAATGATGGGTGACATAACTGAGCCATGATGCATGATGAAGAGAGCTTTAGAAAATTATTATTCTGTAATCCCAGCACTTTGGGAGGTGGAGGAAGGCAAATCACTAGGTCAAGAGTTTGAGACCAGCCTGGCCAATGTGGTGAAACCCCATCTCTACTAAAAATACAAAAAATTAGCTGGGCATGGTGGTGAGCACCTGTAATACTAGCTAACTGGGAGGCTGAGTCTAGAGAATCACTTGAATCCAGGAGGCGGAGATTGCAGTGAGACGAGATCGCACCACTGCACTCCAGCTTGGACAACAGTGCAAGACTCCGTCTCAAAAAAAAATTGTTATTATTCAGTTTCTTAGTGTTGGTGAAACTCATATAACCTACAGATAAAAATCATGAAAGAGCTAAATGCCATCAGACCCTTCTAACCTCCTTTCCCCTACGTTAATGGCTATTTTATAATAAGACCAGACTCTTCAGCTGTAGCCTCAACACCAGAGCATTATTTGCTGAGGGGAGATAGGAAACACCTATAGAGAAAAAACAATTCCGTGTAAGGAAGGAGAGTTTTCTGACCATCAGCCTTGAAGTTAACTTACCCTTCTACAGCTAAGACATCCATGAACATCCTCTCTCTGAAGTAAGGGAGGAGACTCACAGGTGCAACCAAGCAGATTTGGAGAAGACTTTTGAGCCCCTTTGCAAAGGCATTAGCAGAAAGCCCACATCAGAGGTAGATAAGTCTACAGCATTTCCTGCTGTCGTATATGCTGCATAGCAGAAATTTTTAAAGTGTCCAAAGAAACCCTTTAAACTTGATATTTTGAGCAATTCTGAGTAGATACTAAGAAAGCTGTTTAGTGAAAATATCAGCTCTGATCAAAGCAGTAATTTCCAGTGAGACTGTATGTATGCCAGAAAAAAGCACTAGCTCCTTTTCATTTATTTCAGCTCTTGCTTCTTAGGTTCCAAACTGGGATGACATTGTCACCCACTAACCCAAGGCTGAATGGGAGATTAATCCATCTAAGAACAAGCAAGCCCTTACAGGGGCCAACTTAAAGGCTCTAACCAGAATTTGTATTACCAAGGGAGCAGCCCATAGGAGGTATATGACCAGGCAATGGCTCAGTTCTGACTCTTGGCAGGGCTAAGCAACTGTAATTTGCAATGTTTGGGGTCCATGGAGAAAAGACAAGGGACTTCAGCATAGACACATGCTGTCCACTGCATAACCCTGGGGGGTACCACTTACATGTGACCATATGATTGGCATCTGGGATATTGAGCAATGTCTCCATTGGGAGAGAGGAGCAGATTTGCAAATTATGGGGAGCAGATAGAAAAAAATGTCCTTTTTTATATAAGTTTTATTCAAGAAAATTAACTCTAGGAGATATTACTATAATCCTTAATTTACAGATGAAGAAACAAACACTGAAAGGTATCAAGAAAAACTAGTCTTTGGAAGTTTATCTTCCCTTTACCTATCTACCCCCAAGTAGTCCCTTTTCTCAATGCCCAAAATGACTCTCCCTTCTCCAACTCAAGTGACACTCAACCTACACCTACCATCCAGGGCCTTGGTACAACATCTCATATTCTGTATTTCATTCTTCCTTCTAAATGTCACCAGCCCTGCATCCCAATCCTGGTCTCCAGCTGCTTTCCAAGATTGATAGGTAATTATCTAATTAGAAAAAAATATTCTACTTAAGTATAAGTGGGTGATAATTAGGCTTTAAAAAATTTGCTTATCCTTTTCTACTTTATCCTTCTCCCCATCTTTTGTTCTCTTTTCTAGTGAAGTAATTAATCAACTCAATGAAGAACAGATGAATGGATGGATGGATAGATAGATATAGATAAATTATATTATTAAGTAAATTGGGTCCCTCCAAAATCCATATGTTGAAGCCCTAACCCCCAGTGTGAATGTACATGGAGATGGGGCCTTTAGGAGGGTAAATAAAGCTAAATAATGTTATAAGGGTGAGGCCCTAATCTGGGTGTCCTTATAAGAAGAAGAGAAACCAAAATGCACTGCATGCTCTCTCTTTTTCCCTGCGTGCACAGATAAGAGACTGGGAGGGGAGGCCTCACCGGAAACCAACCCTGACAGCACCTTAATCTTGGAATTCCAACCTCCAGAACTGTGACAAAATTAATTTGTTGTTTAAGCACCCAGTCTATGGCATTTAGTTATGGCCACCAGAACAGATGACTGCAGATACTTTATTGGACATATGACTATTCTAGATACTGTTTGTGAGTAGAATGTACTGAGTGAATCTTATATTGCTGCAAATGCTGTAGTCAGAAGAGTGCTGGATGGAAGTAAGAAAACTCAGGTACAATCAAGTTCTAGCTCTGCCTCTTCCTGTAGGTGTGAATATGACAGTTACTTCACCCCTATGAGCCTGAGCTCCTTTATCTGTAAAAGGCTAGATTCCTTCTCAAGGCCCTCACAGCTCGGGAATTCTAATGATAAATATCCAGGCAATGTCAGTGGGTATAAATTATTACTCATCATGCATTATTAGTCTTCCTTAGAAAGAACTGTAGGTCTAGCACATAAGAGTTGAAGTCCCACACAATAGTAAGAAAAATCATGTAAGAGTTCCCTTATTTCTATACTTCTGTGCTTTATATACTTGGGATACATGTCAGTGTGCCAAGGAGAAAGAAAAACCCCAATACAAATAGGGCTTTTCTGCAAGAGGGTCAATTTTTTTGTTTGTTTTTTGTTTTGTTTTGTTTTTTGAGACAGAGTCTCGCTCTATTGCCCAGGCTGGAGTGCAGTGGGGCGATCTCGGCTCACTGCAAGCTCCGCCTCCTGGGTTCACACCATTCTCCTGCCTCAGCCTCCTAAGTAGCTATGACTACAGGTACCAGCCACCACACCCAGCTAATTTTTTGTATTTTTAGTAGAGATGGGGTTTCACTGTGGTCTCGATCTCCTGACCTCGTGATTCGCCCGCCTCGGCCTCCCAAAATGCTGGGATTACCGGCCTGAGCCACCACGCCCCACCAAGAGGGTCAATTTTATAAAGATTTTGAGAGAGGAAAATATAAAGTAAGTACTGCAAAATGTGAATAAAATGGTAAGTTAAAACATGACATTCTGAAAAAAGGTTTGGCTTCTGGTGGACATCTTTGCTTATCCATTCATTCTCTATTATTTACTTTCTCACTGGGGATATTTTAACAGAAAAATGTAAAGTACTGCAACAGATAAATCTTATAGGAGCTAATTTGGATAGAGTTTCAGATTTATTTGCAAATAGACTGTATTCACAAGTGGATTCACAGAACAAAATTATTCTTTGGCCATTCCCAAACAGGCAACTCTCAAAAGCATATATTTAATCAAAAGAAAGGCAGGATGGGGATTGTGGTCACCTCAGTGAGAACTGCATAGAACTCGGAGCACAACTCTTCAGGAAGGCCATTGTAGGGGTATCTGTAGGATTGAAGGTGCCTGTTTGCATTTCCCTTTCTGGTTTCATTTTGGTCTGGGTAAGACTGTCAAACAAGACCTACTGTTCCTTAGCCTGGCAAACGTGACTCAAACTAAGCCCATTAATCTTCCCCTCTGAGGATATGAATGTTGAGAGGAGGGAGCTAACAATGAAAATAGTCGGAGGCGCTGCATTCTGCCAAGAGGAGAGCCCTGAAGAAACTGAGGGTCTCTTCCATGATGTATTTCTGCCTGGGGCCCTGGAGCAGCTTTGATCCCTGTCCTTTCAAGATCCTCATCTTTTCCTTTGATTCTGTGAGCTATCCCAAGTCCTTTCAATAACTTCTTTCATGCTTAAGTCAGTTAGTCTGTTTTTATTGCTTGCAACCAAAAGCCTGTAGTGTATGCCAATAGCACCAGCATCACATACAAAAATTATTTTTCATATTTGATAAAATCAGCTACTCTATTTCCAGGAAGTTATCCATATGATGATTCTATTTAGCATTATGATTTGCCAAGTGTGATGGTTAATATTAAACATCAACTTGATTGGATTGAGGGATGCAAAGTATTGTTCCTGGGTGTGTCTGTGAGGGTGTTGCCAAAGGAAATTAACATTTGAGTCAGTGGACTGGGAGAGGCAGACCTAACTTCAATCTGGGTGGGCACCATCTAGTCAGCTGCCAGCACAGCTAGAATAAAGCAGGCAGAGGAAAGTGGAAAGCGCAGACTTGCTGAGTCTTCCAGCCTTCATCTTTCTCCTGTGCTGGACGCTTCCTGCCCTTGAACGTCAGAACTCCAGGCTCTTCAGCTTTTGGACTCTTGGACTTACACTAGTGGTTTGCCAGGGGCTCTCAGGACTTTGGCCATAGACTGAAGGCTGCACTGTCGGCTTCCCTACTTTTGAGGTTTTGGGGCTCAGACTGGCTTCCTTGCTCATCAGCTTGCAGACAGCCTATCATGGGACTTTACCTTGTGATCCTGTGAGTCAATAATCCTTAATAAACTCCTCTTTATATATACATATATCCTATTAGTCCTGTCCCTTTAGAGAACCCTCACTAATACACCTAGGTTTCACTATCAAGCACAAATTACTTTTTTTCTCTTTTTTTCATAATTTATTTTGATATATTTATTTTGTATTATACTTTAAGTTCTGGGATACATGTGCAGAACGTGCAGGTTACATAGGTATACATGTGCCATGGTGATTTACTGCACCCATCAACCCATCACCTACATTAGATATTTCTCCTAATACTATCCCTTCCCTTGCCCCCCACCCATCGATAGGCCCCAGTGTGTAATGTCCCCCTCCCTGTGTCCATGTGTTCTCATTGTTCAGTTCCCACTTATGAGTGAGAACATGTGGTGTTTGGTTTTCTGTTCCTGTGTTAGTTTGCTGAAAATGATGGTTTCCAGCTTTACCCATGTCCCTGTGAAGGACATGAACTCATCCTTTTTTACGGCTGCATAGTATCCCATGGTGTACATGTGCCACATTTTCTTTATCTAGTCTATCATTGATGGGCATTTGGGTTGGTTCCAAGTCTCCGATATTGTGAATAGTGCTGCAATAAATATTTGTGTGCATGTGTCTTTATAGTAGAATGATTTATAATCCTTTGGGTATATACCCAGTAATGGGATTGCTAGGTCAAATGGTATTTCTGATTCTAGATCCTTCAGGAATTGCCACACTGTCTTCCACAAAGGTTGAATTAATTTACACTCACAGCAACAGTGTAAAAGTGTTCCTATTTCTCCACATCCTCTCCAGCATCTGTTGTTTCCTTTTTAATGATCACCATTCTAACTGGCATGAGATAGTACCTCATGGCGGTTTTGATGTGCATTTCTCTAATGACCAGTGATGATGAGCTTTTTTTTCATATGATTATTGGCCGCATAAATGTCTTCTTTTGAGAAGTGTCTGTTCATATCCTTTGCCCACTTTTTGACAGGGCTGTTTCCTTTTTTTCTGATAAATTTGTTTAAGTTCTTTGTAGATTCTGGATATTAGCCCTTTGTGAAATGGATAGATTGCAAAAATGTTCTCCCATTCTGTAGATTGCCTGTTCTCTGATGAAGTTTATTTTGCTGGGCAGAAGTTCGTTAGTTTAATTATACCCTATTTGTCAATTTTGGCTTTTGTTTCCATTGCTTTTGATGTTTTAGACATGAAGTCTTTGCCTATACCTGTGTTCTGAAGGGTTGTGCCTAGGTTTTCTTCTAAGGTTTTTATGGTTTTAAGTCTTAAGTTTAAGTCTTTAATCCATCTTCAGTTAATTTTTGTATAAGTTGTAAGGAAGGGGTCCAGTTTCAGTTTTCTGTATATGGCTGGCCAATTTTCCCAACACCATTTATTAAATAGGGAATTCTTTCCCCATTGCTTGTTTTTGTCAGGTTTGTCAAAGATCAGATGGTTGTAGATGTGTGGTGGTATTTCTGAGGCCTCTGTTCTCTTCCATTATTCTGTATAACTGTTTTGAGTACCAGTACCATGCTGTTTTTGTTACTGGAACCTTGTAGTATAGTTTGAAGTCAGGTAGCATGCTGCCTCCAGCTTTGTTCTTTTTACTTAGGATTGTCTTGGCTATACGGGCTCTTTTTTCATTCCACATGAAATTTAAAGTAGTTTTTTCTAATTCTGTGAAGAAAGTGAATGGTAGCCTGATGGGGATAGCATTGAATCTGTAAATTACTTTGGGCAGTATGGCCATTTTTATGATATTGATTCTTCCTATCCATGAGCATGGAATGTTTTTCCATTTGTTTGTGTCCTGTCTTATTTCCTTGAGCAGTGGTTTGTGGTCCTCCTTGAAGAGGTCCATCACATCCCTTGTAAGATGTATTCCTAGGTATTTTATTCTCTTTGTAGCAATTGTGAATGGGAGTTCGCTCATGATTTGGTTCTCTGTTTGTCTATTATTAGTGTGTAGGGATGCTTGTGATTTTTGCACATTGATTTTATATCCTCAGACTTTGCTGAATTTCTTTTATCAGTTTAAGGAGATTTTGGACTGAGATGATGGGGTTTTCTAAATACACAATCATGTCATCTGCAAACAGAGACAATTTGACTTCCTCTCTTCCTATTTGAATACCCTTCATTTCTTTCTCTTGCCTGATTGTGCTGGCCAGAACTTCCAATACTATGTTGAATAGGAGTGGTGAGAAAGGACATCCTTGTCTTGTGCAGGTTTTCAAAGGGAATGCTTCCAATTTTTGTCCATTCAGTATGATATTCACTGTGGTTTGTCATAAATAGCTCTTATTATTTTGAGATACATTCCATCAATACCTACTTTATTGAGAGTTTTTAGCATGAAGGGATGTTGAATTTTATCGAAGACCTTTTCTGCATCTATTGAGATAAACATGGTTTTTGTCATTGGTTCTGTTTTTGTGATGGATTACATTTATTGATTTGCATATGTTGAACCAGTCTTGCGTCCCAGGGATGAAGCTGACTTGATTGTGGTGGATAAGCTTTTTGATGTGCTGCTGCATTCGGTTTGCCAGTATTTTATTGAGAATTTTTGCATCGATGTTCATCAGGGATATTGGCTGAAATTTTCTTTTGTTGTGTTTCTGCCAGGTTATGGTATCAGGATGATGCTGGCCTCATAAAATGAGTTAGGGAGGAGTCCCGCTTTTTCTGTTGTTTGGAATAGTTTCAGAAGGAATGGTATCAGCTCCTCTTTGTATCTCTGGTAAAATTTGGCTGTAAATCTGTCTGTTCCTGGGCTTTTTTGGTTGGTAAGCTATTAACTACTGCCTCAATTTCCAAACTTGTTATTGATCTATTCAAGGATTTGACTTCTTCCAGTTTAGACTTGGGAGGGTGTATGTGTCCAGAAATGTATCAATTTCTTCTAGATTTTCTAGAGTATTTGTGTAGAGGTGTTTATAGTATTTTCTGATGGTAGTTTGTATTTCTTTGGGATCATTGGTGATATCCCCTTTATCATTTTTTATCGTATCTATTTGATTCTTCTCTCTTTTCTTCTTTATTAGTCTGGCTAGCGGTCTAGTTTGTTAATCTTTTCAAAAAACCAGCCCCTGGATTCATTGATTTTTTGAAGAGTTTTTTGTGTCTCTATCTCCTTCAGTTCTGCTCTGATCTTAGTTATGTCTTCTCTTCTGCTAGCTTTTGATTTTGTTTGCTCTTGCTTCTGTAGTTCTTTTAATTGTAGGGTGTCAATTTTAGATCTTTCCTGCTTTCTCCTGTGGGCATTAGTGCTATAAATTTTCCTTTAAACACTTCTTTATCTGTGTCCCAGAGATTCTGGTACGTTGTGTCTTTGTTCTGATTGGTTTCAAAGAACTTATTTATTTCTGCCTTAATTTCATTATTTACCAGTAGTCATTCAGGACCAAGTTTTTCAGTTTCCATGTAGTTCTGCAGTTTTGAGTGAGTTTCTTACTCCTGAGTTCTAATTTGATTGCACTGTAGTCTGAGGGACTGTTTGTTATGATTTCTGTTCATTTGCATTTGCTGAGGAATGTTTTACTTCCAATTATGTGGTCAATTTTAGAATAAGTGCAATGTGGTGCTGAGGAGAATGTATATTTTCGCATTGATTTGGGGTGGAGAGTTCAGCAGATGTCTATTAGGTCCACTTGGTCCAGAGCTGAGTTCAAGTCCTGAATATCCTTGTTAATTTTCTGTGTTGTTGAGCTATCTAATATTGACAGTGGTGTGTTAAAGTCTCCCACTATTATTGTATAGGAGTCTAAGTCTCTTTGTAGGTCTCTAAGAACTTGCTTTATGAATCTGTGTGCTCCTGTATTGGGTGCATTGATCCATTTACCATTATGTAATGCCCTTGTCTTTTTTGATCTTTGTTGGTTAAAAGTCTCTTTTCTCAGAGACTGGCATTGCAACCTCTGCTTTTTGTTGTTGTTGTTGTTTCCATTTGCTTGGTGAATATTCCTCCATCCCTTTATTTTGAGCCTATGTGTGTCTTTGCATGTGAGATGGGTCTCCGGAATACAGCACACTGATAGGTCTTGACTCTTTATCCAGTTTGCCAGTCTGTGCCTTTTAATTGGGGCATTTAGCCCATCTCCATTTGAGGATAATATTATTATGTGTGAATTTGATCATGACATTATGATGCTAGCTGGTTATTTTCCCCATTTTTGATCCAGTTTCTTCATAGTGTTGATGGTCTTTACAATTTGGTATGTTTTTGCAGTGGCTGGTACTGGTTGTTCCTTTCAATATTTAGTGCTTCCTTCAGGAGCTCTTGTAAGGTAGGCCTAGTGGTGACAAAATCCCTCAGGATTTGCTTGTCTGTAAAGGATTTTATTTCTCCTTCACTTATGAAGCTTAGTTTGGCTGGATATGAAATTCTGGGTTGAAAATTCTTTAACGATGTTGAATATTGGTCTTCACCCTTTTCTGACTTGTAGGGTTTCTGCAGAGAGATCCACTCTTAGTCTGATGGGCTTCCCTTTGTAGGTAACCCTATTTTTATCTCTGGCTGCCCTTAACATTTTTTCCTTCATTTCAACCTTGGTGAATCTGATGATTCTGTGTCTTGGGGTTGCTCTTCTCAAGGAGTATCTTAGTGGTGTTCTTTATGTTTCCTGAATTTGAATGTTGACCTGTCTTGCTAGGTTTGGGTAGTTCTCCTAGATAATATGCTGAAGTGTGTTTTCCAACTTGGTTCCATTCTCCCCATCACTTTCATGTATATCAATCAATTGTAGGTTTGGTCTTTTCACATAGTCCCATATTTCTTGAAGATTTTGTTCATTCCTTTTCATTCTTTTTTCTCTAATGTTGTCTTCATGCTTCATTTCATTAAGTTGATCTTCAATCTCTGATATTCTTTCTTCCACTTGATCGATTCAGCTATTGATACTGTGTATGCTTCATGAAGTTCTTGTGCTGTGTTTTCAGCTCCATCAGGTCATTTATGTTCTTCTCTAAGCTGGTTATTCTAATTAGCAATTCCTCTAACCTTTTTTCAAGGTTCTTAGCTTCCTTGCATTCGGTTAGAACATGCTCCTTTAGCTTGGAGGAGTTTGTTATTACCCACCTTCTGAGGCTTACTTCTGTCAATCCATCCAACTCATTCTCCATCCAGTTTTGTTTCCTTGTTGGCAAGGAGTTGGGATCCTTTGGAGGAGAAGAGGCATTCTGGTTTTTGGAGTTTGCAGGCTTTTTGCACTGGTTTTTCTTCATCTTCATGGATTTATCTACCTTTGTTCTTTGATGTTGTTGACATTCTGATAGGGTTTTTGTGTACCTCCTTTTTGTTGATGTTGATGCTATTCCTTTTTGTTTGTTAGTTTTCCTTCTAATGGTCAGGCTTCTCTGCTGCAGGTCTGCTGGAGTTTGCTAGAGGTCCACTCCAGACGCTGTTTGCCTGGGTATCACCAGCAGGGACTGCAGAACAGCAAAGATTGCTGGCTGTTCCTTCCTCTGGTAGCTTCATCCCAGAGGGGCACCCGCCAGATGCCGGCCAGAGCTCTCCCTGCTGGGAGGTGTCTCCCAGTCAGGAAGCATGGGGTCAGGGACCCACTTGGGGAGACAGTCTGTCCCATAGCAGAACTTGAGCACTGTGCTGGGAGATCTGCTGCTCTCTTCAGAGATGGCAGGCAGGAACGTTTTAGTCTGCTGAAGCTGCACCCATAGCTGCCTCTTCCCCCACATGCTTTGTCCCAGGGAGATGTGAGTTTTATCTATAAGTCCCTGACTGGGGCTGCTGCCTTTCTTTCAGAGATCCCCTCCCCAGAGAGGAGGAATCTAGAGAGGCAGTCTGGCTACAGCAACTTTGCCACTTTGAATTTCCCTGGCAGCTTTGTTTACACCGTGAGGTGAAAACCACCTTCTCAAGCCTCAGTAATGGGGGACGCCCCTCCCCCAACCAAGGTCCAGTGTCCCAGGTCGATTTCAGACTGCTGTGCCAGCAAGTGATAATTTCAAGCCAGTGAATCTTAGCTTGCTGGGTTTTGTAGGGGTGGGATCAGCTGAGCTAGACCACTTGGCTCCCTGGCTTCAGCCCCCTTTCCAGGGAAGCAAATGGTTCTGTCTCACTGGAGTTCCAGGAGCCACTGGTGTATGAAAAAAAAAAAAAGAAACTCCTGCAGCTAGCTCAGTGTCTGTCCAAACAGCTGCCCAGTTTTGTGCTTGAACCCCAGGGCCCTGGTGGTGTAGGGATTCCTGAGGGAATCTCCCGGTCTGCAGGTTGCGAAGACTGTGGGAAGAGCATAACATCTGGGCCAGAATGCACTGTCTTTCATGGCACAGTCCCTCATGGCTTCCCTTGGCTTGGGGAGGGATTTCCCTAACCCTTTGTACTTCCTTGGTGAGGTGATGCCCCACCCTCCTTTGGCTTGTCCTCTGTGGGCTACATCCAGTGTCTAACCAGTCCCAATGAGATAAGCCAGGTACCTTGGTTGGAAATGCAGAAATCACCCACCTTCTATATTGATCTCTCTGGGAGCTGCAGACTGGAGCTCTTCCTATTCAGCCATCTTGCTAGCCACACAAATTACGTTTAAAATGGAAGGAATCTTACATCTTCTTACCATTGTTCTTTTCTGTTTTCTTCCCCCATCTCATCTTAACCCTCATTCTTAAGACATTCTTCAAACAAAAATGAGAACCACTACAAAAGAGAGTCTTGCATATCTAAGTGTATAGCACATTTCTACTTAAGAGATTGAACATTAAGAAACACTTTCTAAACTGTGAGCAAAGTTCATACTTAATCTGTTTCATAGTTATAATCATCCATCATCCATGTTGATTCTGATGCTGGAGGGGTCTTCAGGTTTTGATTTCTTTTTGGTCTCTTTACTTTTCTCGGTCAGATGAAAGTGATGCTTACATTGCCTCATGATCTCCTTGGAAGACATCCAGCTCTCCCCATGCTGTTCAGTTGGTGCTGCACATTGTCCTCCCCTTACATCTGTGCCCTTGGCCATCAGGACTTCTCTCGCTTTTAAGAGACTGAAGGTGCAATTCCAGGGATTTCCATCCAGGTACAGGTGCCTGAGGTGAGGCAGACCCTCTAAGGCTTTTAGGTCTAAGGCAGAGATCTTATTGTTCCTCAGGTTTAGAACATGAAGCTGCTTGAGGTCCTTGATCTCCCGTTCAGCAATATTCTGGATGACATTGCTTTTTAGGTCCAGCCTGGTTAAGGTCCCTGGGAGCCTGCAAAGCATGGAAACAGGATGTGAGAGGAGGCCATGCCCATCATTCCACAACTGTCAGGGCAACAGTAACTGAGCAGCATTGCCTTTTCGTACAGCTCTGTCTCTTCTCAAGCTAGGAAACAAGATTTATTTGAGAAAATTAATTATAAGCACAAATCTCAGTGTTAGTCTATGGATCTTTAACTTTTTCTCATAGATCTTATGTTCTAACCCTCTGATTTTTCTGGCTCCTATTCATAAAATCTTTAGTTTTTTTTCTTGTGAAATGAGATCACTCAAACAAATTGATAAGAAAAACACTAAGTTCCCCATTTCTAAGGTGGCAAAGGCCATTAATCAATAATTTACAGAAGCAGTAAAAATGTCAAATAAAAGTATGAAAAAGTGTTGCTCTTCATGAATATAAAAGGCAAATGAAAAAACGCAATATTTTAATATAGCAAATTAAAACATGGCTTTAATTTTAAAACACTGCTGCTGTAGGTATAGTAAATACTGTTGGTAGAAGTGTAAATTGGTACCGTTTAGGAAACAATTTAGTAATATGTATCAAATTTAATTAATATCATGCCTTTTGACCTAGGAAATAATAGAAAAAGTAAATATTGACAAAGATGTTTGTCACATATTTGATATTTATAACAGCAAAAAAAAGACTAATGCTCAATGATTTTAAATTCTGAGATGATGGACTATTATGTGGTTACAAAAATCATGGGTTTTGATTTTTTTTTTTTAATACAGGGTCTGTCTCTGTGGCCCAGGCTGGAGTGCAGTGGTGAGATCTCGGCTCACTGCAACCTCTGGCTCACCAGCTCAAGTGATCCTCCCACCTCAGCCTCCTGAGTAGCTGGGACCACAGGCACACACCACCACACCTGGCTAATTTTTTCTATTTTTGGTAGAGACAGGGTTTCATCATGTGGCCCAGGCTAGTCTGGAACTCCTGGACTCAAACAATCCACCGACCTCAGCCTCCCAAAGTGCTGGGATTACAGGTGTGAGTCACCGCACCTGGCCTGATGTTTTAAAATAATTTTTTAAATAACAGTTATACGAAAAAGCTTTTGTAACTATGACTAAAAAAATCTAGAAGCTATAAAAAATTGATAAAGCATCAACATTAAAAAGAATTTTAAAAGAAATTGTGTATAGCAAAAGACAGGCAAAGTCAAAAGACAAATGATAAACTGGGGATAAGCATGATGTCTGCACTTTATATCAAACAAAGAATCTCCTTAATATACAAAAAGCCCTTAAAATTGAGAAGAAAAGATTATAAAATAAAACAGAAAAATGGGCAAAAAACAAATGGAAGTTCACATAAAAAGCAAAGCAAAGGGCCCCCAACTCTTCAACTTTATGCAGAACAGAGAAATTAAATTAAAGCTACACAGAGATGCCACTTAACACTTAACAGATTGGTAAAAATTCTAAGCTTTAGCAATCTGGTCTGCGAACAAAGCTGTGAAGAAACAGATATTCTCATATATTGCTCATGGGAGTCTAAAATGGCACAGCCCGTATGGAGAAAAATTTAGCAAAACCTAACAAAAAAAATACATATTTATCCTTTAGACCAGCAATCTCACTTCTAGGAATACACCCTGAAGATATGACTTTACAAATATAAACAGTATGTGTGGCATTTATTATGATATTATTTATAACAGCAAAAGATTGGAAGCAACCCAGTACATTAGTAAAGAACTACTATGCAGCCTTAAAAAAAATAAAATAATAAAAAAAGAGGCTGGTCTCTATGAATTACCATGAAGTGATTTCCAGAAAGTATTGTTAAAGAGAAAAAAAGCAAGAAACAGAGCAGTATATATAGTACACTAGTTTTTGTGTAAGAAAAGGAGAAATAAGAATTACATATACACGTTTACTTATTTGGGGCAACTGAAGGAGAATGATAAACCAGAAATCAATAAAAATGGTTACATATAGGGAGTGGTTGGTTCCATGTGATTTTAACTTTTCAACCATGTTAATGTTTTACATGTTCACAAAAACAAAATCAAGTCCTAAAACTGAAAACAAACAGGAACAAGCATATCTAATTAATTAATCCAATGTTTATATTTGTAACATAGTCGTACAGAGAAAAGAAAAAGTACTCTGACTGAACAACCTTAGTGGATATATTTAAGCCTTAGATTCCAAGGACAAAAAGATCTCGAAATTTCTCTTAGTATGTTTATTGTTAATACTAATTTTAATAATGAAATTTTGAAATTTTTTATGAATATTATCTGGCAAAACAAATAAGTAAATATATTCATGTCATTAGGAAACTATACTTTCATTGTAAGAGAAAAAGATAAAAATATAAAATAAAATAAAGAAAACCCTCTCTGATGTTAAATATGAATTGAAAATGTCAATGTGAATTCATAATTTTAAAAAATATATTTTCTAGCTCTTGTTTGCTGAAAGGACCTAGAAACAATATTATATTCTAGTAGCAATGCTACCCCAATGACATGAGCACACCAAGCACACAGATCTTAGCTGCTGAATTCCAATCTTTACTGGAAAGAACCAGAGCTTCTTGGAGAAATGACTGATTCTGTGTCTAGGGAAAAAAAACCCGCAGAGTTTCTCAGCCAGAATGTGATAAAATTTTTAAGGATTAATGGAACACCCATTGGGATGACTACTGTCAAAATAATGGAAATAAAAAGTATTGGCAAGGATGTGGGGAAATTAGAAGCCTTTTGCACTGTTGGTGGGAATGTAAAATGGTGCAGCTGCTGTGAAAATAATAATTTTTTATTTTTAAAAAACTAAAAATAGAATTAGCATATAGTTTAGCAATTCCACTTCTGGCTATATATCCAAAAGAACTTAAAGTCTTGAAGAGATATTTGTACCTCCATGTTCATAGCAGCATTCTTCACAATAGCCAAAGGTATAAGCAACCCAAGTGTCCATTTATAGACAAATAAATAAACCAAATGTGGTCTATACATACAATGGAGTATTATTCACCCTTAAAAAGGAAGGAAATTTTGACACATGCTACAGCATACATAAACCTTGAGGATATTATATTATGCTACATGAAAGAAGCCAATCACAAAGACAAATACTATATGAGTCCACTTATGTGAAATATCTAGAATAGTCACATTCATAGAAACCTAAAGTTAGAAAGTAGAATGGTGGTTGTCAGGGGCTAGAAGGAGGGGAATACGGAGAGTTTTGTAATAGGTATAGAGTTGTAGTTTTGTAAGATGAAAACTTCTGTAGGTTGGTTGCACAAGAATGTGACCACACTTAACATCACTGAAATGTACACTTAAAGATGATAAATTTTACCTTATGTGTATTTTACCACAACTAAAAAAAAAAAAAAAAAAGATTAATGGAGTCATGTCTCATGAACAGAGGAACTACCTTGGAGGGGCTCCCACTAGCCATATTTGTGACAATTTGGGCACCAAAAGAGACTAGCAACTGTAAGTGATCAAAACATACCAAATAAATTAAAATCCATGGGTCCATAGTGATACTTGGGAAAAAAAACAGAAAAGGAGAAGAGAGAGAGAAAAAAAACATTATGTTAAGTGGAAAAAGTAGAATACAAAATTGAATGATCCCAAATATGTAAAAACAAATTATGTGCTTTTGTCTAGACAAAGGCTCTGGTTGAACAATTCTGGATGATTTTTTAATTTTTCAGCATATTAAGTTTTCAAACTTGAACAGCTATTGCTTTATAATCAGGAAGAAAATACAGGTTTTTTAAAACTGTGAATGTCAATTTGAAAAATGTCATGCTCATGCCTGTTGATTTAAAAATAGGAAACAATCACAATGGTGAACGTGAAAATCTTTTTCCTACACAGAAACTTTGTAGTAAGTGCTTTCCTTTTTATGAAATACAAAACATCTGAAAGTTTAATAGGGAAAAAAAGCCCTTCAAATTGAAATACCACCTGAATGCTATTTTCATACAAAGTGAACATACTGGATATATATTCATGAATTTTAGTATTCAGTGTAGTTTATTGTGGCAGTCCCAGTTATAGAAGTGTTATATCAAAAAGAGAAAACAAATAGGTTTAGCCATATTCTATGCCAATATTATCTTTTGCTTGTTATAGTATTGTTATTACATGTATTTTATCCCAAAAGGTCAGTATTTTGGGTTTTTAGCACTTAGCCTACATTTTGCCTTCGAGGTTTTCTTTTTTAAACTAAATTTGTCATTTTATATTTGTAATCATATCCTATACAGTAGTATGTACACATAAGTATTTACGCTTTTTGAGTAAAAATACTCAATCATTTAAAGTGTCTTCTTCCTAGATAGAATAAATTTTACCTAATAAAGTAGGTTAATTTACCAGGGAAAATCACTTTATGCCTTCTAACAGTTTGATAATTAAATTCAATTCAAAGTTAATGTCCAAGAAAATATAATTTTGTGCACACATCAGCTTATCTAAGGTGAATTTCTAAGTGGTATACAGAAAATCTCTTATGTATAGGTTCCCCCCTGCCAAGGAAAAATAGATTATTGTTGGATTGTGTAGTAGTAAGCAAGACTTTGTTCCCATTGCAGAAGACAATGAAGCCTAACTGGGAAAGATCCACTAGAGTAAACAGGTGTCAAAAAGTCCCAATGTATTAAGACTTGTGTTCTAACTTAAGCCATTCTGTTTACCACTGTGTGGTTTTAGGTAAGTCATTTTGCTTCTTAAAGATCCTAATTTTCCACCCTACAGATGAACCATTCAGTACACAGAAGTCCCATAACCAATGTTAAGAGAATGAAAATGAGCAAGTCAAGTTTTCTAGGAAACAAATACAATTATCCAGTTCTTGGATATGTATCCAAAAATTGTGCCTGTTCTTAGCTTGCCTTTTTTTTTTCCTGTCTTGTTTGTATGGAAGTCATCACCAAAATGACATTGTAAGAGAAATCACTATTTATCCTGGTTTTGTGACTTTCTGACAGCCACTTATTGCTTTGATATAATTTGTCTTTATAAGTCTGACTTATATTTTAAAGTAGCTCTGATTTTAAAATAAACAGTTTTCTAGAAATGCTATCATGTTCTTTGGGTAGCTATTGCTTTTTAGAGTAAAAAGGGTCACAGCCCATTTTGCAGTAGATAGCAGTTGGGTGTAAGATAAAATGCTATGTGCATTAGGTTGTAAGAAGCCATTCTAGATTTCAATTATCTGAAGAGTGGATAAAAAGAGATAATTAATTTATATTTATTCACTAAGCTGCAATTGATGAAATATGAAGCAGCAACAATTGAAGTCCAGTTCCTGGGCATTTGAAGTAGTATAGTTATTTTATTGACAGTAGAGTAAATCCTAGAGGCAGGACTATGCAGTGGCTAAACTTCCCTGGCTCTGGAGTTAAAACTACTGTGTTTAAATTCTGACTATGAATTTAAACTATGAATATGACTATGAAGTTTCTGAATACCTCTAAGCCATAACACCCTAGTCTGTAAATTATTAGGTAAACCAGTGTACCTACCTTCACAGAATTATTGTATGTTTCTAAGTTCACTGCTGATTTTAGTAAGCAATTAATAAATGTTAGGTATTATTTTCTATCTCAATTAGTGTAATGAGGCAAATGTAGTAGGTCTTTGAATATATGTGTACCTAAAACCATATACTACTATTTTCTTGATGAAATGTAGAATGGAGGATGGTAGGCAAAAGAAAAGATATGCCGAAATATCGTTGGTGATAGAAGCAGGTTGCCTGTGTTAATAGTTTACTTGTAGAAAACTGAATTGTATATTATAGATACTGTGTATGAAGAAGAAGTATGCAAATTTTTAAAAGTTGTAATGTTTAAAGGCCATAAGTAAAAATTTTTAAATTAAAATATAAGGAATAGATATTATGATGTTTCAAGTTTTAACTTTTTTTTTGTTTGTTTTTTGAGACAGGGTCTTGCTTTTTCACCCAGGCTGGAGTGCAGAGGCACAATCATGGCTCACTGCAGCCTCAACCTCCAGGGCTCAAGCAATTCTCCTACCTCAGCCTCCTGTGTAGCTGGGACCACAGGCATGCACCACCACATCCAACTAATTTTTTTAAAAACTTTTGTAGAGATGGGATCTCACTATGTTGCCCAGGCTAGTTTTGAACTCCTGGACTGAAGTGATCTGCCTGCCTCAGCCTCCCAAAGTGCTGGGATTACAGGCATGAACTACTGTGCTCAACCATGTTTTAACTTTTAGTGAGAGGAAAACCACAGGGAAAACTTACTGGGTCTTTCCCACTTCTCAATCAAAACAAAAAAGAGCTGAGGAGTGGAGGCAGTGTTGATAGGGGTATTTCAAAGCAAAGAACTTTGCTATCACAGCTGTCCAAGTACTTTGACAGAGCAGACAGTTGTGTTGCTTAATTTAAGCATCACAGGAAAAGCCCACTCCTACCTCATGTTACTGGCCCCATTGTCCTTGCAAAGTAGCTCTTGATCCTAGCTGCACATTAAATTCATCTGGGGAGGTTTTCAAAAGTAGTGATGCCTGAGTCCAGGGGCATCTGATTTAATTGGTTTGAAGTGAGGCCTAGGTATAAGTATGCTTTTTAAAAATATTTCTCCATATAATTCTAATGTGAAGCCAGATTTGAGACCTATGGCTAGCTCATGCTTGCAATTCCACTATACATTCCGTTGGGTAAAACAATGTGCTTTCTGTAGTCACTTGTTAAAACACAAATACTCTGACAAGAGTAAATAATTAAGCTACTTTTTCCACTCTTAAAACTTAGCAGGATTACTCAACAAAATTCTTTCTAAAAGTCACTTGAGTAGAAAAACCCACCAAGTTCACAATATTGCCCATGGCTGTCATAGCCTGCTGTCACATCTATTACATTATATAGTTACTGTCTAACCTGTTGTATGAGTTTTTATTTTATACACTATTTTTTTTCCCTTGGAGTTGGGGCAGTCAGTAATTAAAAAATAAGGCTTGTGGCCAGGCGCGGTGGCTTACGCCTATAATTCCTGCACTTTGGAAGGCCAAGGCGGGAGGATCACGAGGTCAGGAGATGGAAACCATCCTGGCTAACACGGTGAAACCCTGTATCTACTAAAAATACAAAAACAAAATTAGCCAGGTGTGGTGGCAGGCGCCTGTAGTCCCAGCTACTCGGGAGGCTGAGGCAGGAGAATGGTGTGAACGCAGGAGGCGGAACTTGCAGCCAGCCGAGATCGAGCCACTGCACTCCAGCCTGGGCGACAGAGCGAGACTCCATCTCAAAATAAATAAATAAATAAATAAATAAATAAATAAATAAATAAATAAATAAATAATAAGGCTTGTAACATAGTCAAGAAGTTATTTAAATAAAAAGTAGTAGAATCTTGAGACACCACAAGTGTGTTTTCGCCTTAGGGCCTTTGAATTGGCTGTTCTCCTGTCTAGAAAACTTTCTCCCAAATAGCTTCGCAGCTAAATCCCTCACCTTCTTCCAGTCTTTGCTCAAAAGTTATGTTTTCATGAGGGTTACCTTTCTTACCTTATTTAAAATTGCAACCAGCCACCTCACCCACTACACTCTTGAACCTGATAATCATGCCTTTTTTTGTTGTAAGCTATAATAGCTAATATAGTTTGAATATCATATATTTTACTTATGTATTATGTTTGTTATCAGTCTTCCCCTGCTAGATTTTAAACTGTATACAATAGGAAGTTTTATCTCTTTTATTACATTGATGTATCCCAAGTGTCTGGTAAAATACCTGGCACATGGTAAGTGCTCAAAAGATATTGATTAAATTAAAGCAATTGTATATTTATGCTTATGCAGTAAAAGAAATCACTTACTTTGAAATCACCTTCAATATATATTTTGAAATACTGATTTCTCTTGGAAACATCACTTTTTGATGTTTTACACTGAGTACAGTTACCATACTATATAATTTAAAAATCCCCTTTTCAACTAGAAAAAAGAACATCTCTACATATCAAAGATAATTTTCCCTTTTTTATTGATAAAAACTTATTATAGGCTGGGACTATAATTAGGGGCTCATGCCTATAATCCCAGCACTTTGAGAGGCTGAGGTGGGAGGATCACTTGCTCCCAGGAGTTTGAGACCAGCCTGGGCAGTAGCAAGAACTCATCTCTAAAAAAAAATTATTTTAATTAGCCAGACATGGTGTATGCCTGTAGTCTCAACTACTCAGGAGGCTGAGGGGAGAGGGCTGCGTTAACTCAGGAGGTTGAGGCTGCAGTGAACCATCATCACCCCACTGCACTCCAGCCTGGGTGACAGAGTGAGACCCTGTCTTAAAAATATATATATTATAAAACACAATAAAATTAGGTAAATAGAATACCACAGGATTCTACAGAAACCACAAGTTAGTATATTAATTATGAGAAATTTGATAATGCTAATAGCCAGGGCAAGAAGCCTTTTATTTTTTCAATAAAGTGCTGAAAGGAAAAAAAGAATCCACTGGTAGACAAACATAGTATCATTTTAAAGAGAATAATAGTGATTCATCCTACATTTTAAAAATTTATCTACTTTAAAATGTGGAACATAAAATAAAGTTTAAAGAAATAGGATCAACTAATACAAACACATGTTGCATTAATTATAAATTATGAGTAGTTAGGGGGAACAGGTGCAGCAGGTTGGGTATAAACAGAGGGATATTCAGGAACAGAAATTGTCTGAGTGTGAGGGCGTGCTTGTGTGTGTGTGTGTGTGTGTGAGAGAGAGAGAGAGAGAGAGAGAGAGAGGGAGACAGAGAGAGAGAGAGAAAACTGAAGAGATAACCAAAACCAGAAGGTAAGACCAACCTGGTGGACTCACCCACTCATACAGACAGACACACAGAGAAATAACCAAAGCCAGCTTAAGCTCTTTAAAGGTCACAGCACTGAAAAGAATATGAGGCTCCCCAACAAGTAATTCAAAATAAATACAATATTACATTGTAAAGTTTTAATTTTCCCCCAATAACTACTACTTCAATGCATTTTAAATTATAAATATCTTACTATATTTTCCCCCTTATTTTTTCCTGGTGTCCTTGTTTTGCTAATAGCTAAGCTCAGGCCTACTGACTGTTGATTATCCAGGCAATACACAGTATGAAACTGAGACACAATCTTTACAGTGTCTTCATATTATGTTTGCTAATAGAGATATCACCTGTTGGTGTCTTGTTGAAAGGTGAAGCTGGCTGGGCTTCTGGGTCTGGTGGGGACTTGGAGAACTTTTCTGTCTAGCTAAAGGATTGTAAACCCACCAGTCAAAACTCTGTGTCTAGCTAAAGGTTTGTAAATGCACCAATCAGCACTCTGTAAAAACGCACCAATTAGCACTCTGTGTCTAGCTAAAGGTTTGTAAGTGCACCAATCAGCACTCTGTAAAATGGACCAATCAGCACTTTGTAAAATGGACCAATCAGCAGGACGTGGGTGGGACCAAATAAGGAAATAAAAGCTGGCCACCTTAGCCAGCAGCAGCAACCCGGTTGCGTCTCTTTCCTTGCTGTGGAAGCTTTGTTCTTTCGCTTGCAGTAAATCTTGCTGCTGCTCACTCTTTGGGTCCACGCTACTTTTATGAGCTGTAACACTCACTGCGAAGGTCTGCAGCTTCACTCTTGAAGTCAGCAAGACCACGAACCCACAAGAAGGAAGAAACTCCGGACACATCTGAACATCTGAAGGAACAAACTCCAGACGCACCATCTTTAAGAGCTGTAACGCTCACTGTGAGGGTCTGCGGCTTTATTCTTGAAGCCAGCGAGACCAAGAACTCACTGGAAGGAACCAGTTCTGGTCACATTGTCCCATAGACAAGATAGATAAAGTTAGTGCAGTAGTGAGTTTGAGGGCTGGAGATTCCACACCTCTGTTTAAAACTTGTATCCCTGAATCCTTGTGTAGCCTTGATCAGATAATTCACGTTTGCTCTAAGTCTCTTGCTTATATAATGTGCTGAATTGTCCAAATCTTCAGAAAATTTTTATGGTAGCTACAATAAATGAAAACACTCACTCACCTTAGGGGTATGGACAACAGCAGATTCTGCTCCAGCGCCAGGTTGGAGAGCTGAGAACACCTCTGCAGGGCTCCAGCTTCGAAGAAACTCGCATTGTTGTTGTCCAGAATCAAATGTTTCAAGTCTTGGAGGTCCTGGAAGTCTTGTGCTGTTACTCTCTGAATCAGATTATTGCTACAATCAAGTTTTTGTAGCTTTACTGGTAGTCTGAAGGGCAATATTTGGAGCTGGTTTTGGGACAGCTCAAGAGCAGTTAAATTGGTAAGGAACTGTGCCCCATTGATGGAAGAGAGTAAGTTTTCTGACAGGTAAAGATGGGAAAGATTCTCCAAGTGTCTTGTGTCTCAAAACCTTACTATTCTGAGGTGGTTTCTTTCCATCTTTAAAGATAGCAAGGATTTGGGTAGATTGATAGGAACTTTAGTCAGAAAGTTACCACTGAAACTGAGAAATTGCAAAGACTATAGAAGAGTGAAGAAGCTATTGTATAAGATGTAGCTTATTATTCTCCAGGCTCATATGTGTCAGATGGGGAAGTATCAGGGGTCCAGCTATGGCCTCCACGTTGTTACCATCCAACATCAAACTTTGCAAACTGACAAGGGAGGAGAAAGTGCTGGGAGAGAGGGAAGAGATCAGGTTGTTTTTAAGTTTGAGGAATTTTAATTTCTTAAGTCCTTCAAAATCTGATCCATGTAGGACATTTATTGAGTTATCATTTAGTTTTAACACTTCAAGACTGGCTGGGAGAGCACTAGGGACTCAACTTATTTTTCCAGAGTTCTAAGGTCTTCAAAGTACTCAGAGTTTTGAGGGTGTCATTTTCTACTGACTCTGTTCCACTGGCCAGCAGAATAGAATCTTCTAAAGCCTACATTCAGGTGAAGTCAGACAGCTACAAAAAATGTGGAGGCAGGGAAGGGGAAGAAAAAGCAATAAATGAATATTGTTTAAGAAATACCAGGTACACTGTCATTACAATACTAATAATACTTCAGATTTTCCTTCAGATTCTATTTTAAATTATATCTTGGAAAACGGTTGAAACTCAGATCCTGAATATTTTTATTTATGATTGATAACATCAGTGTAAGGTATGAAAAATATTCTAAGCACTTTCACACATCATTGATAGAGACATATTATTGGCCAACTTTTACTGCATATTCTCTGACCCAGCAAATTTACTTATAGGCAGAGATACTTAACAAATTGCAAAATGATTCATGCACTAGGATGTTCTTTGTTGTATCATCTCATATTAGCCATAAATTGAAACAATCTGGAAATCTTTCACCAAATTGTTAGTAGTTTCTAAATCTAGAGGGTAAGATTACAAAGGATTTTCACTAGCTACATTTTGCATTGTTTAACATTATGAATCACACGTTTTAAAAAGGCATTAAAAATTACAAAAATGTAAGTGTCCCAGTCTGTTATCACTAGGATGCACTTAACTGAAAACACTTTCAACTATATTGTATTTTGGAAAATGAGCCTACCTGTTTTCTATACCCAATTTTCACTTCACCAATGAAAAAACTTCATAAAGAGACAAATGTATACATGTTATCTCCCTCCGTCTCTGCAGAGCAAAGAGTTCATTCATGCATATATTCCAGACCTAATGCCACCCTTCCTCTAGAATTTAGATATTTCCCAAAACTGATATACTTTCTTCGTGTTTTGTAAATTCTCCTGTCTCTCTACATGCCTGTCAACCTCTGAGCTTAATACCCATGTCTTTTTCTGAATGATGTAATGATCTTTATTTGGTGCTACGAGTAAGGTTATGTTTAAGCAGAAAAAGGAATTGTTCCATGTTTTCTTCGGGTTGATAAATCTTCAAAAAATTTTCAATCTGCCTTAGAATTCAATGAAGCTGCAATTTTCAGTATACAATTTCACGTGTCTTACTATCCACAGTTTTTAAATATTTGACTTAATTATGCAGTTGAGCACTTTTATAATACCAGTACATACCAGTACATGATTAACACCTTCAAAGTGAGTTTATTTTGTATCATATATTTATTATAGGTACTTATATTCTTGGAGGATATGTGATGTGAATTATCGTGTATTTTTAAACATCTCTAATATGTTACTCCATTAGGAGACTCTCCAGTTAAAATTTCCATAAATGAATATTTTTAATCATAATGGTTTCGGCAGTTGCCTTGGGTTACATATTGCTGCTAACATTTTATATTTTCTTAATGATTTATCAGTTATATTGAATAGTCCTAGTCCCAATAATGATAGAGATTTTATTCTTGCATTAATTGAGTATCTAAGAGTGCCACGTGCTTTTTTATATATCACCAATCCCCTAATAACCCAGCAACTTTACTATTATCAACACTGGCTTCTAGATGAGGAGACTAGGAGAACTAGAATGTGAAAGAATTCAGAATTTCAGCAAGGTCTATTGAACTGCAAACCCCTTTCTTCCTTAGCTACACCATTTTCTAAAGCATTTTCTATTGCATTTGGCCTGTAATTAATGTTTTTCAAAAGAGGCTCAAGATCTAGACACAAATCACAGAGCTTTAAAAAAGCAGAGATTTTAGGGATTAACTAATCTAAATCTCCCATTTCAGGAATAAAGAATTTCAGGCCCAAGAAGTTAAATAACCTGCTGAAGACTCAGTGTTCTTTACACTTCATTCTGAAATGCCTTTTTGTAGGCTTATCTTTTATATAAAGTCAGAAATGTCTCTAGACATATATCTTTATGTCTTGGACTGTTGAGATCCGCCAAAAAGAACTGGGTATTATATTTCAACTTATATCTGAGTGACAATAAACAAAAAATGATTACTAACTATGCAGTAAGTCTCAGAGATGACATGGATCAGAATGGGCAATTTATTTTGGGAATGGACAAGGGATGGTGTCAAAGCTTCAATTTGTCTTGATTTCTATTTATGAAGTATACAGACTGAGCTAAATAGACTTCATATTCTTAAATCACTATTATTAAGCATAGAAAGCATTTTCTTCTTTTTTTTTTTGGTCAGGGTCAATAGAGATTACATTTAATTATTAATTAAAATGGCTACAATTTTAGAAATATTTACTATATTTAATTTTTACAAAGCCCTATGTATAAGCATAATTATTCCATTTTCAGAGAGGGAAACTAAGGCTCAAGAAAGTGGAATAACCTGTCCAAGTATATCCTTTTCTAGTGGAAAAGTTGGGCTACTAACCCAGGTTTATCTTACCCCAGTGCATATATTTTTAGCCTTACAGCTATAACATCCTTTAGCTGAAGAAAATAGAATTATGGTGCCACATAACAATGAGGAAGACTCCTGCTGACTTTCAACTTTTCAGTTGGGTTTGCAGAGCTGACAAAGGGAAAAAAATTATGCCAGACCCATTTTTCCATTTCCATGGCTTAAGCAGGGCTTCACACAAGATATGTGGAAAGAGATGCTTTTGCCCTAGAGCTAACCTTGGGGCTACTGGCAGCTTTTCCAATATTGCTTAAAAAGCAAGGCCAGTAAAATGAAGTAGAGCACAGGATAGCTCCTGCTAGCTTCTCCAGGAAAGGCTTTGTTTCTGGTTTCAATCCTAGGCAGACCCTGCTCCAAGTAGTAAAGGGAACACACCCTTTTCTGGCTCCTGATAGATCCAATGTACAACGAAACTGACATACACACAAAGCGATGGTTTCAGACCTGTGTGAAACAAGCCAGGAATGAGTTTGTAAAACAATGTTGGATTTTTTTCCTGATCATCAAACAACATTTTTTCTCTACAAACAATTTTTAAATTCTGGAAAATGTAGAGAGAATATAAAATAACCCATTATCCCCCCATTCAGTTTATGTATTGTTTATGTATTTCTTAGGAAGAATTTGAAGAAGCTTCTTGTCTTCCACAAAAGATGTAAAGTACTATCATTTTAACTGACTGCTACCATAACTACATTCCCATTTGTCTTCTACCTCTGAAGAGAATATATCACTTTGGCTTATCCATTTGAATGGCAATAGTGAAGTAAACTTAATGATTTTTTACACATGTGGACACAAAGTACGAACCAAAACTACAATCCTCTAAATAGAAATGACTTGGGTCACCTAGCATATTGTCCATTTGGTATCACATGTAATCAGCTATTCGTTGTGTCTTTCACTCAACACAGTTAAGCAGTTCATCATGGCTTGAGACTGAAGTCCAAGTTAGTGAATAGCAACAGAACAGGACAGAGGGGAACAAAAGAATAAAGCTGAATTCCTTTCTTATGCCATACCCAAAAATTAACTCAAAATGGATCATAGACCTAAATGTACAAACTAAAACTGTAAAAATCTTAGAATAAAATATAGGCATTACATTTTCATGAACTTGGATTAGGTAAAGCTGGCTTAGATATGACACCAAATGCATGAGTGACAAAAGAAAAATAGATAAATTAAGTCAGGTGTAATAGCTCAAGCCTGTAATCCCAGCACTCTGGAGGCCAAGGCAGGTAAAGAGCAGCTAGTAAAGAAAGAGCAGCTGAATATATGGGGGTGCAGAAAGTTAGAGAGCAAGGTCTGGAGAGAAGTGTGAAGGATAGAATCAAGGGCCTTGAATACAAGGAGAGACATGTCCTCTCCGGAGAAAAGAGTTTGCAAAAGTGGATGGAGACAAATTTGTACACAGTGAGCAGGGACTGAGGGAGATCAAGTTTTGTCATGATTTGTCAATAAAATGGGAGGCCAGCTATTCATTGAGAATGAGGATGGCAGGAATTGAGTATGCAACCCAACACTCTACCGAAGTTTTGGAAGATATTGAATGATTCTGTAAATTCAAACCCAATAAATAGAATGTACATTGTATTTACCAAATGCAAGTGAGATATGGTCACTTAAAACCTATGCAAGTGAGACATGGTCACTTAAGACCTAAGTATTTTTAAAAGAGAAGTATCATTGGTCAGAACTTTCATCAACAAAAAGAGCTTTCCTTTTCCTTAACAAAACAATCCTGTCTTTTATTACGTTTCTGTTGTGAACAGTCCTTCCAAGAAATAATTACCTAGCTTAAAGTCAGGGAAGTGGCAATGCTGCTATTCAGTGAAACTAAACCAATGACAAATTGACTCATCCAATAACTGAATTTAATAAGGGGCATAATTTTATCTTATTGGCTACAAAGTACCATTGTATAATCATTACTAGGATTAGTTCACCTTCTGCTCAATAAGCATGTCAAGTCCTCAGAGCAAATATTTAAGTAGCTTACCCTTTAACCAGGTGTCTTGCTTGAACATTTACACTTAATGGTGTCAGACTTGCTATCTGGTGTTAGACACTACAGGGTTAGAAGAGGAAAGCAAACAGATGGAGACAAGACAACTGTGTTTATTGAGCCAGGATCTAAATACCATGCCACATATTCAAAACTCTATGTGTTTATGGGACACTCATATGAACATTTCTTAACCAAATTAAAGGGATGGTGTCTCTGTTTGAAGGTAAGGTACACTCACCTGCTGCCTCTCTGCACCTGGCTCACAGAGAGGCATTTCTTTGTCTTAGGATTTGGATCTTTGAGGGAGAAGCAGTGAATAGTAAAGGGAAAATTAGAGAGCCATAGAATTTTCCATCTGGAAGGGGCCTTCCATCTGGAAGGGGCCTACAAATATTAAGGCAGCTGTTATTTTCTTCTGAAGTTTAAGCTGTCTAGCTTCAGTTTGCAGGGCTTTATGAAAGCACAGCTTAGTTGTCAGTGACTCTGAATTAGGAAAAATGGGAAAAAAGGTAAAAAAATGAAAACATTATTTTAAAGTCTTCTAGCCAAGAAAAATTAGAATTTGATCCAAACTGTAGAAAATAATAAAAATTGAAAAGCATTAGGCAAGACTAGAATCTAACAACAGGTGTACTACAGTTTTTGGAACCTAATTTTTCTCTCTCCCGTTTCCCATTTTTACTAAAGAGAAACCATAGTAGGACTAATTTGCTTTATTATATTTGGCCTAATTATTTGTATACAGTGCAGCAAGAATAATTAATTTGTACATAACTTTTTTTTCTTTTGAAATGCAGTCTCACACTGTCACCCAGGCTGGAGTGCAGTGGTGTGATCTTGGCTCACCACAGCCTCCATTTCCTGGGTTCAAGTGATTCTCCTGCCTCAGCTTCCTAAGTAGCTGGGATTACACCTGGCTAATTTTTTTTTGTATTTTTAGTAAAGACAGGGTTTCACCATGTTGGCCAGGCTGGTGTTAAACTCCTGACCTCAAGTGATCCACCCACCTCACCCTCCCAAAGTGCTGGGGTTAAGGGCATGAGCCACCATGCCTGGCCTACATAGGCTCTTAAATTGGTCTTGATGGAACTTTATTCCATAGAAGGAATAAGCCAAGCCCAGTCATGTATTTATACCATTAAATACCTATGAGTTGGGTGAATTCCTCTCCTCTTGAGGTTCCAAGATAAACCTGGGGTCCTGGACTTGTCAGAAAGTACATTCCTTACTTACCACAGGTCAGGAACCCTGTACAGGAACTGTGTAGACAAAGGTAAGCAGACAGTTTTTCCAAGGAGTTTTATTGGCTCAATAAGTTTGATTCCTAAATGGAAAACACACCATTCCAGTAAAAGCCTTGGTAAAATAACCAGTTCTCCAACTGTGTCCTGTTACAAATGAAAACAGATTCTTATTGCACTTATGCTACTAATTGTATTGTCACAAGATAAGAATCCTCACAAATAGTTTCCATATTCTGTAGAAATAAGGTAGAGAGAAAAAAATATGCTCCAAATTTTGTTCATAGGAGTATACTTTATTCAATTGTTAAAATTTGTAAATAGCTTACAAGTTGTTGACTCTGAAAAGCAAAACAAAGGATCACCAATGTTTTAAGCAAAACTTAAAAAGATTACTTCAGCCTTCTACTAGTTTAGTCCATGAAGTTAATTCCTATTCTGCTTGATATTCATGAACATTTCAGCTCTCCATGGGTCCTGAAAGTTTTCCTCTATTCTGATGTCACAATCTTGAAAGTTATCAGAAACCTGCATTCAAGAGCACCTGTTAGAGTTTATAGAGGACTATAAAACCATCTTCTAAAGAGGACCAAAACAAGACAGTAATTGTCCATGGATGGCAAAAAGTTTCAGGGCAGCCATACTCAAAGACACAATTGACAAGGAAATTTGTTACCTCTTGTGGCACACAATAATTTAACATAACAATTATAATTATTACTGATAACATACATTAAGTCACATCAAAATTATAGAAATTCTCATAATTTTAGAATACATACGAATAACATAGTTATACAAATACAGCCCAAAGAAAATCAAACACCATTTTATATTTGACAATGCTTCCTGTATAATTTTTATACCAAATAAGCCAAATATGTCATCAAATACAACCCAAAGAAAATCAAACACCATTTTATATTTGACAATGCTTCCTGTGTAATTTTTATACCAAATAAATGAAATATGTTATTTTTGGAGTTTAGGGAACTTATTAATAACATCTTAAAGGATTAATTAGGTCAGAAAGATACAAAATTTATAATTTGATTTTGGAAAGTTTGTCAATTACCAAAGGTTTAAAACACTCGATATTACAAAATAGGATTACAGGTCATTGTAAAATAAGTCATTCATTTAACCAAAGTGATAACTCAAGGATTTTTTTAAAAAAAAGGCAAAAACATTCATTCTTTGAGAGAGACTAATTTTCCAAACAATAAGCCCTAATAAAACAGCATGAAGCCAATTAAATTTGTTTTCCAAAATTTTATAAACAATCTATAAAATTTCATCTTGATTTTAATTTATAACTTCCATAAGTCTTTATAACCTTTGTAACCTTTATTAAGGAGTCATCTAATGTTTTATGAAAACCTTGTTAATCTGACATGGGGGCTCATATGCTGGTCTTGCATCAGTGTGCCTTTGACATTAATGATTAGTTTATAGAGAAATAACTTATTTTATCTCTCAAAATTGGCCCTTACAATCTCACATGCCCCCCTCTTCCATGATTGTCCCTGGGCCTTGAGGAGTTGAATAACTTTAATTTCTGACCCTGTGTTTCAGGAACGCAGATAATTTTGAGGCTTTAATGCAGTTAATTAAAGATGAGGCTTTAATGCAGTTAATTTTGATTGGCATCTTCTACCAGGTCTGAGATGACAGGAAGATTCAAGAATCTAATAACCTTAATTAATTTTTTTTAAATCTCAGTTTTTCCTAAGCAAACCTAACTCAATAATCATAGCATAGGAATTATTTTGGTAAAATGTAAAATTCGTTAGGCCAGTTACTAAAAGGAAAAGAAAAGACCTTCTGTACTGCACAGAATATTATGCTAGAAGAAAACATGTCCTTGAGATCTTTAAGAAAACGTTAGCATCAGGCTACAAAAAAACAGAACCCAAAGAAGACTATTTTGAAGCTAAAATTTGATTTTGGGAAGCCTATTAAATATGTTAAAGGTTTAAAACACTTGATATTATTAACTAGAATTCCAGGTCACCCCAAGTTATTCATTTAGCCAAAATGATGACTCAAAATTTTTTAAGAAGTCAAAACCTTTAGTCATTAATGGAGGGAAGACTTAGCTTTCCAAACAATCTGTCTTTGTCTTTCCCTTCTTTTTCTTCTTTTTCTTTTTTTGTTAGTGTATTTAAAAGGCAAACAACCTGTAATCCCAGCACTCTGGGAGGCCGAGGCGGGCAGATCACAAGGTCAGGAGACCGAGACCATCCTGGCTAACACGGTGAAACCCCTTCTCCAATAAAAATACAAAAAATTAGCTGGGCATGGTGTCAGGTGCCTGTAGTCCCAGCTACTTGGGAGGCTGAGGCAGGAGAATGGCGTGAACCTGGGAGGCAGAGCTTGCAGTGAGCCGAGATCACGCTACTGCACTCCAACCTGGGTGACAGAGCGAGACTCCATCTCAAAAAAAAAAAAGAAAAGGCAAACAAATATTTTTTATTATCTTTTAATATTACATGAAAATCTTGTTCAAGTGAGAAGGCCAAATTTCACCCTTGCATTAGTTGCTATTAATATCAGCACCAATTTTTAATAAAAGGTCATAGATAAATCTATCCAAGCTTAATCAGTTTGACCATAAGGCAAGATTTTTATGAACCTTTTATAACTCTTTACAAATTTTTGTTAAACAGCAGATTAGTGCTTTAAGAAAACCATGTTTTGCTTTTATTCAATGTTCAATTTATGGAAAAACCGCATAGTGCTCCTTTAAATTTAGTTAATATGTTCACACATATCATTTCTTTTACAAGGTTCATTTTTACAAACCTTCCAAAACTCATTTAGACCTTTAGCTTTATCTTATTTAATTTAAAATAGTCCTTTAACTCTCTAGACAAAATTGTACATTCCCTGCCTTCTTCTAGTCTCTTACCAAAAACACATTTCATTCTCCTCACACACCTTGCATGTAAACCTATTTTTTTAGTAGTCTTAATTACATGTTATAATGGTAATTCTTAGCAACTTTCACTTTTGGTGCATAAATTTTCCTTTACAAATCCCTTTGCAACTTAAATAGAACATCTATGACATACTTGGACTTTCTGACTTGTCCTAAACATCCCTCCTTTTAAACAACCATCATTTTACTTTAGGACATGAATTTACCATACAATATTATTTCTTATATAAAACATTTTTCTTTATAACTGTCTTTGCATAGCTAGGGGGTAAGGCTAATATCACATATCCCCAGGCCTTATTTAGAATTTAATGCCTCCAAAAGAAATTGAGTAATTTCCAAAAGTCAAAGCAGTTTATGGCCTTAAAGCATTAAGCAAACCTAATATCTGACCTGCATGATTTAGACTAAATGTATTTATTTTATTAATAATCTTTAAAGCTGTGTTTATTTCCCAAAGATTACTAAAGTTACATGAACTAAAAGTCATTACAGTTTTTTTCTTCCAAATATTTTATATAAGCACTTTGATTTAAGCCAGTTAATTAGAGCTCTTATATATAAACATTACACACACAACACATATATAACTACACAGACAGAAGAAGATTACTACAGCAGTTGTAAGACTTTTCATTTGCCAGTTTTAAAGTTTCTTAATTGGATTACTGGCTTTAGGGTGGAGTCCTTGAAAGAACAGGGCCAGGAAAGGGTCTCTGGTGTCTTCTGTTTTTCCCAAGGAGTCCCAGGCTCTTAGAGCTTCAATATTCACTTTTAATTAAGCTGACTTTTAACCATAGCACTCTTTAACAAAATCCTTTTAAAATTTCTTATTACCTAACTTTAGCCAGGCCAAACAGCTGATATTTCTGGCTTTTAAACTTTACCAAAAGTAACCTCACAGGTGCTTTGAGAAAGGAAAATTCAAGACAACTGGTGGAGGGGAAGAGAATCAAAAAATGGCCAAGTTCACCCAAATATCAACCAGAAAGGCTCATCCCCTAAGCTAGGGATTGAACCCTGAACTCAGGCCACCATTGTGAAAAGAGAAAGCACGGCCACATGGTTACAAGTTCAATCTCCCAAGTACATAACTGAACATTTTGCTGGGCCATCTTGAACATCAGGCTTATGGGGTTTTAGGCACGCATTTTATCCTAAGGTACCACTCTTTATTACAGAACAATAGAGAAAGACACACAAAGCACACCAGATTCACTACAGCTTAAGACCAGCCTCAGAATTTTTTCATATTAATCAAAACTTTACAGAGGAGATAAGCAGTATCTTTTTACCCCTCATTTAACCAGTTTGCACAGAGAAAAAGAGGGAGAAAAGCCAGAAATCTGACTACCTAGGAATTCTAACACTTTTGCCAGCATACTAGGCTTCCCTAAGCAGCCCTAGTGACCTAGCTTGCTGCACCATCAACCTAGGGGCCAAGCCGCATAAAAAAGGAAAATTATCTTTTTTTTGTTCTGCCCAGAGCAAAATATGTGTGATGAAACGTAGACATTAGCCACTCTGCTTAACTCCCAATATCAAACTGTCAAGGCTTAAATTTGCCCTCAGATGAGACCCCCATCATCTTTAATCCAACCTCTGACTAGGAATTTCAACACGTGGTTTCTGGGCAAGATGGTTGCCCTGTGTAACAGAAAAGATAGGAAAGGAAAAGTAGAGAGAGAAAAGTATTGCCTGTGGCAGGGTGGGGAAGGTGAATAGCTCAAGGAGGCCAGATAAAGACCTACCCACTGCAGTGACACTGAAAAGTTCAGGCAGCCACTTGTCAGTAGCAAAGGGATCTTTTCCAGCAGTCCCATCAGGTCTCAAGTTTCCCCTTTTGGGGAGGAAAAAGCTCCCCATATCCCATGGTCCTGTAAATGCCTTATCCTGTCACCCATATCTGTCAGAAAAAAGTGTAAGACAGATTAATCCAAAGGGAATAGCGGTTAACATGCCATAGTGCCAAACCCATTCTTAGCCAAAAGGGACTTTACTGAGAGCCCTCATTTTCAAATGTACTTCAATGAATTGTTGTTCATTTGGAATGTTCTACAGTAAGTTACCTTTAGTAAGATTTTGCCGTTTCTGTAAGACTTCACTGCCTTCTGGGCATAATGTATAAGCTAGAAAGAACTCAGTTTTCCAGAAATTAAGGATCCCATTTTTACCTAAAATATTGGCTTTAATCTCAGGTTCTCTTGATTGACTTAGCCAATGATTTTTCCTAAGCATGCAAGCAAAAGGAAACAAAGGGGTAGAACACAAAAATCCCCATGAATTTTCAAAAGCCAAATTTTATAACCCCTGCAATATTACTGCTTAATACCAGTTCCTTTCTGACCAAGTCAGATATATGGAGCCTCTAACTTAATCCAAGCCAGTTAATTCCTGGATCAAATCCATTCCTGGACCCAGCCCAGATTCTGTTGTGACTTAAACCCAGTTTGGATCAGAAAGTTGCTTGAAGAAACTCAGAGGGCAAAAAGCACAAATCCATGGAGCTCTGAAATCTGAGAGAGAGGGAGCTTACCCATCATCCCCAGCTGCTCTGAGAGATTAATGGACAAAAGTGGGTCCTGCAGGTACCTTGTTTGTTCACTCAATGCTCCTAGGGCTTGCTAGAAGCTCTACTTTGGATCCCACTTCTGATACCGTCTGATAACAGAAAAACTTCAGCCAAAATAAATTTAAAGGAGTTTAATTGAGCAATGAGAGATTCATGGATCAGGCAGCCCCCAGAATCACAGCAGATTTAGAGACTCCAGCACAGCAACATGGTGGAAGATTTATAGACAAAAATGGGAAATGACATACAGAAATCAGAAGTGAGGTACAGAATGGCTGGATTGGTTACAGGTTGGCATTTGCCTTATTTGAACACAGTTTGAATACTCAGCACTGTATGAATTGTTGAAGTATGGCTACTGGGACTGGCTAAGACTCAGCTATTGTTACAGGCACATACTCCTAAGTTAGGTTTTCAATATTGTCTACCTATTAAACTAGGTTGCAGTTCGTCCACATGGCCTCATATATAGAAGTACAGAGTCCCTTCTCAGGCCATATTTAGTTCGCTTTAACAGGAGAAACTTAGTTTACAGTTCAGCTTTGAAACAAACACAATAACAGTTTTTTCCCAAAACAAACCTTACAATTGTTTGAAATGCTTGTTCCCCGGTGCTGTAAAGAAATAGCACTTGAACATAAATTTAATTTACTCAGCAAGGCCATTTTTATACTTTCTGTAGAAAGGATACACTCGCTAGCAGTTTTGCCAAGACAGCACAAGGAACAAAGGAGACAGGGTTATTTATAACCTGACGTGTCCACCCTACCACTCTGTCCAGTTTCCACTGGCTAGAACGGGACCTTACATTCTGTATTTGTCCTGATTGGCTAGCAACTTAGAACTTTTTAAAAGAAGTAAAGGTAGATGAGAACAAAGGAAGGAGGAAGTAACTTGTGGAATACTGAGAAAGGTAAAAACACCTTCAAATAAGGAAGAGGAATAGGCTGTGACCTAATGCTTGCTTGGACCAGTATAAGCATGCTAGGGCAAATATTTAGGCTAAATTGTGGGAGCTAAGAACATAAAGTGTATTGATTTCTTTATCATGGCTAGCAGATATTTAAGAATGTTAGCACAGGTCTTTGAATACATTTTGCGTCTAACCGAGAAGTTACTATTTATTCCTAATTAAATGGGGAGGAAAGTCTTTGAAGAGGAACCTCTATTTACTTTTTACAATTCCCCCTTTTTATTTTATAATTCCTCTTCAAACTTCTTTAATATGTTTTGACTTAATTGCTTTGTTTGTCCTTCTAAGAGAAGTAATTTTTCCAAATAGGGTGGAGGAGAGTTAGGAGTTAACTCTGTAAGAGTGGTAGAGACAAGTTTTTGTATAAAACTTTGAAGGCAGTGAATAATATAACAGCCTACAAGAATAAGTACACCAATAACAAGAACAAACAAGGTGAGAATTGATGTTAAAATTTTATTTTATCCACTGAACCAATGTTTCATCATTTTAGAAAAAGGGTTATTTATTTTAGACTTTTTGGCAAGTTTATCAGATAGGGCTGTTAATCCTTGTAGCGCTTTTGTCATAGTTCCGTCGGGGCAGTATTATTAGGAACAAAGGTACAACATTGAGTTTTAATTATGACACAAACAACTTTTTTTGCTAATGTTATATTTAAAGCTATTCTATTTTTCTAGGCCATCTGATTTCTAGGTCCTAATTGCTTAGCTATCTCTTTGATGGCATCCCCAGTGTAATTTATGAATCATTGCTGATTGTAATAGATATAGTTTATGTAGTCTAATTTTTTTTTATTTACCTACCGGAACAACGTGGATTTAAATTCTGCAGCTATTTGATTTTGTGCTTTAAACTTATTTGGCATTCTCACAGGACCTTAATAGCATTCATGTAAACCTGAGGATTAAAGGATTCATAAGGAGTTTCCTTTGGCCTGCAGTGTTTTGTTTTTACCTTTTCAGATTGATGAAATGCCAGGGTGAAGGGGATAGCCAATTGGATTAGAGCCCAAGTACTCCTCCAATTATTTGGCAAGGTGTCCAGTAAAGGTCCTCCACAGTACCACCATACATTTGCTTGGGGATGGCTAAGCATGGATGGATGGGCAAGCTCTTGGAAAGGCTTGAGCTCCTTGCATCCTTTTATGCTTCCAAGGAACACCAAATTTTCCCCCTCCCATGAGATGCATGAAGTAAACTTGGCATTTAGAGGTGGAAGCTGGATTGCCCTCAGGGGCTGACCTGCAGGGTGTTGAATTTCAGGAAATTGCAGAGAGAGCTCAGCATGATGGATTATCCCAAGCAGTGGGATTCTGAAAAAGACCCACCATACAGTCCATATCTGGTTGACGAGGAGACCATCTGAGTGGAAAGGGGATAATCTGGGCCTCTGGCCTACCATGCGTACAAGCGTAATAATCGCTTTTATTTAAAGTGTGAACAGAGTATTTAATCCATTCCAACCAGGCATTTGCATCTTGATATTTTGTCTTGATGGCTAAGGTCTCTCTTAGCTCTATTATTTTTACAATAGGCACCCTAGTTTTATTAGATGTAGGAGCACCCGGTGTGGGATCTAGAACTGAGGCTACTGAAGAAGGGAAGATGGGGGAATAATGCATATTTTAAAAATACCTAGGGGGTCTTTTCCATTTATGTCAATCCCCATACCATAGAAGTGACTAAGGGCAGGTCTAGAGTTAGTTAAGGTAGAGGTGGTGATACAGAGAAGGACAGGGTTACACTGATACGGCTGACAGTCACAAGGGGTAGCCGTTTTAGTGAAATAGATGAGGGGTTTTAGATCTGCACAAATCTTTTTCGTGGAAGTCCAACTTTGCTCCTGAGTAGTTTAAAGGATGGAGTCCCATTTACTACAAGGTTGCCAGGCCGTAGGAGCAGAAAATCAGCATCTTGGCTTTAGGTCATTACAACAATGAGTGCTAGGGGAAACTGTGTCAATTAGAGGGCTGGGACATAAATATTTGTGTAAAAAGGCTAGCTGTTATTGATCTTTTACATTTCCACAAGGTATGACAGAGCAAGCATTAAAGGCAATGGTCTAAGGTGTGTCAGACTTAGTTATATTAATAACAAAGGAACTAGTGACAGAATAAGGAAAGGAAAGGAAGCAATATAGAAGGTATATGAAAGTTAAGCTTTCTTTAACTTAGGGCCTGATCCTAGTACAGTAATGCATGATTCTGAGAGGAGGATGTTTTCTTGACTTGAGTATGTTGGGTCCATTTTTCTCTTGGCTGTGTGGACGGCAGTCTCAGTGGTTAACAGCATAAAATAGGGTTCTTCCCAGGGTGGCTTGAGGTTTTTCTATGTTTTGATAAGGACTTGGTTTTCAGGCTGGTGCTTGTGTGCTGGATTTCTAGGGGTGGTACCTGTACTAAAAGACTTTTAGTTCCAAGGGAAGGGAAAGTGGAAGATAAATTAAGTATATAATTTCTGCTGCATATCCTGGGGCTTGAGGCCCCATGGTGATGCCTCCCACTCCATTCCTGCTCAGCACCACCCAGGGCATGCTGCAGCCCTGCTCCCTTTTAATGTCTTGGCCTTCTTGTGGCCTTCACCGCCCCTGCACACTGTGGCCTTGGGGTTGAGGGGCCTTGTGACTTACCTGGCTGCCTTTTGGGACTTAAGAAAGCTAAACACCAGGCTGGGTGCGGTGGCCCACACCTGTAATCCCAGCACTTTGGGAGGCTGAGGCGGGCGGATCACGAGGTCAGGATATCAAGACCATACTGGCTAACACAGTGAAACCCCATCTCTAATAAAAAAAAAAAAAAAAAAAAAAAAGCCAGGCATGGTGGCAGGCACCTGTAGTTCCAGCTACTCAGGAGGCTAAGGCAGGAGAATGGTGGGAACCCAGGAGGTGGAGCTTGCAGTGAGCCGAGATCACACCACTGCACTCCAGTCTGGACGACAGAGTAAGATTCTGTCTCAAAAAAAAAAAAAAAGAAAGAAGGAAAGCTAAACACCACTTTATATTTGACAATGTTTTTTGTATGATTTTATACCAGATAAGTTAAATTTTACCTTTATATTAATGTGCTATTAATGTGAAACTTAATTTTTATAAAATCTTATTGTCATTATTTCCACTTTTAATGTCTGACTATAAGGTAAGACTTTTATAGACTCTTTTTAACTTTTTATAATTTTTGTTAAAGAGCAGGTTAGTGCTTTAAGAAAAATTTACTGTGCTTTTATGTTAATGTCCAGTTCACAGAAAAACTGGATGATACCCCTTTAGCTTTAGCCAATATGTTTACACAAAGAATTTCCTTTACAATTAACATTTTAAAACTTGTTTAAACCTTTAAAACAAAATTTTTTAAACCTTTTAATGTAGGTAAAAATCCATATTCTTATGCCTCCTTATAATCCTGTTATTAAAAGTATATTTTATCTTTCTTACATACCTTGTACATAATCTGGGTTTTTAAAAATAATTTTACATCCAAGAGGCCTAATTATTTAAATTATACAATATTTCTTGCATAAATTCCCTTTTATAGCATTTCTTATGACTTTCACAGACAATCTTCAACATGTCTTAACTTTCTGCCTTCCTTTTACATTATTTCTTTTCCTAGTTTCACCCTCTGTGTCTTCCTTTGATTTCTGTCTCCTCCAGTTTCTCTCTTTCTTACTCTTTCCCTTGATTTCTCTATCATTTGCACTCTATTTTCCTCTCTCTCTGTGTCATCCCGTTTCCCTTTCCCCTCCCGAGTTCTCCCACTCCTGCCACCAGCGGGGCCAGGCCACAGCATGGGCCCCACCCCTGTGCACATGCTGCCATCTATTTCTCCTATTTTTTTTTCTCCCAATTCCCCTTTTTGCTTTTTTCCTTTCTTCTTACTTAGTTTCTCGGGGTGGGTGGGATTTGCGCAGCTGCAGTCCGGGCCCCGGGCAGTCACCAGCCCAGAGGCTTGGCAGATGCCTGCCACAAATTGCAAGAATTATGCCCCTTTCACCTCCTCTGCTCTCCCCCTGGCACTGGTCCCTGCCCTCTTTTTCACATAGAGCCAGGCTGGGGAGTGGGACCTAACTCTTGGCATGCCTGCCTTGCTGTTTGGTGCTGTGCTTGCTGTTTTTGCTTTCTTTCTCTCTGAATTCCTCTCCTAGTTTCTTTTTCCTCTCTGCTGGTCTTTCCTTTGTCTTTGCCAGTGACCTGTGCTGCTGTTTTCCCCTCTCTTTCCCCTTCCCCTAGGGGAGGGACCAGCGGGAGTGGAGCTACTGTTTCTTCCCCTAAAGGGAAAGAAAAGGGGGTTCTGAATATTTTTCTTACTACGGGAGGTTTGTGTGAGGTTCAACCCCACTCATGGGGATTTCTCACCTCTTTCTTATGTTCAACCCCCCCCATGGGGATTTCTCACCTCTTTCTAAGGTTCAAACCCTCTCGTGGGGATTTCTCACCTCTTTCTGAGGTTCAAAGCCCCTCATGGGGATTTCTCACCTCTTTCTGAGCTTCAACCCCCCCTTCCCATGGGGATTTCTCACCTCTTTCTGAGGTTCAAAGCCCCTCATGGGGATTTCTCACCTCTTTCTGAGGCTCAACCCCCACCCCCCATGGGGATTTCTCACCTCTTTCTGAGGCTCAACACCCCCCCATGGGGATTTCTCACCTCTTTCTGAGGCTCAACCCCCCCCCCCCCCCCGTGGGGATTTCTCACCTCTTTCTGAGGCTCAAACCCCCTCGTGGGGATTTCTCACGTCTTTCTGAGTTTCAAATGCCCGTCATGGGGATTTCTCACCTCTTTCTGAGGTTCAACCCCCCCCATGGGGATTTCTCACCTCTTTCTGAGGTTCAACCCCCACCATGGCGATTTCTCACCTCTTTCTGAGGCTCAACTCCCCCTCATGGGGACTTCTGACCTCTTTCTGAGGCTCAACTCCCTGCCATGGGGATGTCTCACCTCCTTCTGAGGTTCAACCCCCCCTCATGGGGACTTCTCACCTCTTTCTGAGGTTCCATCCCCCCTCATGGGGATTTCTCACCTCTTTCTGAGGTTCAACCCCCCCTCATGGGGATTTCTCACCTCTTTCTGAGGTTCAACCCCTCCACGTGGCTTTCTCACCTCTTTCTGAGGTTCAACCCCCCACATTGGGATTCCTCACCTGTTTCTGAGGTTCAGCGCCCCCCACCATGGGGATTTCTCACTTTTTTCTGAGGTTTAACTCCCCCATCCTGCCCACCTCATGGGGATTTCTCACCTGTTTCTGAAGTTCAGCCCCCCCATGGGGATTTCTCACCTCTTTCTGAGGTTCAAGCCCCGCCCCCATGGGTATTTCTCACCTCTTTTTAACCTGCAAGACATCCCGACTAAGGAATACTTCACGGCCCTGCTGCGGCTTTCTTTCCCTAGTCCCAACTAAGGAATGCTTACCGCCCCTGTGGTTTCTCTCTCCTTGGTATGTCCTAACCAAGGAATGCTTTACAGTCCTGTGGCTTTTTCCTTAGTCCCGACCACCAAGGAAATACTTTACTGGCCCCTGCGGCTTCTCCTTCCTTGGTCTGTGCATGGAGTTGTCACCACGGTATGTGGCTACCTTGCTGGCCAGTTTCTTTCTTTTCTTTTCTCTGCGTTGCTGAGAGTCCGAGTTTATTCGTCACACTGGGTGGGTCTCAATTTCTCATCCCTGAGGCCACCGCAGTGAGGCAGAAGAGCACACTCCCTCAGGAGAGAGGACTGGAGACCGCCCCTGGAGAAGAATACATCCCCATATGGATTGCCACCGAATTGTTTGAAATGCTTGTTCCCCAGTGCCATAAAGAAATAGCACTTGAACATAAATTTAATTTACTCAGCAAGGCCATTTTTATACTTTCTGTAGAAATGATACACTCACCAGCAGTTTTGCCATGAGAGCACACCGAACAAAGGAGACAGGGTTATTTATAACCTGACATGTCCATCCTACTGCTGTGTCCAGTTTCCACTGGCTGGAATGGGACCTTACATTCTGTATTTGTCCCGACTGGTTAGCAACTTAGAACTTTTTAAAAGAGGCAAAGGTAGAGGGGAACAAAGGAAGGAAGAAGTAACTTGTGGAATGCTGAGAAAGGTAAAAACAGCTTCAAATAAGGAAGAGGAATATGCTATGACCTAATGCTTGCTTGGACCAGTATAAGTATGTCAGGGCAAATATTTAGGCTAAATTGTGGGAGCTAAGAGCATAAAGTGCATTGATTTCTTTATCACAGCTAGCAGATATTTAAGAATGTTAGCACAGGTCTTTGAATAAATTTTGCTTCTAAGAGAAGTTACTATTTATTCCTAATTAAATGGGGAGGAAAGTCTTTGAAGAGGAACCTCTGCTTTACTTTTTACATCTGTGGACTAGACCAGCTAAAGCTGCAAGATTAGAAGTTATGGTAATCTTACTAAATTCAAGATGTAGCTATCTTTATTAAACCAATATCAATGTCTTATTTATTAAAAATTACACAAGCAAAGATCATTCTGTCTTGGGCCGGGTTTATAGTTTCGTAACCTCTATGCCCAATTTTGACACCTTGTAGTATTTGGCAGGGATAAGTATGAAATTGCTTGATTAATAAATGCAACAAATATGTATGCTGGCAATTCTTCAGACATTTCTAATATTACTTTACCAATAATTTTAAAGCTAGCTTATTTACTAAAGATTTTGCTTATGTAAATAAGAAAGCATTTGACTAGTCTTTTCTTTTTTCCTGATAAAGGATCTGATTCAAGTGTTTTTATTTTCTTAAGCCAATTAATTAGACCTCTTTTATATCAGTAGTGAAATATTGTGTTGGCAATGCATAAATACCTAAATGTATTAGGCATGCCGATAGAAGTACATTTTATAGATTTATAAAAACCTTTTATTTTTCCCTATCTGAGACTTTTGTATTCTTGATAACCTGTTTCACAACCCTAGGCAGTAGTCAGTTAAATAGCCTTAAATTTGCATGTTAAAGTAAAAAACTCAAGTGAAATTCAAATAGCAAAATTTACATCATAAGGTACAGAAAGAGTAAGTTTGGTGGTGCTGTAGGAAGATTAAAGGTGGATGCAAAATCAAACATAAAATTATAGAAATCTATCATAGGATTGTATAAGGAGACCAATCTTATTTAAATAGGGACTATCTATGGATCTCCAAGCTCTGGGCAGAGCCCATACTGAATTGTAAATCTTCAAAAAGGGAAAATTATTGTGAGGTTAGACCATGTGATGCTTTTACACTTGAAAAAAAATTTTTAAAGACACTTTTAAGTGTCTAAACCACACTCTTCCTTTAAAACCCAAGAGTAACTTCTCTTGTGGTAATGATTTTAGTCAAAAATAAAAAAGCAGTTAACACAATATAAAATTAAGCAGTTTAAGAACTGAGACATATGTGGCTAGGTTGCTGGCCAGTTTCTTTTTTTTTCTCTGCGTTGCTGAGAGTCCAGGTTTATTTGTCACACTGGGTGGGTCTCAATTTCTCATCCCTGAAGCCACTGCAATGAGGCAGAAGAGCGCGATCCCTCCTGAGAGAGGACTGGAGACCGCCCCTGGAGGAGAATATATCCCTGTAATTAAATAGATTCCCCATAAGGAAAAACAGGTTTCTCCCCAAAAGGGAGTCTGGTGCCTTCATTTTCTTTAAGGAGCCCCAGGCTATTATAAACTATTTTAAGTCCCTTATGCAGCAGAGGGTGCAAGAGAAAGGAGAGACAGCAGAAGTAAATGAAGAAAACAGAATTCAGTCAACTGAGGAAGAAAAAAACAACTTTTGCTCAAAAAGAGACATGGTTTTAGGAGAAAAACAAAAACAAAAACATGAAGGCCTTTTAAATACGGGCACACACATATGCACACACACACACACACACACATCTTGGATGTTAGCTTTTAATTAAGCTGACTTTTAACCACTGAGTTGCTTTAAAAAAATCTTTTAAAATGTCATTACCGTATTTCAACTAGGAAAAATTGCTGCAATTTCAGAAGTATAGCCATTGCTCTTTCAGCTTGATCTGGCTAGTAAAAGGTGGCCTTGTTATGTAAATAAAGCCCCTTCGTAGTCAAAATGAAAAATCTTTCCTCTTTTTTTTCCCCTTTTGCTGGCCATTTTTCCCCCCCGACCACACCACCATTTTTTTTTTTTTTTTTTGGTAGGAATTTAGCCACTTCAGAGGCCTCGTTCCCTGTAATTTGGAACTTCCTTCAGATTTAATCAGGTCAGATAGAGCTGATCAAACCCAGTGGTAAAAAGACCAAAACAACAACAAAAATAGAAACAAACAGCAGCAAATAAAAAAGTTAAGCAAAACAAATGATCACACAACTTATATAGTTACTGAGCGCTCTAATGGTAAGGAGAAATTAAGACCAGCTGGTTGTTAATCTTAACTTTAGCCAAGACAAACCACAATTCACTTACTTATCTAGGATTGGGTCTCAAGCTGAAGACTGCTCTCTACCTTCCTAGAAGCAGGGAAAGAAAACTTCTTCTTCCCGTTGGAAGCAAGCTCAAACTCCCCAAAGGAGTTACCTGCTGTTAGATATGAGTTCTAAATTTCTTTTCAAATAATTAATATGTCAGTATGTTCAATTCTTTGCCTTCTACTTTTAAATTTAACTTCCTTGTAAAGCAACATTTTTCGATTACCTACTCCACCCTGACTCATTTTGATCACCTGCTCCACCCTAACTCATTCCAATCACCTGCTCCACCCTAACTCATTCCAATTACCTGCTACCAGCTCTGCCCTGACTCCCACCAAAGCACTCACTCCCTCATTCTCTTTAAATTAGCCAGCCAATCAGAATTAGCTTAGCCAGTGCTGTCTAACCCTAGCCAATAGGGGAACGACACAACAGCAGGGGCCACGTGCATCAGGGATAAGAACCCCTTCCCCTCCCTTGTCCAGGTGTGCGCTCACCATTGCTCCAACTGTAAGGGTGCACCCTTCTATAGAAGTACCTTGCCTTGCTGAGAATTAAACGAAAATTTTACATTCGAGTGCTATTTCTTTTGCGGCACCAAAACTTTATATATAACACTGCCTACCATCGTAGTGGAAGCAGAAAAACTTGCCTTCCTTGTGTTGGAAACAAGTAAAACTCCAAAAAAAAAAAAAAGTTGTACAGCAAAATAAACTAGTTCTCAACCAAATTTTGGGAGATCAGGGATTCTCTGGAGGGGATGCTTCCAGGCCTCAGCAAATTGTTCTATTGGTTTGAGTCATAAAGATTGCTGAAGCTGGTACCAAGCACCCATAGGAGATTTGTCAAAGGTGAGGGACACCTACACTCAGAATCCCTCCTTGGTTACCAAAATGTGAACCCCCAAATTCTGAGACAGGTCTCAGTTAATTTAGAAAGTTTATTTTGCCAAGGTTGAGGACACACGCCCATGACGCAGCCTCAGGAGGTCCTGATGACATGTGCCTAAGGTGGTTAGAGCACAGTTTGGTTTTATACATTTTAGGAAGATATGAGCCATCAATCGACATATGTAAGATGAACATTGGTTTGGTCTGGAAAGGTGGGACAACTTGAAGCAGGGAGGGGGCTTCCAGGTCATAGGTAGATAAGAGACAAATGGTTGCATTCTTTTGAGTTTCTGATTATCCTCTCCGAAGGAGGCAATCAGATAGGCATTTATCTTAGTGAGCAGAGGGGTGACTTTGAATAGAATGGGAGGCAGGTTTGCCCTAAGTAGTTCTCAGCTTGGCTTTTACCTTTAGTTTAGTGATTTTGGGGGCCCAGGATATTTTCCTTTCACGGAAGCTAAAAGTTTCTTTGATCAAATAATCAATTTATTTTATTTCCAGAGTAAGGATTTCTGTGTGCTTTTCTCCAAAGACTTGTATTCTTTTTAATAATTGTTTTTCCTCTGTTTTCTTTAACTATCACAGATAAGGAATGGTAAAGAGATTTTGGTAACTATTCTGACTTTCAGAACACTTTGTTGTTTCTTTTGTTGAGTAATAGAATTTCTTTTTGATTTTTAGAATTTCTAGCAATCAAAGTAATGCTCAATGAAAGAAAATTTGGAAAAAAAAAAAAAAAAAAAAAAAAAAAAACAGCAAGGAGGGAAGAATTGTCACCTTGAGTCACATCCCAAAGTCAAACATCACATTTCCAGTTTCTTCTTTTCTATGCTTAGGCTTTGAAAAGACAAAGAGTAATACTTATTGCACATGTTTCTGCATTACTATAAAGGTAAATACATATCCAGTTACTTGAAATAAAATGCCTGCAAAATCCTGTCCTCTCATCTGCCATTGATAACAGCAAATTTTTCTGTTATGCAGCACAGTGATGAGTTCCATTCTTCATCCTTTGTTGGTGACCATAGGATTCCTTTTTCTTTGAGCCTTGAAATTACACTATATAATTTTTTTCTTCTTTTTCATGGCATTTCTATACCTTTACTGCAATTCTAGCATTATTTATAATATTTTACACTGTGAAGTTTTATTTTCTCATGTTTGTAAACATACTCATAACTTTACATTTTATTCTTTTCACTATTATATTTTTGCATATTATTTCAGTTTCTATAAATAAAAACTTAAATGTCTAAATAATAGTCCATCAAAAGTACTGTCTATAATTTAACTACTTTCTAACTAGTGGAGTTTTAAGTTGTTTTTTGATTTTAGCATTATAAATGTAAATAACTTTGATCATAAAAAGCTTCAGAATGTTTTGAAGAATAAAAGATCTGTCTTTTCCCAGAACATACCTATTTATTTAGGTTAAGCTGAAAAGTCAATTTTTTTTTTTTTGATAGCAGGCAAAGTCTTGTTGATACTTACAGACTGCAGAGAAAATATAAAACAAAGGTACAGCCTTTATGCTTGAAGGACATACATGTTTTGTTGTTCCTCTTCTAGAGATGGCAAGCCTGTCTCATCTTTATTATGCTAGGAGGAATACAGGAGCTGCCACCATTGCTCAGCTTCTAGTTCACTTTCTGCCGACTTTTGGAGTTTTCACACATTGACTAAGGACCACAAGTATAAAGCTCTCGTGTTTTTATCTCTGGAGCTTAAGGCTAAGTGTGAAGCATGCAGTACTTTTTTCCAAAGATTTTAACAACACCTTACATGATTGTTATTACTTGACTCCTTTGGGTAAGAGGGAACCAAGTGAAGGAACAAGGGTGCCTCTCAAGTATGGCAACTCAACGACACACCCAGCAACTGTGTTCAAAATAGAGCTCAGAATCTAGCTTTAGTCTTTCAACACAAGAAAGATAGCAATCTCAAGAAATATGCTTTGTATTTGAATTTGGATTGGAGTAGATTGTTTGTTCAGATTCTCTAGGCTGGATACTCCCTCTCATTTTATTTTTTTTAGTTTTCTTTTTTTGAGATGGAGTCTCACTCTATTTGCCCAGACTGGAGTGCAGTGACACAATCTTGGCTCACTGCAACCTCTGCCTCCCTGGTTCAAGCCATTCTCATGCTTCAGCCTCCCAAGTAGCTGGGATATCCCTCTCTTGCTTTCTTTATCCTTATTTTCCCTCTCTCTCTGGAAACTTTTCTATTTTGTTTTATTTGAGATAGACTCTGTGTTACCCAGGCTGCAATGCAGTGATGTAATCTTGTCTCACTGCAACCTCCACCTCCCCAACTTCACTCCTTCAGAGCAACTGAGACTACAGGGGTGCCACCATGTTCTCCACTGGAAACATTATTTTTGATTATCATCAAAATACGGGGGAGAGGGGCAGTGTTATCGGCCTCTAGTGGGTAATGGCCAGGGATGCTGCTTCACTGTGGGGGCTACAATGCACAGGATAGCCCCCACAATGAAGAATTATGGAGTCCAAACTGTCCATAGTGCCGTCATTAAAAATGCTGCTGTACATAACAAATGTGTACCTCTATGAGATGGATACTGGCCTTCCCTGATTTATTAAAAGCAAAGGGCAAGAAATAATTGGCCTAAACTCTGAAGTTACCTAATATCTTGCATGTAGTATTTTGAGAGTAATGACCATAGAAGGCATATCATACCAGGATAAATAAATATGCGGAAACTTCTGTTGTAGTTAGGAGGAGAATTTGGCAGCGCCAGGTACTCACGCCTGTAATCCCAGCACTTGGGGAGGCCGAGGCAGGCAGATTACCTGCCATCAGGATTTTGAGACCAGTCTGGCCAACATGGCGAAGCCCTGTCTCTGCTAAAAATACAATTAGCCGAGCCTGGTGGCGCACACCTGTAATCCCAGCTACTCAGGAGGCTGAGGCAAGGAGAATCGCTTGAACCCGGGAGGCAGAAGTTGCAGTGAGTCGAGATTGTGCCACTACACTCCAGCCTGGGTGACACAGTGAGACTCAGTCTCAAAAAAAAAAAAAAAAAAAAAGGAGTATTTAACTTTGTTTTTGATGTGTGGATCATTTTTATTACTTTCATAGGATGTCAGCACTGGAAGGAACTTTAGAGATAATCTAATCAACACCACATTTTTCCATTGTACACAGGAAACTGAATTCCAAAAAGGAAACGAACTAACTCAAATTTTCCCTGATCTGGAATTACAAGCATCAGCTCATTATTCCTGCAATAAAACCGATTGGCCAGGAGCTAAACAGAAGACTTCTAAAAAATGAAAACCCCTGGCCGGGCGCGGTGGCTCACGCCTGTAATCCCAGCACTTTGGGACGCCGAGGCAGGCGGATCACGAGGTCAGGAGATCGAGACCATCCCGGCTAACACTGTGAAACCCCGTCTCTACTAAAAATGCGAAAAATTAGCCGGGCGTGTTGGCGGGCGCCTGTAGTCCCAGCTACTCGGGAGGCTGAGGCAGGAGAATGGCGTGAACCCGGGAGGCGGAGCTTGCAGTGAGCCGAGATGGCGCCACTGCACTCCAGCCTGGAGGACAGTGAGACTCCGTCTCAAAAAAAAAAAAAAAAAAAAAAAAAAAAAAATTGAAAACCCCTGTCTCTGATAAAAGACATTTTAAAGATTAAACAAATTATGTATATGATTCTTTTTAAATATATTTTCTCCTTCTGAAGCACGTTGCATAAAGAGCATACGTTGAAAGTAACACAGAAAATTAAATTCTTCTACTACTTAACTTCTCTAAGCCTCATGTTTGTTCTTCTACAAGATAAAATGGGGGAAATAATTTCCACTTTAGAGAAAGGAATAGATGAAGCAAACTAAAGTTTATCAAGTTGATGGGCAAAAAGTAGGATCTCAACAAATGATAGTTGGCGTATCAGTTTAAGTTATGGATTGCAAGCAACAGAAACAAATTCTGGCCAATTAAAGCAGAAAAAGAATTACTGAAAGAAAATTGGGTAGCACAATGAAGTATAAGAATGCCTGGAGAATGTGAATTGGAAATGGCCAAGAATAAAGGAAGGCTGCATAGTCAGAATCACAAGCAAAATTGCAAAATTGCACCTCAGTTGAGTGAGGACACCATTCCTGCTGCCACTACAGAACACGAGTGCACCAGCCTCTACCACAAACCTGAATCTAGCACAACACCAACACTAGCATGGCTGCTGCTGAAACTGCTATCTTCACTCCCTCTCCAATCCCTACCAAAAGGAATGCTCCCAATCCTGCCTCACTATCTCCATGTTAAAAATTTCAGGTGGATAATTCTAGTTAGCTGAGTCTAGGTCACAGCCCTGTGCTCTACCTGTCACAGAGTCAGGAAAGTGATCATCTGACATTTTCAGCTTATTATGGAAGAAGAATTCTCTCTCTCACCAAGTAACATAAAATGGGAAATTCCCTAGAGGAAGGGAGCTCAAATATGGAGAGTATCCCACATGTAGTGACAAATTTTCACTATAGAAGTCTTTTCATCCTAACTCCCTCTGCTCACCATGGCCACAAAAGCCAAACAAATTCTGAGTGAGTTACAATCATCTGGGGACAAAACAAATACTATCTCCAGCAATTGTTGTGATAGAGCTTTTTGTGTAATAGTTTCACTACACTTTTCTGACTTTTAGTTTCTTTTTCTTTTTCCTTTTTTTTTTCTTTTTTTTGAGACGGAGTTTCGCTCTCATTGCCCAGGCTGGAGTGCAATGGTGCAATCTCGGCTCCCTGCAACCTCTGCCTCCCAGGTTCAAGTGATTCTCATGCCTCAGCCTCCTGAGTAGCTGGGATTACAGGTGAGTGCCACCACGCCTGGCTCACTTTTGTATTTTTAGTAGAGACGGGGTTTCACCACGTTGCCTAGGGTGGTCTCGAACTCCTGACCTCAGGTGATCTGCCTGCCTCGACCTCCCAAAGTGCTGGGATTACAGGCATGAGCCATGGCACCCAGCTGAAATTTCTAATTAGATAACTTATACTTTTCAGTCAAAACTCGAAAAAATAATTATTGTTGAAGGGTATTTGGAATACAACTGTTTCGGAGGCCCTTAGTAGACTAATTTATAAAAAAAAAAACAGAAGGTGATGAAGGAAAGTCTATGTTTGATCCATACAGTCTGACACTTGAGAAATAAACAGTGACTTCACAGTGGACAAAAGAAGAAGAAAACATGAGTAGGAAACTCTGATACTACTGTTGATAAATGGTGGTTTCAGACAAGGCTGAAGCAAACCTGGAGCTGTGGGAAGTGGTAGATGAAGAATGTACATCGGGGAAAAGGGGAAAAGCAGTTATAGTCTGTCTTTGATAGTGTAAAATTTATTATGTTTTGGTTTTAGGTTGAATATACTATACAAAACATAGTATCTAGTAAATTTTAACAATGGAATAAGCAAAAGAATCCTTGAAGCCTAAATTATAATGGATTTATTAGTCAAATAAGCCAGATCATTGTAAAATAAAACTTTAGGTTTGGAAAAGAAAGACTAATATGTAATTTATAGATATCCTAATCTCTGAGGCAATATAAAAATATATTAATATTTAGCTATGCTCTCTAGCATGTATCACAAGTATGTCTTGAAAAGTGAAGTGACTGTTAGTTTCCTAGGTAGAATGATCGAATACCTTAATTATTGAAGTTATCACACAAATAGTTATAGCATTCCTACCACATTCTAGGTCCTGTGTTAGGACCTGGGATACAAAGATAAGTAAGATACAGTTATTGTTGCCAAGGAACTCACAGTCTAACAAGCTCCAAAATAATATGATAAATGCGGTAAAAGATATTTACAGGAAACTAATTGGGGATGGAGCCCATAGCATCATATGAGGAGAAAGAAGGAAGGCTTCCTGGAAGAGGAGGTGTCTGAGCTAATTCTAAATCACTGTACCAAAATTCTCAAGTTTTAAAAACAAGAGAGCAAACAGTTGTCCTGTTTTTTGTTTGTTTTTGAGACATGATCTCATTATGTTGCCCAGGAGGGTCTCAAACTCCTAGATTCAAGAAATCCTCCCACCTCAGCCTCTCAAGTAGTTGTGACTACAGGTGCACACCGCCACACCCAGATCCCTTTGTTTATATAAGGGAAATAATCAGGAGAATAAGGCTAATAAATCCCTTTGGATTCCTAAACTTACTTCTTTAGCATATGTATCTGAAATTTTCAAAACTGTTGGTAATATGAATAATAAATTCAATAAATATAAATAATATGTATGAATACAACACTCCAAACCTTTCCTACATTGATTAAATAAAATGCTAGTGGATTTTTACTTTCTTCATTCACCATACATACAACTTGTTATAGCCACTAACAGCATATACTTAACCCCTTCTCTTGGTAGGGTTACTGGAAACTAAATGAAACACGTGAAGTTAGGTACAGGGCCTGGAACACAGTAGAGTTCAATAAGTGATAATCTCCCTCTCCAGTCCAAGGTGGGTCTTATACACCCTTTTATTACAGTGCCCTTGCAATCAATGATGCTCCATAAATATTTAAACTATACACTGACCCCGCAGTTAATTACCAGTACCTATCAAAGAAACCCTTAGCATCATCTCTCTTTCCCCAATTTCCTCAGTCTCCAACCAATTTATTTTTAGTAATGCCTTGTGACAAAACTCTGTAGGGATAAGTTCCTAAAACAAGAGTGTCACATTTAAGTTATATTTTTTAAAAATCACATAAGCATGATTCATAAAACAGTTATTGGAAGCTTCTGCCAATCCAACTGCAAATAGAAGTATCAAGACTTTAATATCTGTGGAAAAACAAATCGCTCAAGTATTGACATTACATGCAATCTCCAATTCCAGAGTAGGTAAGGATAAGGCAGTAAGTGTAGATAGAGTACACCGACAACAGATGGCAGCACTTGAACATCAAGCCCCGATGATAAGCCCTCCTTTTCACATCCATGTTCTGCTGTGACTTGCAGATTTGCATAACCTCAATCCAGGTGGGCAAAAGATTATGTCTACATACTACAGTAATGAGAAGGGACAACATGACATGAAACTCGTCTGAGACACAGATGAGTCTATGACTTGTTGAAGTTGTAAAGGTAATAGATACGAAGCTGGGTTCTGCAATCTCGAAAATGGGGGTACCCACAAACCATTAGAGCACTGGAAACATATAAACACTTAAAATGTCACTCAGCTGCACCCACACAATGTAGCTGGAAGTTGATTTTTTAAAGAAATGAAATTTATACTCAAGTGTGGTTCATATAAATTAGAGTTACAAGTAATAGAAAATGAGTTATTACAATTTTTGGTAATGGTTCTTATATGTTAATAGATTTGTATATGGTTTCTAACTAGGAAGAAATTAAAAAGAACTTTTGGAACTTACTTGCTAGTTTATTATACTGCTAACTTTTACAAGAAGAAATAGATTCCTTCATTCTTCTGTATTACATGGTTAACAGCAACAACTTAGGAGAAAAAGACACCTAGATTGATATACTACCTCAATCTCTTTCTAGTTTTGTGACCTTACCAAGACACTTAAGCTGTCTGTGACTTTAGCTGTTAAAAAGTGATTACTGGGTGTGGTGGCTCACACCTGTAATCCCAGCACTTTTGGAGGCCTAAGCAGGAGGATTGTTTGAGTCCAGGAGTTCCAGACCAGCCTGGTCAACAAAGTGAGGCTGCAGTGAGCTGTGATCGTGCCACTGCACTGCAGCATGGGCGACAGAGCAAGATCCTGTCTCAACAACAACAATAAAAGACGTGATCATACCTACCTCATAGGATTTTGTAAGGATCAAAGAATTAAAGAAAATAGCATAATGCCTAACACATAGTAAGGACTCAATAATTGAAAGCTATTATAATTGTGGTTCGATGTATTCTCCCCCTGCCCTGCTAATTTTAAATTATTTACTTCGCGTTCCTGAAAATGCATTGCTAACTGTATTATGTGTAGATAAAGTGGCTGGGAGCTTGATAGCTGTAGCAATGTTTTTGCAAATATTGTAGATGAAAATAAAGCTAATTTTGGAAGGGAATGGGGAAAGATGTAAATTTTAGTTTTACATTATTTATTGTGTACTAAAACCTGTATGAAGGTCCCTACTTAAGTCTAAGGTCAGGATCTCATGATCCATTTTGATTAGCTAAGTTTGCTCAAGCCAAAGGACTTTATTGCTTCATGCTAACCAGTCTGCCATGCAGTACAAAGACTGCAATAATAAAATTGTGATTTCTTGCTCCTCAGTTGCCTTGCATCAGCGAAGGGCACACAATGCAGGCTTTGGGTTGTGATTAACCGTAAGGGTCTGCCCCAAGAACAGATAACAGCAGACTGCACTCAGCTAAATATGCTTCTAGGTAATGCAGGAGTTTCCACCAGCCTACTCTAATCACACAGGTTTCTCTTTCCCTTTCTAGGACTGTCTACCCTTGAACTGGAAGTAGGCAGAATGTAAAGAGAGGAGTTGCTGGATACTTTTAAAGGCACTGAAAAATTCAAGTTAAAGTTATAGTTGAGGGGTAGTAGCCTCACTAGCCTATCTTGAGTAAGGGTCATGTCTCATTCATTTTTGTGTCTTCAATGTCGCAACAGAGCTCTGCATTCAATATATTTGTAAATATATGAATTCACAATTTTGATTTTCTGAAATGTCACGTGTGAGGACACTACCAGTTTTCAAATAAATACACCTTTTAAAGTACAGTTATGTGCCAAATAACAAGGCTTCAGCAATGAATGGATCGCATAAACTATGGTGATCCTATAAGAGTATATGACTGTACCTTTTCTATGTTTAGATATGTTTAAGTACACAAATAGTTACCACTGTGTTATAATCGCCTACCGTATCCAGAATGGCAACATGCTGTACAGGTTTACAGCCTAAGAGCAATAGGCTACATCATATAGCCTGGGTGTGTAGTAGGCTATACTATCTAGGTTTGTGTTTAAATACACTCTAGGATGTTCCCTAAGGGATGATTAACCTAAGGACACATTCCTAAGAACATATCCCCATCTTAAGTGAAGCACTACTGTAGTTGCTTTTGAAATGTGTGACCTATGGTGTATTAAGAGGAATACCGTGTGCCAAGAAGTGACGCTAAGCGTTTTACCTTACAACTGAGTTAAGTAAAATTTGGAAACTTGGTTTCGAGGTTAATACATGAAAGGCGACACAGGTAGTATGTGACAGAGGGTAAGAATTGAATCCAGGTCTACCTGACTCTTAATCACAAGACAAAAAGTCTTCTATTAATTCCGCAAAATCTGGTCAGCCGCTTCAATGCGCAGCTTTAGGCAGTCCACACCTGGAATTTGGGGTCTGGTTTACCAAGAACAGCCAGTGTGTACACCCACTCCATCCTATCCAGGAACTGGAATCGAGAAGGTAAAAACGTGGCTATTGCGCATGCTCACACCGCCCTTCCTTGCTCTCCCCTCCCTGACCCTAGATGCCACCGCAGCAACTTTCTGGGAGGATTTTGGAACGGCTCCCGCCAACTGTTAAGTCAAACCGGCGGAAATCCTTCCTTTCTGCGACGTGGACACCTTTCTCATCCTCGGGCCTTTCCAACCAGGGTGCAGAAACCACGCGCCTCCGTTTCTCAGGGATTCAAGCCGTAGTTTGCCAGTTGTTAATATGGCCGCTGACAGGCCGCTCCCAAGCTGAGGCCTTTCATAGGCCAAGATCGCATCCTGTCCCCGCCTATTTTGTCCCTCGTGGCTGCGTCCGCCCAGCTCTTCGCTACGCATGCGCAGCGGGGGCAGGCTGGGAGGTGGGACTGACTGAGTCTTCCGTGTGTCGCCGCCGTTGCCGCCTCAGCTTCAGCCTCGTTACTCCTGCGGTTCTGTGACTGTGCTGCTGGCGTTAACGGCGCGAGGTGAAGGGAGGTGACGGAGTGTGCCCGCGCGCGCGGGGGTCCCCTCAGTCCCAGCAGTTCCCTTCGTGCGCGGGGGGCGGCGAGGGTCTTCAGCAGTCGGGAGAGGCCCTTGACGGCGCCATGTCGGCGGGCGGTCCATGCCCAGCAGCAGCCGGAGGGGGCCCAGGGGGCGCCTCCTGCTCCGTGGGGGCCCCTGGCGGGGTATCCATGTTCCGGTGGCTGGAGGTGCTGGAGAAGGAGTTCGACAAAGCTTTTGTGGATGTGGATCTGCTCCTGGGAGAGATCGATCCAGACCAAGCGGACATCACTTATGAGGGGCGACAGAAGATGACCAGCCTGAGCTCCTGCTTTGCACAGCTTTGCCACAAAGCCCAGTCTGTGTCTCAAATCAACCACAAGCTGGAGGTGAGCCGTGGGTGCTGGCGGCTATGGCATCCAACCCCAGGCTGCCCGGTGGCGTCAGATGCCATTTAACGCTCCAGTGAAACGACCCTAGAAAACTGCCCACCGGGGCTTCAAATGTGATGGGAGAGTGCATGTCTGAGGAGTGAGGTGAGGGTGGGGGACAAAAAGGGCCCTAGACCGACGTGTGAGTTCCCGGGGTACTGTCGTCCACCTTCCTAGTATCTCTCTGAGGAGGAAACTAATTACATACACCAGCCTCCATTGCACATGTTACATTAACAAACCTAACAAAGATTCTCTGTCATGAAAATACCGTAGGCCACCTTTTGACAACTGAGTTTTGCAGATCTGCTTTCACATTGATAAACCGAATTTGTATATGTTAAGACAGATACAGCACTGATTATTTTCATTTTAATTATTCCAGGTCAGCGCCTATGATTGCATACAGAGACATGCATAAACTATTTAGGGGAATCTGATCAAAGCTCTTAGGAAAATTTCGTGGTGCATAACGATAGTATCACTGTCTCGGTTTACATCCATAGTTGGTTGTTAAATTACAGGCAGATACCTCCAGAGAGCTCCCTGCAATTATTGAAATTACTTCTGACCTTGAGTTTTTATATGCTTGTACATTACTGTGTAATTTTCCAAAGTCTGGATTTATTTTTGAGAGAGTGTAAAGAATCATTTGCTTTAATCTCTGATCCTGGGTGTGGGTGAGGGTGGAGTGGCTGTGGTTCAAAAAAACAAAAATATCATATTGTGCAGAAAATTTAAAAAGGACATTATTAAAATATTTAGAAATCAAGATAGATTAACATTATTGCATAAAGAGTACTTTCTAACTAGGCAATTTAAGAGAATGGGTCTTTCTTTTCAAAAAGTGTAATAGATAAAAATGGGATAATCAGTGATGTGCAAAACTCTGAACATGCTTTCCTAAGAAATCATCATTACTCGTTGTCATTGACAGTGCCCATTATATCTATATCAATATGAATGTCAGTTAAACATCCTCTCCTTGCCTAGTGGTCAGCATTCTTTCTCTCCTATTAGCCATGAAATATGTGGCATAATTAATCTTTGATTAACATAGATTTACATATCCAAGAATTGTGGCTCTTCTCCACTGCGAGAACTGTTAATTTCTTCTATCCTTTTTGAAAAGATTAGAAAGTGCTAATATGAAGGTAATCACTTCTTACTGTAGGTAAATGAAAACATCTCTTGATTTCTTTATTGGTAGTAATTTCCACAAGAAAGCTATTTTTCTCAGATAGTGAAATTGCATTTAATGTTTTCTAGAAATAGTACTTTAACTTTATTTCATCTTATTTTATCTTATTATATTTTTTTCAAAAAAGAGATGGAGTGCTTTGTTGCCCAGTTTGGTCTTGAATTCCTGGCCTCAGGTGATCCTCCTGCCTTGGCCTCCCAAAGTGCTTTGATTACAGACATGAGCTACTGTGCCTGGCCATTAGTTCTCTAGCTTTAAACAACAAAGATCAAGAGTAGCCTTTACCACATGGTATAATTCGAATGTGTCCCCCAAATTTCGTGTATGGGAAACTTAATCCTCAATGTGACAGTATTGAATCTCCAATGTGGGGCCTTTAAGAGGAGACTGGATCATGAGTACTCTGTTCTTATGAATGGATTAATCCACTTATAGATTGATTTGTTATTGGATAAATGGATGAATGAGTTATCATAGGAGTGTAGAACTGGTGGTTTATAAGAAGAGGAAGAAAGACCTGAGTAAGCATGTTAGCATGCTCAGCCTCCTTGCCATGTGACACCCTATGCTGCCTCCATACTCTGCACAGATCCCCTGCCAGCAAGAAGGCTCTCGACTTCTCGAGATCTGGCCCCTCGACCTTGGACTTCTCTGTCTCCATAACTGTAAGAAATACATTCCTTTTCTTTATAAATTACCTAGTTTCTGGTATTCTGTTATAAGAAACAGAAAGTGGACTAAAACATCACACGAGAAATTTCATATCATTTACAACTGCAGTATCAACTGGGCATTAACAACTTTTTAAAAATGAAACAATATTTTATTTATTTTTAAAATGACCTAAGGAAACTTTAAACAGGGATTTGATGTCAGATATAAAAATTGAAATTGGGAGGAAGGATAATTTTCTCAGTAGGAGGCTGTGCTCCATTTTTTTTGTCTTTAAATATTTTAGATGAGTATTCAGAATTGTAATAAATTATGCATGTTCTTTTTTCAGAAATTAAAATCACACATTCTGACTTTATGTCCTGGTTTAGGAGGTTGCATTGTTTCTCAAAATAGGAAATGCTAGCATATCACAATGTGAGCATATTTTTTATGCTTGAAACTGTTGATTTAAAGATCATAGGAAAATGGGGAGGGGAAAAATCCTAATGATTTTGGTTTGTTTGTTCATTTGTTTGTGTTTTTTCAGTTACAGTCAACTTGTTTGTCTTTGATGTTAATCTGTACACGTTTAGCAGCTTCTGCCGTTTTTATGGAATCAATTGTGTATTGCTGTGGAAAGAAGTTCATTGTCAGCAGTGCCTTTCAAAGTAGACTTGCTGCTGTTCCATCTACAGAATTTCAGTGGTTGCTCCATATATTGTTTGAAAGCTTGAAACAATTTCCATATTTTCTTGCCCTTTTTTACTTTTTAGGAAAAGGATTGAATTTGTTCTATTGTTTTAATTATATGGACATTAAGACATATTTGAAACCACTTATGGTTTAATATGACAAACGTGACATTCAGTGGTTTCAGAGGTTAATACCTTTAATCATATTACTGTAATAAAATATTTTTATATAATGAAGAAACAGATACCTCCAATTTGGGTAATTTATAATGTAGTTAACATTAAACACTATATTTATTATTAAAATATTAAATTTTGCTGCAAAAAAATCATAGGTTACTTTTTTACTTGAATAGGCTATTAGGGCTATTCTTTTTTATTTTTAATTGACATAATAGTCGCATCTTTTTAGGGGGCACAGTGTGGTATTTGGATACACATAATAATGATGAAATTAGGGTAATTAGCATATCTGTCACCTCAAACATTATTCATGTTAGAAACAATTCAAAACCTGCTCTTCTAGCTGTTTGAAAATATACATTAAGCTACTATTAACTGTAATCATCTTATGGTGCTATAGAATACTAGAACTTTTTCCTCTTATTTAGCCATAATTTTGTTACCCCGGGCTGTGGACCAGTACTGGTCCGTGGCTTCTTAGGAACTGGCTGAACAGCAGGAGGTGAGCAGTGGGCAAGAGAGCATTACAGCCTGACCTCTGGCTCCTGTCAAATCAGTGGTGGCACTAGATTCTCATATAGATTCTCATAGTAGCACAAATCCTGTTCCTGTTGTGAACTGCACATGCGAGGTATCTGGGTTGCCAGCTTCTTGTGAGAGTCTAATGTCTTTTGTTGAAACCATCCCCACGCTGTCCTGTGGAAAAATTGTCTTCCACAAAACCAGTCCCTGATGCCAAAAACATTGGTGACCGCTGTGTTAACCAACATCTTCCTACCCGCCTCACCCTTCCCAACTTAACAGTAACCACTGTTGTATTCTCTACTTCTATGAGGTCAACTTTTTTTTTTCTTTTTTTGAGACAGGGCCTCACTCTGTTACCCAGGCTGGAGTGCAGTGGTGCAATCATAGCTCACTGTGGCCTCCAACTCCCAGCTCAGTTGATCCCTCTGCTTCAGCCTCCCAAGTAGCTTGGACTACAGGCATGAGCTACTATACTCAGCTAATTTTTCTATTTTATTTTTTTTTTTTTTTAGTAGAGATGGGGTTTTACTATGTTGCTTAGGCTGGTCTTGAACTCATGGGCTCAAGAGATCCTCCTGCCTCAACCTCTCGAAATGCTGGTATTACAGGTATGGGCCACCATGCCTGGTAAATCAATTTTTTTAGCTTCTACATTTGAGTGAGAACATGCATTATGTATCTTTCTGTGCCTTGCTTATTTTTACTTAATGTCCTCCAAGCTCATCCATGTGGTCTTCAATGCAGGATTTCATTCTTTTTTATGGCTAAGTAGTATTCCTTTGTGTATATATACCACTTTTTTTTTTTTAATCTTTTCATCTGTTGTGGAAATATAGATTGCTTCCGTATCTTGGCTATTGTGAATAGTGTTGCAATAAACATGGGAGTGCACATATTGTTCAAGATACTGATTTCCTTTTTAGGGGGCATATATCCCTAGTGTATATGTTCTATTTTTAGTTTTTTGAGAACATAGATTACATCTTAAAATTAAATACAAATGATATCCATGTGACTGCTTTTTGCCATAGCAATATTTGGGAAGAGTCATATCTGAGGAGAATGGAATAGCAGAGAATATCAGTGTATTTTGAGGTGGTGCCATTTCAAATTGCTCACATCTCTCACACTTTCCACATGCTTGTGAGTTTTTGCTGTCATGAGCCACTTGATCATGGCTATGCTAGAATCATAGGCATTGATTGGAATAGTAGTGGCACTGTGGAAGAAAAAAGAGAAACTTTTTATCTGAAGAATGTGCCCCCCTTCACCACTTCTATTCAATGTAGTACTAGAAGTCCTAGCCAGAGCAATCAGACAAGAGAAAGAAATAAAGGACATCCAAATGGTTAAAGAGGAAGTCAGACTGTTGCTGTTTGCTGATGACATGATAGTATACCTACAAAGCCCTAAGGATTCATCCATAAAGCTCCTAGAACTGGTAAATGAATTCAGCAAAATTTCAGGATACAAAATTAATGTACACAAGTGAGTAGCCCTCCTATATACCAACAGTGACCAAACTGAGAATCAAATCAAGAATCAGCCACTTTTATAAGACTTGCAAAAAAATTAAAATATTTTGGAATATACTTAACCAAGGAGATGAAAGACCTATACAAAGAAAACTATAAAACACTGCTGAAAGAAATCATAGGTGATACAAACAAATGGAAACACATCCCATGCTCATGAATGGGTAGAATCAATATTGTGAAAATGACCATACCACCAAAAGCAATCTACAAATGCAATGCAATTCCCATCAAAATACCACCATCATTCTTCACAGAACTAGAAAAAACAATCCTAAAATTCATATGGAACCAAAAAAAGCCCACATAGCCAAAGCAAGACTAAGCAAAAAGAACAAACCTGGAGGCATTAGGTTACCTGACTTTATACTATAAGGCCAAAGTCACCAAAACAGCATGATACTGGTATAAAAACAGACATATAGACAAATGCAACAGAATAGAGAACCCAGAAATAAAGCCAAATACTTACAGTCAACTGATCTTTGACAAAGCAAACAAAAACATAAAGTGAGGAAAGGACACCCTATTCAACAAATGGTGCTGGGACAATTGGCAAGCCACATGTAGAAAAATGAAACTGGATCCTCCTCTCTTACCGTATATAAAAATCAACTCAAGATGGATCAAAGACTTAAATCTAAGACCTGAAACCATAAAAATTCTAGAAGATAACATTGGAAAAACCCTTTTAGATATTGGCTTAGGCAAAGACTTCATGACTAAGAACCCAAAAGCAAACACAACAAAAACAAAGATAAATAGATGGGACTTAATTAAACTAAAAACTTTGTGCACAGCAAAAGAAATAATCAGAGTAAACAGACAACCCACAGAGTGGGAGAAAATCTTCACAACTGTACATCCGACAAAGGACTAATATCCAGACTCTACAAGGAACTCAAAACAAATCAAGAAAAAAACAAACAATCCCATCAAAAAGAGGGCTAGGGACATGAATAGATAATTCTCTAAAGAAGATACACAAATGGCCAACAAACATGAAAAAATGCTCAACAACACTAATGATCAGAGGAATGCAAATCAAAACCACAATGCAATACTACCTTACTCCTGCAAGAATGGCTATAATCAAAAAAATAAAAAAAAATAGATGTTGGCACGGATGTGGTGAAAAGGGAACACTTTTACACTGTTGGTGGGAATGTAAACCACCAACCACTATGAAAAACAGTGTGGAGATTCCTCAAAGAACTAAAAGTAGATCTACCATTTGATCCAGCAACCCCACTCCTGGGTATTTACCCAGAGGAAAAGAAGTCATTATATGAAAAAGATACTTGCAAACATGTTTATACTAGCACAACTCATAATTGCAAAAATATGGAACCAGCCCAAATACCCATCAATCAATAAGTGGATTAAAAAAATGTGGTGTGTATATATACAGACACCTGGAATATTACTCAGCCATAAAAAGGAATGAAATAGTGGCACTTGCAGCAACCTGGGTGGAATTGATTGGAGACCATTATCTAAATGAAGTAACTCAGGAGTGGAAAACAAAATGTATGTTCTCACTCATACATGGGAGCTAAGCTAGGAGGATGCAAAGGCATATGAATGATACAATGGACTTTGGGGATCTGGAGTAAAGGGTGGGAAGGGGATGAGGGATAAAAGATGACACATTGGATACAGTGTACACTGCTCAGGTGATGGGTGCACCAGAATCTCAGAAATCACCACTAAATAACTTATTCACATAACCAAACCCCACCTGTTCCCCAGAAACCTATTGAAAAAACAAAACAAAACCCAAACAAACAAAACAAAACACAACTGAGTTCCTTTCCATTGTGAGGCCTAGAGAGGCATTGGAATGAAACCGCAGTTATGGCACTCCCTTTTGACCTAAGCAGTTATCTCTGGAAGCCACCTTCTATGTAGGATTTAGACTAACTGACGCCAAGTAGCCATAAAATACCATATGCTGGACACCATAAGTCATACCTTATAGTGCAACAATGAATAGCCAGTCACTAATCAGTGATTGTAAACCAATGAGAATTCTTATCAAGCAACTTTGTATCTGCCTTGTTCCTTTTTCCCTTTAAAATCTGCTTGTAACTCAGGTGCCAGAGCACTCCCCAGGCATCTGGGAAATATGTGTTGAGTAGCTGTCCTCATTTTGGCTCAGGTAAACTAAAGTATATTTTGTGCCTCAGCCTTTTCCTTTTAGGTTTACAGTAGGAATAGTAATACTAGCAGTAGTAGGTGTGTTGGAATAGAATAAAGATTGTGAACCAATACTTTAAAAAATTCACCTCTGCCTTGAAAGAGTGTTCTGCCTGTTACTCCTTTTTTAAAGTAACAGCACAACAATACACCTTCTTTCACATCCTCCTTTCCCTCAGCAATTGCTCTGTTAGTATCTCTTTGAAGTGATTTATTATTCATAGCCAACAGTAGAGAAACTTTTAACTTTGATCTAGAGCCACATTGATAATGAACTGGTGATATGCTTGTCCCTTTGCTGCTTTAAATCTGTCCTGTTTTTAAATAGGCTGTTTTGCAACATTGAAGCTTAAGTTTAATATTGATCCAGTACGCACTTATGAACACGAATTATGTGCCAGATGCTGTATTGGGCACTTAGGATACAATGGAGAGCAAAAAAGGGATGTAGTCATGGCTTTTATGGAGTTTGGATTATATTGGAGGAATTTGTTGGGAGAATAATCATGTAAATGAGAAATTGCAACTTTGATGAATACTATGAAAGGTACATAAGAGTAAATGAGACCCTATTTTGGGATGTCAGAGAAGGCTTCCCTGAGGAAGTTATTGAGCTAAGACATAAAGGAATTATGTGTAAATAGGAATGAATTAAGCTAAGAGAAATAGGAATGCCATTCAACATTGCCGTAGAGGGAATGGGAAGTGAAAAGCACCTGTGGTGGGCAAGCGCATAGTGCATTTGAAGATTCGAGAGATAGTTGGTATGTGTAACAAGAGAAGAGGGCAAAAGAAGCAAGGCACAAGATAAGTTTGAACAGACAGAGAGGGACTATTTCTACATGACTTTATGGCCATGCAAAAATATTTGGGGCTTTATCATAATCGTGGGAAGTCTTTTAAACCAGTTCGTAGCCTCAGATATGAAGTTAGAATAGTTCACTCTGACTATGGTATGGAGAAAATTGCAGAGAATGACATGAATGAATGCAGAAAATTGTTTAGAAGGTTTCTGTTTATGTGAGATTATGATAGTGTGGAGTAAGATAATAGAGGTAGGAGAAGGTATTCAGAACAAGAGAAACTGGAGAGGTAAAAATAAAAAAAACCTAGAGATGGATTGGAACAGAGGGATGAGGGAGTTCAGGATAAATCCAAGTGACAATCTTGTGCAGCTGGTTGCCTGAATAGATAGATGAATGTGTTATATTATTAGCAATAACAATATTGCCAACTTTATTGATCAGTTACCATGGGCCAACCTCTCTTCTGAGTCTTTTACATAGACTGATTCATCCAATTCTCACAACAGTCCTGGAAACAGGTTTATTAGTATAGTTACTCCAACTTTACAGGGATTAAGTAAGAGGCCTGAGGCTACGGAGCTAGAGAAATCAGTCTCTGCACAAACACATTATGTCTGATGGGGGATGGAGGAGGTGGAGAGAGAAGCAGACAGAAAGAGTGAGTGTGGCTGAATAGATAGCAAGAAGTGAGATTGTAGGGTACAAGGGAGGTTTTGTTTTCATTTTGTTTTTAAATAAAAACAAATAAAACATAAGTCTGTGAGAAGCATCTACTTGAGAGAAAAGCCAAATATAGAAAAAGAGTGGGGTAGTTAATATTAGTAAGATTTTGTAATAACAGCTACTTAGAAGAGGGAGAGAATGGGAGCAGACAGTAGGAGGTTGTGGAAGTTTCTGTCTGATGGCTTTTTTTTTTCTGTAAAATAGGAGCCCACGTCAGTTGCTAAAAGTAGGTGAGAGTAAGAGCATGAGGCTAGTAGAAGAGGTTTGAGATAGTAATGGAAGAGTGGGAGAGCCAATTGGCCAGAGAAACAGGACTGCCAGGCATTGTTGAGGAATGGCTTGGGGTTAGTTATCATAAATTATGGTGCAACCGGTCTGTACTGTTGTGTGATTTTCTCTAGCAATGCATATCTGTTTAGGTACAGGCACAGTAATGAGAGTAATAACTAGGTTTATTCAATGTTATAGCAAAGGAGTTTGTTATACAGACAAGTGTGTTATTGAAGTGAAAGTGGTAATGGGGCTGATGAAAAGGAGATAAATTGAAGACTAAGGAAGGAGAATTGACAGGATTTGATAATTATGTAGATGCAGGAGATAAGAGAAAGGGTTAAGGATAACACTGCATTTCTGTTTGGGAAATGATTGATCAGTATCTGTAGTGGGTTGAATCGTATCCCTCCAAAATTCATATCCACCCCCAAAACCTCAGAATGTGACCTTATTTAGAAAGAGGGTCTTTGCAGGTGTAATTATGTAAAGATGGAGGTAAGATTATAGTGGATTAGAGGGGGCCCTAAATCCAATGAAAGTGTGCTGATAGGAGACAGAAAAGGCCACACACAGACACAGAGAAGAAGGCTATGTGATGATAGAAGCAGAGATTGGAGTGATGTATCTACAAGCCAAGGGATGCCAGTGATTGCCAACAGCACCAAAAGCTGGGAGAGAGGCACAGGATCTCCAGAAAGAGCCAGCCCTGTCATACCTTATTTCAAACTTGGGGCATCCTGAAATGTGAAAGAATAAACTTATGTTGTTGTTTTAAGCCACCACGTTTGTGGTAATTTTTTTTTTTTGACAGAGTCTCACTCTGTTGCCCATGCTGGAGTGCAGTGGCACAATCTCGGCTCACTGCAACCTCTGCCTCCTGGGTTCAAGCAATTCTCCTGCCTCAGCCTCCTGAGCAGCTGGGATTGCAGGCGCCAGCCACCATGCCCGGCTAATTTTTATATTTTTAGTAGAGACAAGGTTTCACCATGTTGGCCAGGTTCGTCTCGAACTCCTGACTTCAAGTGATCCTCCCGCCTTGGCCTCCCAAAGTGCTGGGATTACAGGCGTGAGCCACCGTGCCCAGCCTTGTGCTAATTTTTTGTAACAGCCCTAGGAAGTTTATACATTACTATTTACTGAAGTAAGGAATACAGGAAAAGGAGGAGCAGGTCTGGGAAAGATAATGAGATAAGATTAGGATATTTTGCATAATTAAGGTCCTTATTCTTCTCGGGTGTTCCTAACATAGTCTCCTAATCATTATTCCTTCCAAACCATCCTTTGGTTGCCTGATCATTCTAGAGTGATTCATACTAGTGGTTTGTATTTAAAAAGACAAACCTAATTCTGTCATTCTTCTTTCTGTATCTCTCTAAAATTCAAATTCTTTGGCCCGGTGATCAGTGTGCCTGTCTGTCTCTCCTTATCTCTTATCACCCCTTCTTAGCTGCTTTTGCCTCAATAAAACTGATCTATTTGCAGTTCTGTAAATAGGCCTTGCTCTTTTATGGCACCTGTACTTTCACATAGGCTTTGGTGTATAATGCCTTCTCTATACCCTTTGTCTACAGTATCAAACACACACTCATCTTTCAAGACTCCACTTACGTCATTGTCTCAGAGAGGGCTTTCCTTACTCCACTCCTCTCTGCTCTTTATAGGCAGAGGCTGCCCTAAGCCCTTGAACTTATTTGTACTTTTAGATTTGTTACATTGTACTATAATTAGCGTTTACCACATCTTTCTACCTCTAGAATGTAAGCTGTTTGAAGGTCAGAACCATGTTTTAGGGGAAATAGTTTGAACCATCAAATGCTTTGTGAAGCTGATTTAGAAGGCAGCATTATCTTTTTGTGAACTTATTTTGGTTTCTAGGAGCTTTTTGTTTGTTTTTTGTATTCTTTGCTTCCATGCTCCCAAACCACATTGCTGAGTACTTCCTTTGGTATAGATATCAGATTGGTTTATATAAGGATTACAGAATTGGTATTTGGCCCCTTTTTAAAATTGGACATTTGGGGCCGGGTGTGGTGGTTCACGCCTGTAATCCCAGCACTTTGGGAGACTGAGGTGGGCAGATCACCTGAGGTCAGGAGTTTGAGATCAGCCTGGCTAACATGGGGAAACCCCATCTCTACTAAATATACAAAATTAGCTGGGTGTGGTGGCGCATGCCTGTAATCCCAGCTACTCGGGAGGCTGAGGCAGGAGAATCGCTTGAACCTGGGAGGTGGAGGTTGCATTGAGCTGGGATCATGCCACTGCACTCCAGCCTGGGCAACGGCGTGAGACTCCTTCTCAAAAAACAAAACAAAACAAAACAAAACAAAACAAAATTTGGAACTGATGTGTTAAATACCAATCATTTTGATCTAGTTATTCCCTGTTTCACCTGTCAGGTGTTTTCATATCTCACCTTTCCCTTTCCACTCCCTGTATTAGCAGATCTCCATTCAAAGCTCAGAGAACTTCTTTCTGACTACCTCCCCTTACCTCTTTTTGAATTGGTACATCACACGTCTTTCAAATAGTGCTTACCACACGTTGCATCACAATTGGAAATGTAATCTTTTTATCTTTTTTTTTTTTTTTTTTTTTTGAGACAGGGTCCCACTCTGTTGCCCAGGCTGGAGTGTAGTGACACGATCATGGCTTACTGCAGCCTCGACCTCCCGGGCTCAAGTGATCCTCTGACCTCAGCCTCCTGAGTAGCTGGGACTACAGCCATATACCACCACGCCCAGCTAATTCTTGGTAATTTTTGTAGAGACAGGGTCTCACTATGTTGCCCAGGCTGGTCTCGATCTCCTAAGCTCAAGCAATCCACCCGCCTTGGGCTCCCAAAGTGCTGGGATTAAGTTGTGAGCCACCATGCCCAGCCTGGAAATACATTCTTATCTTTTCCTAATAGAAAACTTCTAGAATCCATGTCTTATTCATCTTTTTGTCCCCAGATTGTGGTACACAGTGAGTACTCAATGTTTATTTGAATGAATGAATTTTTTGAAACGCATCTGGTGTTCTGCTATAAATCTTCAAAGATTACCCACAATCATTCTGTAATATAAGCTTCATGAGAGCTAGGATGGTATCTGTCTTGTTGACTCTATATTCATGTATACAGTGCCTGCTCCATTGCTGAAAGACTGATCTTCAGGTTCATTTATTCCTCTGGTATGTAATTCACAAGCATATAATTTGTGAGTTAATATTTCATGGTATCTTATTTTGGGAAAAAATTGAAACTGATTGAAAATAACTTTAAACATCATGAAATAAGAATATTGAGTATGGATTTAGTACTTGTGATATTCCTAAAATATTGAGTAGGTTGATTCTCCTCCCCACCCCATCTCCAGTTTGATCATGGAGCAACTGAGTGCTTTGAAATTAAAATGGAAACATTTTTTATTGATTGGATCTTCATTTGAGGTTTACGGCAAATTACTTGTCAGATTTATCAACTGGTTTCCATTTCACATCCCCCAACTCAGTTCATTCATGTTGTCTCTCATATTACACATAGCTGCCTTTTAAAAAAAAAACATTAGGGCTGGGCGCAGTGGCTCACGCCTGTAATCCCAACACTTTGGGAAGCTGAGGTGGGCGTTATCACCTGAGGTCAAGAGTTCAAGACCAGCCTGACCAACATGGTGAAACCCCATCTCTACTAAAAATAAAATATTTGCCAGGAATGGTGGTACATGCCTGTAATCCCAGCTCCTGGGGAGGCTGAGGCAGGAGAATCACTTGAACCCGGGAGGTGGAGGTTGCAGTGAGCCGAGATTGCACCATTGCACTCCAGCCTGGGCAACAAGAGTGAAACTCCATCTCAACAAAATAAATAAATAAAAAATAAGAAAACATAAATTCATCAATTGCTTTTTGAATAAAATTCAAGCTCTTAATTTTGGCAGACAGGCTCTGCATGATCTGACATTTGGGTATCCCTCCTATGATGTATCTTACCATTCTTTCCTCTTACTCTATCTCAAGCTTGTCTAACCCGCAGCCTGTGGGCTGCATGTGGCCCAGAACAGCTTTGGATGCAGCCCAACACAAATTCGTACACTTTCTTAAAACATTATGAGATTTTTTTGCGTGATTTGTTTTTTCTTTTTAATTTTAGCTCACAGCTATCATTAGTGTTAGTGTATTTTGTGCGTGGCCCAAGACAATTCTCCCAGTGTGGCCCAGGGAAGCCAAAAGATTGCCTACCCCTACTCTATATGGTGGAGCCACATGAGCCTTTTTTCAGAAGGTCTAAGTCAAGGTTCTCAGACTTTTTGGTTTCTGGAGTCCTTTGCATTCTTACAAATTTTGAGAACCCCAAAGAGCTCTTTTTTTTTTTAATGTGGGTTATATGTATAAATATATAAAAATATAAAATATAAAAAAAGTATAAATGTAGAATTTATTGTATTAGAAATTAAACTGAGAAAACTTTATTACATCATTTAAAAATAACTACAATAAACTCATTACATGTTAATATAAATGATTTTAAATTAAAATGTAATTATATTTTCTAAAACCAAAAAATGTTTTAGAAGAATAGCATTGTTTTATATTTTTTCAAACCTTTAAATTCCTGGCTTAATAGAGGATAACTCACGCCTGTAATCCTTGCACTTTGGGAGGCTGAGGCGGGCAGATCACTTGAGGTCAGGAGTTCAAAACCAGTCTGGCCAACATGGTGAAACCCCATCTCTACTAAAAATACAAAAATTAGCTGGGCGTGGTGGCGGGCAGTGGTAATCCCAGCTACTCAGGAGGCTGAGGCAGGAGAATCTCTTGAACCTGGGACGTGGAGGTTGCAGTGAGCCAAGATCATGCCACTACACTCCAGCCTGGCCTGGGTGACAGAGTGAGACAATGTCTCAAAAAAAAAAAGTTTGCTGAGGCCTCCCCAGCCATGCTTTCTGTACAGCTTGTGGAACCGTGAGGCATTTAAACCTCTTTTGTTTATAATAATAATATTTATAAATTACCCAGTCCCAGGTATTTCTTTATAGCAGTGAAGACTAATACAGAGGCCAAGGTGAGAGCATCACTTTAGACTAGGAGTTCAAGACTAGCCTGAGCAACATAGTGAGACCTATTTTTAAATAAATACAAAAAATACAAAAAAATTTAAAAATGACCATGTGCTTATGTAGTCCTAGCTACCCAGGAGGCTGAGGTGGGAGGATTATTTCTACTCAGGAGTTCCAAGTCCCCAGTGAGCTGTGATCATGCCACTGCAGCCCAGCTTGGACAACACAGTGAGACCTTGTCTCAAAAAAAAAAAAGTAAAACAAAACATCAACAGTGACAAAAACTACAAGTGCATAGCAGCAAAGACTACAATGACTACTGATGGAGCTTGGTGCCACTGCATTGACTTGTACTAAAATCCCAACATTTTACTCATCATTACTTTTGTACCTTCAGTATGTCAACATAGTGAAAAAGACAAATAATGTTTTATTATAATGAAAATAGTTTTGACCTTTCAGATCCCCTGAAAATGTCCCATAGACCTTGGGACCTGCTGCTTTAGTAATAATCAAAACTCTTCCCAGAAGAATAGCCATACACTTCCACTCTGCTAATTCTCTTAGTTTCTTTCATACAGCTCATTACAATTTGTAGTTTTATATATATATATAAATTTATTTATTTATTTATTACTGTTTGGGGGGTTGGTTTTTTTAAGAAATGGGGGTTTTGCTGTGTTGCCCAGACTGGCCTCAAACTCTGGGCTCAAGTGATCCTCCTGCCTTAGCTTCTCTAGTAGTTATGTATGCCTGGTTTACTGGCTTTTTAATGACCATGGTGAAGTTACCTAACCTCTATGTACTTCAGTTGTCATATCTGGATAAAAAGTGCGTCTCTCAGAGTATATTATGAGGATTACATTTGCTTGTCTAGACTGTAGAATGTTATTTTTTGGGGGAGAACTAATGGCAGATGAACTTAGTGGTCATTATGGTTGGATGGAAAAAAAATAGAGTGAACAGATACAGCTTTCTCACAGAACTTTCATAGACCAGATAACTGCTTCAAGAGCTGACCTGAAGTAAGGAGGAGTATTATTTCCTATCTTGAGGGATGGCAGAGATTTTCAATTTGACCTTTGAATATATTTTCTGTTTGGTCATAGTCTTGTGTTTTAGAGTAAGACTCATTAGATTTCTGTGATTTTGACCACCTCAGGCACATAGAAGAAAGAAAAAATAGAGGGAGATTTTTTATAATAAAGTGAATGAGTTAAATGATATTTTGAAGGTGTACAAGAAAAGGAATGGATCAAAATGGCTTTCATTAGTTACATTTTCTTCTTGACTTTTGTCACAAGAGAAAAGGTCTTATGAAGAATGGTTCTGCCTCTGTTGTCTGTCAGGTAGCTTAGGATCTTTTATGTAAGAATCTCTGTTCCTAGCACTTTGGGAGGCTGAGGCGGGCGGATCACGAGGTCAGGAGATCGAGACCATCCTGGCTAACACAGTGAAACCCCGTCTCTACTAAAAATACAAAAAATTAGCTGGGAGTGGTGGTGGGCACCTGTAGTCCCAGCTAACTTGGGAGGCTGAGGCAAGAGAATGGCGTGAACCTGGGAGGTGGAGCTTGCAGTGAGCCAAGATCACGCCACTGCACTCCAGCTTGGGTGACACAGCGAGACTCCATCTCAAAAAAAAAAAAAAAAAAAAAAAGAATCTCTGTGATGCATTCTTTTAAAAGTTTAGTTCCAGGAAAAAAGACAGTTTTGCCAGATAAAATGGAATTGCCTCCTCTAATGAGAAAAGGGGATTTGCATAATCTGTAAAGATTCTCTTATTAATTGGAAGCTCAATTTACTATATTAAATTTAATATAGTACTCAATAACTAATACATTAGTATTTTTTATAGTGTTATCCTGCCATCTCTATATGATTTTTATTTTTTACATTTTTGTTTTTTTGACTATATGAGGTTTAAAGCCTTTTGAAAAGTAGATGGATGTCTATGATAAATTTGGGATATTGACACTAAATGGTATAATTGCTAGAGATTTACATTCCAATCTGTACTTTCATCCTAAATTAACATTTTAAAACATAAAGAGAATACAGATATTTAAAAGGTGAAGTGATTACTTTTTGTACACAAACTTTAAAACAAAAGGTGTAGAAGCAATTATAGGTAGATGTGACATAATATTTACACCTTTATCAGCAGCTTTTTGTGCTATAGTTCATTATAGTTAAATTGCCATGTGGAGTCAACTATTTTCTTCATAATTCCTAAACAACTTGGGGAATGTGTGCTTTGTTTGCTTGCATATCTGTACCTGCATCTGTTCCTGTTTGCATGCCTACAGGTGTGTCTGTGTATTCATACCTGTGTATGCTCACAAGTACCAGTGCCTGTCTTTGTGCATGTGTATGGGTATGGGGTGTGTGTATGGGGTTCAGAATCTGCTGTTTAGTTAAAGCTTTGTCTAGTTCTGATATTTGGGGAATATGCTGTCATTTGGAGCTCATGGACTACATCTTCCCCATTTTTTCTATTATTGCCAGAATTACAAAGGATGTCAGGAGGAGGTCTGAGTTTTAATACCATGCAATTTGTAATTTGGGGCATCTCACATAATCTCTTAGGTCTCAGTTTCTTCATGTGTAAAATAAAGATGTTTTAGGTTGTTAGCTTGGACCTTCTAAAACTTTATCAAAAGAGCTCTATGGCATGCTAAAAGTAATGATTGAGCTGCATCCAATTTTCATGCTGTGCAACTTGATGTTCACAAATTTCTTGGCTTAGTTTGCTCCTCCTTCAAAACATGAGGCTTTTGAGGGGTGCTTAAGGTAAAATAATTGGAGTATTTATCCATAAGACAGTTAAAAAAATAAAAACCTGCTTATATTTAAAATGAAAATTGTGTAGTTGTTGTGTATTCTTAGAAAATAATACAGGTAGAGGATTAAAGTTTAGGCAAGTGGATTAATAGGAAACTGTGAATAAAAAAATTACTTTGATTTTGGTGCCTGACCTCCAGAGAGTGAAGGAGGCTTAGAATTAAGTTGATCACCAGTAGCCAGTATTTAAACCAGTTATGCCTCTTATGTTAATTTGTTTTTGTGTCACTATAAAGAAATATCAAATGGGGATAATTTATAAAAATTTTAGTTGACTCACAGTTCTGCAGGCTGTACAGGCAGCATGATGCCAGCATCTTCTGGTGAGGTCCTCAGTGAGCCTACAGTCATAGTGGAAGGCGAAGGCAGGAGCAGATGGATCACATGCAAGTAAAGAAGCAAGAGTAAGGTGGGGGAGGTCACAGACTTTCCAACAACCAGATCTCGTATGAACTGAGTGAGAATTCAGTTACCACCAAGGGGATGGTGCTAAACCATTCATGAGGAATTTGCCCCATGATCCATCCAGTCACTTCTCACCAGGCCCCATCTCTAACATTGGGAATCACATTTCAACATGAGATTTGGAGGGGACGGGCATCCAAACTATATCACCTGTGTAGTGAAGCCTCCATAAAAACCTAAAAGGACAGGGTTAGGAGAGCTTCTGGATAGATGAACACATGGAAGTTCATGGAGGCTGGTGCCCCCAGGGAAGGCATGGAGGCTCTGTGTCCCTTACCCCAGTCCTTATTCTGTGCATCTCTTTATCAGTATCCTTTGTAACATCCTTCATAATAAAATGGTAAATGTGCTTCCATGAGTTCTGTGAGCTGCTGCAGCAAACTAATTGAACCTAAAAAGGGAAATGTGGGAACCCCAACTTGAAGCCATTCAGTCAGAAGTTCTGGAAGCATAGACTTGCAACTAGTGTCTGAAAAGAATGGGGCAGTCTTGTAGGACAGAGCCCTCAATCTGTGGGATCTGACAGTATCTCCAGGTAGATAGTGTCAAAATTGAATTGGAGGACACCCAACTGATGTCTGCTGCAAAATTGATTGCTTGTTTGTTGGTGGGGTGAAATCCCCCACATTTGGTCACAGAAGTTTCTGTGATGATTATTGTGGAATGAGAGAATAGGAAAAACACTTTGAGGTTGTGGTTGTTTTCCCACTAATCCAAAGAAACCTTTCTGATAAATCTATTCCTGGGAATGAGCTGAAATCATTGGAGTAGCTTTGATTAAAGGTCTGGTACTGAGAATAGAATATATTTAATAGCAGAACAAAGACTATTGGAGTTAAAGATGATGGAATAATATTGAATGCTATATGTGCTGCAATATAGATTTTGTTTTCAATTCTCAAAATGGGAGAAGAGTATTCTGAAAATGTGAAATAAGCTTGATGATCACTCATAGTTATTAGCTGGGAATAGAAGGATAACACTTTGTTAAATGTTTGAGAAGAGTGAGGGAAGTGAGATGTCAACTAGCTAATTTCATGAGTTCTCATAGAAGGGATAATACCTTAAAGATAATACCTTAAAATACAGTCAAAAGAGGAAATTAGGATATAATGTCACAGTAATCATTAGAGCAAAGATACAGAGCTTCCAGAAGATTAAAAAAAGGTACATTTTTAAAGCCACCAAAGAGAGCGATGACGACTTTACATGTGTATTATGTTATATACAAATATAACATGACAAATAGGATGAAAGGCTAAAAACAAAAGATCAGACAAAATTATACTGAGTAAATTGCAAACAAAATGAGACAGGAGTTGCAAACTTGATACCAGATAAGGTAGAACTCATGCCAAAAAAGCATTTAGTGTTGGGGAGGAAACTATTAACGTAATGAGCTGCATTAAAATTAAGCACTCTGTTCATTGAAATACACATTTATAAAGTGAAAAGAAGCCACAGGATGGGAGAAGGTATTTGTAACTCACACCCAATAAAGGAGTTCATATTGATGCAGGATATTTTCTTGACACCTTCATGGTACTCACGACAGGGGTGCCCTGTTTACTCAGCCCACCCTGCTCAACTCCTGGCAGGTGGGAGCACACGAGCAAACGAGTATGAGAACTGGCTGGCTGCTTTGGCACTGGCAGGAGCAAACTTGGTTCACTTGGGTCTGCTGCACTCCACCCCTCATGGGAGGGAGTGTGTAGGCAAGCAGGTGTAGGAACTGGCCAGCTGCTTTAGTACCTGCAGGAGCAAACTCCATGCAGGCCCTGTGGCAGCATCCAGGTCTGGGTGCCTGCGATCCCAAGGCTCCAGAGGGCATGTTACAAGGTTCTCTTAGCTCTGCTGGACAGAAGTGTATTATCAGCTCACTGCACCTTTTGCCTTTTTGGGGGCAGCTGCCCTCCACCAGTAAGGGCAGAGGGCCAGTGTGATAGCCTTTTTGGGTACCTGCACTTGGTGGGTCCCGAATTCTTGTCTGGTGCCCACGAAGAATGAGGTAATGTGAATTCATGCTGAGAGCCACTTTCATTCACTCAATAAAATTCTCTGCATTGACCATCCTTCATCCATGAATTGAAGGATGGTGAATGCAGAGAATTTTATTGAGTGATGAAAGTGGCTCTCAGCAGAGAGGGGAGCTGGAAAGGGGATGGGAAGGGCATGTCACTCTCCCCTGAAGTCAAGTTGCCTCTCTCCGATGTCCAGCTACCATCTCTGAAGTCATGATGCCTGTGCCCGAAGTCCAGCTGCTTCTCCTCTCTACTGGCTGAGTCTGGGGTCTTTACTGGCACAGGATGGGGGGCAGGGCAGGCCATAGGTAGTTTTAGAAAAAACAACATTTGATTGGTAAAAAGACCTTTTTCAGAAAGAACCAGTCGGGAGAGAGTGGGCACACAGGGATGGAAGTTCTCACTTTGGGCTTCAGCTTTTAGGCTTGAAGATGGGGTTTTGCCGAGGACACACCCCCATCTGCCTAGAATTTCTCTGCCTCCTGCCTCTATCAATGTGTGTGTGTGTGTGTGTGTGTGTGTGTGTGTGTGTAGGGGGGGAGGCAGAGGGAGGGAGGGAGAGAGTGAGAGAGAGAGAGAGAACTTACAAACCACCAAGAAAAATATGGACAACTCTCTAGAAAAATAGGCAAGAGACTAACACAGGTACTTCACAAAAGAGGGTATTCAAATGGTCAATAAACATATGAAAAGGCAGTTAAACCTTATTAGCAATGAGGAAATTTTAATTAAAACCACAACAATATACCACTGCATCCCTACCAGAATTGCTAAAATGAAAAATACTGACAATGCCAAGTGAAGGCAAGGATATGATGCTCTCAAAGTTCTTATACATGGTGGGTATGTCAGTTGCTACAATCACTTGGAAAAGTGACCTTTTCTCCTGAAGTCTAACGTACATACTCTGTAACCCAGAAGCTTCCCTCCTAGATATATACTCAAGAGAAATATATGCAATATGTATCAAAAGATAGATTCATAGCAACATCATTTTAATAGTCAGAAATTCAAAACAACACAAATGCCCATCCAAAGTAGAATGAAATAGAATGAGAAGTAGAATTAAGTTGAGGGAAAGTAGAATGAATGAAAAATAGTAATGTTATATATTTATTTAGTGAATACAATATTGCTGAAAATGAAGTGCAGCTATGCAAAACAAGCTATGAACAAATCTTATAAGCATACTCAAACATTCAAAAATAGGCAAAACTATTTATGGTGTTAGAAGTCAGTGTATACTCTGATGGTTACCTTTGTGGATGAAGGTGGAGGTAGTGATTGGAGCGGGTCAAAAGAAGGATCCTGGGGTGCTAGCACTGCCCTTTTTTTTTTTTTCAAGATCTGAGTGATAGTTAAATAGGTATTTTTTGTAATGTGTTACTTGTGTACTTCCCTGATATGTTTATATATGAATTAAAAAGTTATTTAAAAAAAAGGAATGAAGAAGTTTTATTAATAGGGAGTGATCTCCAGGAAGTAAAAAAGCAAGAGGCAGCCCACTATTTATATTATGCCACATCTTGGTTAATTTATAGCATGCTACTTCTTTTCTTCTACCTCTTGGGCCATCCCAGACCTTGATACTCTGTTCTCCCTGTAACTCATAGGATATGAATTCACATCTCTGTGCTCCTAGTGTTAATCCAGATCCTACCTTTTCACTTATTTATTTTCTTTATTTCCTACATTCTGTGGAATATTTCCTGTTGATTATATCATGGTTGACACAAAATCAGCATGCCTAAAACTTAAATTTATCTTTTTCTTTCTCTCATGTCTATATAAGCTGTCATCCTAATCTTACTGTTTCCATCAATGGCTTCATTATTCTCAAAACTGGAAATACTTGCATTATTCTTGACCTAATCTTCCATTGCACATCCACTGTACTAGATACACTGTAACTAAGTATTGCTAACGATTTCTTTTCAGCATTGTAAAATCCTTTATTTTCATTTACAAAGTTACCATGATAACATGTCATTTGATAAGCTACAAATAGGACGTTGCTACTGTGTCCTTGTCTTCATTTCCTTAATAGTGTTGCTAAAATGCCATTGAGAGAAAATGCTTCAAAATTATGTAGTAACTATGGTTGTACAACTTCATGAATATACTAAAAACCACTATATTATTTACTTTAAAAGAGTGAATTTTATGATATTGAATTATATCTCAATAAAGGTGTTATTAAAAATAAAAACAAAAAATGTCACTTAGGGCATAGAATGATTTCCTGTTAGATTGAATATCAGTTTTAGTTTATCATCCAAAGCCATTCATTGTATTCAGCTTCATTTCTCCTATCGGGTCATATCCAGTCTGTCAGTATACCATCCCTTGAGGTAGTTTAGTCTCCTCGATAATAACATTTTCCTAGTCTAATAAGTTCTTTTGTATATAAGATTAATAATCTTATGAGAATAGTCAAAGCCATGGATATTATCACTGTTTTAAACTGAGGGAACTTGAGACAGAATGTTTTATTGAGAATCACAGGGCTAGTATTAGAATTTATTTCAACTTTACAGATACTTAAATTTGAGCATCTTTTATGCACTAGGCACTGGTTGGTGCAGTTGGGATATAGAGACATATCCCAATTATCTGATCCCTATCTATGCTCAGAGAGGCTTTTAGTCTCTCTGCCACTTTGCCTTTGCTAGTCTTCCCATGTCTATATTTCATTACTGCTTCTATTTTGTCCATGTTGTTGTTTTCCTTCAAAGCCCTTCTAAACTCACTTTCAGTATGAATCTTTTTCTTACTTCCCTTCTTTAAGCCTTCCTTTAGTTTGAATTCCTTGGGACTGGGTCAGTTCTCTCTCTGTATATAACTTGCCACATTATTTTAGTTGGTCCACATGTGTATTTATCAACCCAGTTGATATGAAAGCTTGTCAAGGGCATAAATTATGATCTATGATTTTTAAAAATATTATCTACAATTTTTTTTCTCATTGTGCTGGCATAGTTCTGGGCCCTTAGATGCTTAGCAAAATTATGTTGAGTTGAATAGGAAACAAAGGCATGTCTTGATCTTTAATCTACTGGCTAGCTGGGAAAACCAAAAACACAAGGGACACATCCTGTGCACAATTGTAAAACAATGTATCAATTGTACAAAAATGAAAACTTCAGACTGAATTGGTAAGTGGTCCTGATGAGTTGCTCTGCTATGCTAAAGCTGAAGACTTACAGTTAACTCTGATCTTTAGGCTTACCATAGTCTCAGAAGTTGATACCTTAGCACCTAAAATAACTTTACTAGATAATGATTGGGATGATTTGGGCTAGTATTCGTTGGATTGAAGACAGAACACAACTCACTTACTGACATCTTCTCTAATACTGTTAATGTTAGTGATCCACCACAGCACACATTGTCTCTACCACATGGTGAACCACCTCATAGTTTTGTGTTTTCATAAGCTTTGAAGATAAAGGTGAAACAGTAAAAAGGTTTCTTAAAGTAAGCAAAGTAAAATGGAAGTAGCATTCTGTGTTATTAGAAGATACAGCTTATAGTGGATTTCTCTTGCTACCGAAATATCTGACTTATACTATTGATTTTCTGTCAGTTTAGATGGATGTCTTGTATCTTGGATAATATTATTCTAATGTTTGTGTATTTATTTCAAAGGTAGTCTCTCTGTTGTCATTCTTGAATAACAATTATTAGTCAAAAGAAAGAAAATTAAGCATCCTTAATTTCTTCTATTGTTTTCTTTATAAGGCACAGTTGGTGGATCTGAAATCTGAACTGACAGAAACCCAAGCAGAGAAAGTTGTTTTGGAGAAAGAAGTACATGATCAGCTTTTACAGCTGCACTCTATTCAGCTGCAGCTTCATGCTAAAACTGGTCAAAGTGCTGACTCTGGTACCATTAAGGCAAAATTGGTAAGTAGTTTAGAGAGTGACATGCCCTTGCATGTATTTTACAGGGTGTACAGGACAATTTTGAATGAGACTTTTAAATTATAAAATATATGTGCTTATTGTGGGAAATTTAGAAAATATAAGAAATATAAAGTTTATGATCATTATGATAATCTACAATCTCATCACCTATAGATAATCAGTGATATCAACAATCAACTGATAGAATTTTTCCTATTTAAAATATATGTATAAATATGTTTAAAAGATATTTGTGATTATAACATATAAGATTTTTTTTTGCCCTACTGTATCAGTTGGATTAAATTCAGTTGCATATAACAGAAATCCCAAGTAACATTGGGATTATTCTTGAACAGTACTTATTTTTCTCTGAAATGAAATCTGAGACCGGCAGTCTAGAGTTGATACGGCAGCTCCACAAATATTAGAGATCCAGATTCCTTCCATCACTGTGCTCTGCCATTTTTAGCTTATGGTTTCCATCCTCAGGATTTCTTCATGTCTGCATTTCAGGCAGGAAGAAGGATTAATCTAAGGAAAGGGCAAAAAGATGCTTCTCCATGATGTTAGCCTTCTTTAAAGAACTTATTATTAAATCTTTCTCAGTAATTTTTGCCAGCATTTCATTGACCATCCCCAGCTGCATGTCAGTCTCCTATTGGCCATATGGCCACTTCCAGTAAAACTGGAGTCTGTTAATAAGGAAGAAGTAAGAAATGGAATTGGGTACCAACCAGTAGCACATTCTTTTCTTTTGCTCTTAATATATTGTAAGCATTTTTCCTGCCACTGTGTACCACATATGTTTTGAGTGTGTAAGAGATAGCAGATATTTTGTTCCTATATGGGACACAGCAATAAATAAGACAGCTATTGCTTGGCAGAGGCAGGACATGAAATGATGTTGATGATATAATGAGAGTAATACATTTATAAGTTTTATTTGTTTTCAGTTAATTTCATTTGGTTAATTAGTTCCTAGTACTGATGTGTTAAAATTCATGAAAATAATTTTAAGTTAAACTCTTAAGTTTTCTAACTCTGTGAATCTGTGTTAGAAGGGTTTTATTTAACTGAAATAAAAGCTCATAACTGCTTCTTCGAGCTATTTGACATTAACATTCAGAAACAATCTAAATTTTCTCTAGAAAAGAATTTACCTGAAGTTTTAACATTAGAATTTGAAAGAGTATGATGAAAAGAACACTGTACCAGTTATGTTGACTAATTTTGATAAAACAAAAAGTTTTAATCTAATGCTATTACAGTTACTATTGTTTATAGATTGCAAATATATTTGTTCTAATGAACTTTACCCAAATGATATCCAACATGTGGGATTTTTCCTTATAATGACTATACCACTAAATAAAATCATTTGTTTGATCTTTTTCTAATTATAAAACTTTTTTCTTATATCTGAAGTCTGGCCCCTCTGTGGAGGAGCTGGTAAGTATATTGTTTCTGTTTTGCTTTAATATGTCACGCTGAAGTGTTCTTAGTGTTTTATTTGCATATTATATGTTGTCACTCATTGTATTTGAAAATAGCATTAATAATGGCAATTTTTTAATGTTCCAGTACCTGAAAAGTTCAGTGGATGGCCCATTGCTCTTTTCTCACTGCATGTTGTTAAACATTTTTCTTTTGTTAGTGATTTATAGCCATTATTTGCAGAGCCTGTCAATTTTTGACAATTTTTGAGCCTTGTAGCTTGCTCATACCTCTACTTCAAAGAGCAATTGGTTTTCCCACTTCAGGGTATTGAAGATATATCAAGCAGGCTTAGTTTTTAACCCCCTTAAGTTTCTGTTTGAAATTATTTCCAGAAAAGAATGTGCATGTTGGTTTCTTCTTCATCTACTGCGTTACAACTTTTCAAGAGTCTTGAGAATAATCGTATGGCCTTTGAAACAATTGAATTTTGAAATGCTTTAGCAGAAGTTATTTTAGAAAATAACAATACATTTTTAATATTTTTCTCATTACCCCAACCTAATCAAGTTCCAATTTGTCTTATGGCTTTACCTCTTTTGAAGATATAATCTTTGGTATCTAAATGTAAAATGAACATCTTGGGTGTTACCTAGTAACAAACAGGTTAACTAAGAACCAAGAAAATTTTTTTCTGGAAATCTAGAAATGGTTAACTTCAGTTTCCTTCATCTTATTCTTGCTTACCTCTGTTAATTTCGGGCCCAAGAGTTTGTCAGATTCATTAGGGATTTGAATCATTAAAACCCCAGTGAGTGGTAGCTTAGTATGTCTCCCACATTTCATTAATGTAGTATAAATAGCTCATTAAAGTAATTGAAAGTAGGTAATCATCAACATAAAGTTTATTTAGCCCATAAGCCAAAGAAATCTTGGTCTAGGAGTGCTCTTTCAAAAGTTGCATCAACTTTAACATGTCATAAGAAAGATTTTTGTTTGTATCTCCAAACTGGTTTCTTTTGAAACAGATACTTGCCCTTTTAGGACATAGGTTCTGAAATAAGAGTTTAATAATTCCAAAATTATGTTAAAAGGAGGATTCTAGATTGAGTTTTTCGAATCCTTTAAAACCAGTATCTAGAAATTACGTTCTAATCTTTTTTTTCCCAGAAATTGAGTCTGCTAATCTTTCATCTGTTTGTCATATATATAACAAATATTTTTAATCAAAGAAGTGATAAATATATCTAGCATTTAGTAGTTGTCATTAATTTTAGCTTGTATGTGTGTGTGTATATGTAAATATATTTTTTTTAGGATTATCGTATTTATTGACTAGTATTCAAATATATCTATTTTGATGTTGTTCAAAACAGTAGACCAAAGGAGGCACATTAAATTAGTACCAAAATATATTCCATGAATTGCTGAAAATTTGCTTAAATTTGTTTCTTAGCTTCTCAATATCCAGAATAAAAAGGGAAATAATTATGTAAAATAATCAGTGCCCATACAATAGAAACAATACTATTCATCATTTCCTCAAGAGAAACAATTTCTCTGGTGCTAAGGTAGGTTTTTATTTACGTCCTCACAAAAGGGACAAAGGGGGTATAGGGAATAATGTCTTCCACATATTGTGAACAAATGTAACCATGTTTTCATAGGATTTGTGGATTCTGTAAAAGCAGTTCTGCTCAGGATAAATGCAAGTTTTCAGTGTTTACGTGGTTTTTTTGATCTATAAATAACAGTTAAAATGTCTATTGGGGTCCTTATTTAACTCTCAAAAGGGTTTTAGAAGTAAATAGCAGATTCAACTATCCATTGAAGCCACTTTTACTAATATGTGATAACATGAGCTTAGAGTAGACTACTTTTCTTACTATACTCCATATCAGGGTAACCCATGGCGTGCAATTATTTTATCTAGAAGTAGTTCCAAGATGTTATGGTACTAGTTCAAAAGAACTACATCCAGATCTTTGTGTTCCATTTTATAGAGATGATACATTGTTGAACTGTAGGCTTTTGTGCATTTTCAGGAACATGGTCTAGTGCTAAAGAGTTTTTATTTTCATTAAATTATATGCTTTTAAAAATTACATAGGAAAGAGAGCTTGAGGCAAACAAAAAAGAAAAAATGAAAGAAGCACAACTTGAAGCTGAAGTGAAATTGTTGAGAAAAGAGAATGAAGCCCTTCGTAGACATATAGCTGTTCTCCAGGCTGAAGTATATGGGGCGAGACTAGCTGCCAAGTACTTGGATAAGGAACTGGCAGGAAGGTGTGTAAAAAATGGGTATTATTGTACTCTTAAGTGACAAATTGGATATTTAATGAGGTTGACTCTTACTTCTTTCTTTTTTTATTTTTTATTTTTTTGAGATGGAGTCTTGCTCTGTTGCCCAGGCTGGAGTGCAGTGGCATGATCTCTGCTCACTGCAACCTCTGCCTCCTGGGTTCAAGCGATTCTCCTACCTCAGCCTCCTGAGTAGCTGGGATTACAGGTGCCTGCCACCACGGCCAGCTAAATTTTGTATTTTTAGTAGAGATGGGGTTTCACCATGTTGGCCAGGCTGGTCTCAAACTCCTGACCTTGTGATCCATCCACCTTGGCCTCCCAAAGTGCTGGGATTACAGGTGTGAGCCACCGCACCTGGCCTACTCTTTTTTCTTATGGTAAATGAAGCATTAATCTTTTTCCTCAGAATTATTTTACAGTTGGTTTTAACTTACTGTTGTTAAATTAATACTGACAGCATTATGTATCGCAGATCTAGTTATCCATACTAAATATGTTTAGTTTACACACACAAACACTGATAGTATCTTACTGTGAAATGCTAACAACTCTGTAGAGCAGCACTTTTCAACTATTTTGTGCCTTGAGACCAGTACAGCCGATATTCACATGCATAGCAGAACTTCCATAAGGAATTCTTTTTATGATCACTGAAACCCAGTCTTTCTTGCCCTTCAAAAAAACGTGTTGGTATTTAGTTAATGACAATGATTTTATCATAATCATACACAGAATTCTGCTGTATTTATTAAGTAAATTATTAACAAACTTTGGTGACTTATTAGTACTAAATCATTTTGTGCATATTCTTTTAATGTCACATTAAAAACATGGAACAAAGAAAAAATAATTTATATCATCTTGAAGTACAAATTTTCTAGTAACTTTTTTTTTTTTTTAAATTTTGTGAGATGGGGTCTCACTCTGTCGCTCAGGATGGAGTGCAGTGGTGCAACGTTGGCTCACTGCAGCGTCCACCTTTCAGGCTCAAGTGATCCTCCCACCTCAGCCTTCCAAGTAGCTGAGACCACAGGCATGCCACCATGCCTGGTTAATTGTTAAGGTTTTGCCTTGTTGCCCTGGCTGGTTCTAGTAACTTTTAACCACATTTAAAGTAATCATTTTGTGAAAAGAAACTCTAATTAGAAGAAATATTTTTGTCCATTTATCTCATCTAAAAGCTAACATTTAATAGTATCTGAGTTCAGTGACTTTGCATGCAAGACATAGATTGACATTAATCTCATAAATTTTTTTTTAGATTTATTTGAATTAAGTATATGACTAAAGGAGTTCACATTAATTCCTTTAAAAATTTTTTTTACTGGTTTTTCCCTTGAGGATACCTGTTCTTTTCAGAGTTTTCATATTTTTTTTATATCTGAGAGACATCAAGAAGTTCGTGAGTATTAGTTTTATCACTAATTTGAGATTCATGCAAAAGCTACTTATGTTCACTAATTTTCCTGAATTCTCACTGTAGTGAATATAATGAAAAATCAATGTACTCTTTTCCCAATATGAAGGGTCCAACAGATACAATTGCTAGGACGAGATATGAAGGGACCTGCTCATGATAAGCTTTGGAACCAATTAGAAGCTGAAATACATTTGCATCGTCACAAAACTGTGATCCGAGCCTGCAGAGGACGTAATGACTTGAAACGACCAATGCAAGCACCACCAGGCCATGTATGTTTGCTTTGCTGCTGCTTCCCACCCAGCCTCTTCTTTCTTTCTTTAATCACAGTTGCTTTCCATTCTTTCCTTTATTCTAGTATTGTTTGAAACCTTTATTTAAAAGTGAAAATGGGATTCAACTTATTCAAAGTAGATGAAGTTTCAACACCCATAGAAATTTTAGTAGCTCTTCACAGACTTACTAATGCCCTGAGAGTGCTGCAGACAGTGAGCCATTGTTAGCAAATGCATATTGCTATAATGTTGGATCATATTTCCAGTTTTTCCTGGATCATGATTGGGCATGCTTGAATTTGTTTTAATCTTAGCTTAGAGTGTGTGGTCATATTGATAATTTGGCAGATATTTTGGGGTAGTTCTTTAAGGGAACTTTTAGTAACTGAATCCAAATGTAGATTCTGAACTAACATTTACACCTGTTTGGTCTTGGATTAAGATAGAATTTGAGATCTGTAGCCAGTTGTCTGCTTCTGTAGCCACCATTATATAAAAGCTTCTATCTGGATAAATCTTTATTGAATTTTATCATAACAGCTGCTTGATAATATAGACCTTAATATATGAAAGCATGTCTCCCAAGGGTTCACATATCTTAGTACCAGATAATGTATGGCCTTAAATAGTAAAATAGTTTGTTGGCTCTGCAAAGATTTTTGTAAGAAGAATTGGTATGTAAATAGAGTTGGTGGAAGAGAAGTGGGGATAGCGATAAGCACTTATGCCATTGTTTTCTAGGGCACTGGTGGTTCCCATTAACTTCTAGGTCCAGTAGATTTGGGAAATGGAGCGGTTAGGAGGAAGACAAAGTAGTTTGTATCAGATGTGTCTGAGTGATAAAAGCATGCTTGTTAAATTAGCTAAATATGAGGTTGGGGTTTTAGGTAGTGGCTGGATTATAGAAATTATTTTATACTAAATAGAGGAATTTTAACTTTAACCTGATAATCATGGAAGTTTTAAATAAAATGGCAGACTTCATAAAATTTACATTTTTTAATAGTTATTTTGGTATAGTGAAGAGGACCAAGTTGGAGTCAAGGAGATATATTAGAAAGATACTATGGTCATCCAAGGAGAAAGTGATGAGGTCAGGAGAAGTGGCATTTGAGAAGAAGGATAGATTTGAGAGGATTATAATCAGGAGGGCTTGATTGGTGACTAACTGCTTTTGGTTAAATAGTGAAAAAGAAGAGTCTGGGCTTTTAGTTTGAGCAACTGAGTGAGATCTGGCATTCACTGGGAAGGGAAATAGAAGAAAAGGAAGGATTTGGGGAAAAGATGATGAGATCAGTTTTAGACAAGTAGTGTTTGAGGTGACAATGGGGTATCCAAGATACATCCAACTGGACATATGACTCTGGATTTCAGAAGAGAAATCTGTTTTGAAGAAATATTAGGGAAACTATCCTTCTATTATACTTGAAACCTTGGAACTCATTAAGCCTGTTCCAAGTATATATGTATATATAAAGTATATATGTAGTAAAAAGAATAGGAGGCCAAGGATAGAAACTTATGGAGTGGGAGAAGGAAAAGGATCACTAAAGGAAGGAGCCTGGGATGGAGCTGTCAGATACAGGCCATCTAGGAAAGTAGTGTAATAAAAACTAACAGAGAGAGTGGGTTTCAAGGAGGGGTTGATGAACAGTATCAACTTTCTGCAAGTTTGAAGTAGGATAGTGACAAAAAGTGTTAATTGTGTGTAACAATATTGATTACTGGTGACCACAGAAAAGAAAATTCCAGTTGTGCATGTAGGGGCAAAACTCTAATTACAGAGACCAGAGGACTGAATGTGAGTGGCAAGGAAGTAGATATGATGAGGATGAACTTCGTGTAGAGGTTAAGGAAAGGGGGAGGATGGTAGTTGCTAAGGAAGATAGTGAAGGATTGAAAGGTTTTTTGTTTTGTTTTGCATTTGCACATGATCAGTATTTTAAAACTGGAAGAGGCTTGTGATTCATTTATCTGCTGAGTAGGAAAACAGCTTAGTAGAGACAGAAAGAGTAAGGGTACCAGAGAAAAGATTATTAGTGGATCAAGGCCCTTTATTTAAGAGGTAGACTCCAGAGCACCAAGGAATGTATAAGTAATTAATGGTCCAATTGGAAATTTGTTTTTCAACTCTACAACTCAGCTAAAATGAATGTATATCTTAAAGATATCCAGTGAAGATAGACACTTTTATTTTTTGAGGATATTTGTTCCTCAATTAATTCCTGGAAATCATTTCTTTTATAATGCCCTACAATTTAAAAAGAGATGTATCAATATTTTAAACATTATTGGCAAAAGGGTGAGAATATCATCTATAAATTTTGCATCAACAGAATAGCTATTTTCATTTTTCCATTTTATCTGTTACTTTCTTAACCCTATACTGTTTATCCATTCCAGGAAGTTAATACAGATTTCTAAAAGCAAGTTATATAGTATGAGTTTACTCTATTTGGTATGCTATTTAAATGATACTACTTTTTCTTCTTTTTTCCTCCCAATAAGGATCAAGATTCCCTAAAGAAAAGCCAAGGTGTTGGTCCAATTAGAAAAGTTCTCCTCCTTAAGGAAGATCATGAAGGCCTTGGCATTTCAATTACAGTAAGAAGTAGTACTTCCAGTATCATTTTCTACAGTTATCTAGTATAATCATGCTCCTTTGTTGGACATCACTGGGGAACAGAATATTCTGGATATATTTTTTAAATAACTAAAATTTATCCCCATGGGGATAAATGTTTGCTTTTGTGTAAATATTTTTTTAAGAAATAAATATTCCTAGCAACTATTAAGTGTACCTTTAGTAAGCATAGTTTAACATTTTTATTATGATTCACTTAATAGTTCTGTGCCATATACTGTGATGCCTCTAGGAGCCCTTGGGAATAGACGTGGCTGTTTTCTTCTATGTTAAATGGCTTCAGATTGTATTGTTCTCTCTCGGAGTACGTGTATCTTTCTCTTGCCTCATTTATTAGCTGTCAGATTTCACTGGCTCTTGGGTCCAAATGTTATATATTCTTTTTTTTAAATTCGATGCCTTTAGGAGTCATTTTGTTGTCATCTCAGTGCTTTAATGAATAAGGTGGCTTTAATTTTCATTTGGTAATACTTAGGCACTGAGCAAGATCATTTGTTTTTTTAGTATTGCTTAATGTAGAAATGTTTCTTATAATAAAAAGCTCATCTAATCTATATTTCTTGAATACTTACCTTTTTTTTTTTTATGTGCTGCCTTCAAAGAGCATACATTTTAGCAGGACAAATAAGACACACACACACACCCCTACACACACGCAACAATGATATAAGCTAGAGAGTGATAGGTACCAAATACTGCATTTTTTCAATTCTACATTGCATATATTTTCATATTTTAACTTCTCTGAAATTGAAATTTATCTTATAATCTTAAAATTATTTTTGTGGCACCTAAAATAATTGGTCTTGTCATTCGTAGTGATTTAGACTTGATAAAATGTAATGGTGCTATGGAGTACTAACACATAAGTTTTTTTTAATTTAAGAATTTAGCCAATTTCTGTTCAATACTCTGATAATTTTTACCATTACTTAAGTAGCAAATAAAATTTTACCCAGCATTTATAGAGACAGCATAGGTGTTTAATGAAATATATTTTTAAGAAAATATTTTATCTCTAGATTAATCGGTAACTGTACCTTACAAAGAGTACTTTAATTTACTGCCCTTTGTTGTTGTTAGGGTGGGAAAGAACATGGTGTTCCAATCCTCATCTCTGAGATCCATCCGGGGCAACCTGCTGATAGATGCGGAGGGCTGCACGTTGGGGATGCTATTTTGGCAGTCAACGGAGTTAACCTAAGGGACACAAAGCATAAAGAAGCTGTAACTATTCTTTCTCAGCAGGTAAATTCCCTTCATGTAATTAGAACTGGATCTATCAATTGGTTATGAATCTATTGAACACTGTATACTTCCCTACGAAGTTTCTAAAGTAGTAAAGTGTTTACACATAGTTCTTGTTTCCTTTGATTTAATGCTTTTATAGCTGACATTCAGTCAGATTTACTGAAAATGGACCATTCCATTTTGTTTACTTCATAACTTTGAGCAAGTTACTTAAGTCCTCTGTCCCTCAGTGTCCTCACCTGTGTGGGAGGGATTGAAAGAAAGCTGTGAGGATTAAGTATGTTAATACATATAAAGTACTCAGAACAGGACCTGAGACTGAAAAAACAACATCCTTAATGCCTAGAACACTATATATAAGGTATTACAGAAAAGACAGTGCTAGAAGTAGATTGATTTTAGTCATGGAATATTAAAATTGAAATCACACATAGAAACTATCTAGCCCAACTCTCTTAAAATGAGTAAACTAAAGTTCTTAGCGATGAAAGGATTTACTCAAAGTTGCCAAGCAAATAAATTATAGAATTGAGATTCATACTCAGGAGTCATATTTGTCATACAGTTGTACTTAAAATGTTGTTTTATTTTATTTCTTTCAAGAATAGAGTTGAGGGAATTAGAGGCATTGGTAGTACATTGAGATGTTTCTTGGATTATCAGTGTGGTATGCCTCTGTAGAATTGCATCTCAGAGTTGAAAGTGAATATTGTTCATTGGTTCAATTCTATATGATGCATAAATCTTTGCAACATCACTACTTCAATAATTACATTACAGGGAAGACTTGCTGATATCAACCAGTCCATTCCATTGTAATACAGTACTGATTTTTAGAAAGCTTTTTCTCATATTAAGCCTGAAATCTGTGTCTCCATGACAGCTACTCACAGATCTAATTCTGTCATCTAAAACTTTGCTGAAGACCACTGCATCATCTGTCTCTTTCTGCAAAATGGTATTTTTAAAGCATTAGCTGACAAGAGAGATCTAAGAATGCTACGCTATTCTCTTAAGTTAGTGTTTTATCAATCCATCTTGACTGTCATCCAGTAGCAAAAGAGTGGGATAACTGGTGAAGGAGCTATCAATGGGCAGCCATAAGTTTTAAGGAAATGCTAACTAAGCACATATTAAAATTCTGAGGTATAACCTTAAACTGCTGGGAAAGAAGAGCACCAAAGAGACTAACTTAGTGAGTAGCAGTCAAAAATGCCGTGTTTTCTTTTGAGCAAAGGCAAGCCATAGTTTTCAGAATTGCCAACACCACACTTATATGTAGTGGTTGGAGTCTCTTATTAAATGACAATTATAGCTTGGAAATTTTTCTTTTAACATAAAACGATCTGTAACATTTTTTTCTTTTTTGGAGCCAGGATCTCACTTTGTCACCCAGGCTGGAGTGCAGTGGCACAATTACGGACCACTGCAGCCTCAACCTCCCAGGCTCAAACAGATCCTCCGACCTCAGCCCCCTGAGTAGCTAAGACTACAGATGCCTGCCACCATGGCCAGCTAATTTTTTTTTTTTTTTTTTTTTTTGTAGAGATGGGTTTTGCCATGTTGCCCAGGCTGGTCTAGAATTCCTGAGCTCAAGCGATCCACCTGCCTCAGCCTCCCAAAGTGCTGGGATTACAGGTGTAAGCCACTGTGCCTGGCATGATCTGTAACTTTTTACTTGAATGTTTCATTGTTAAAGAATGACAGTACAAATATTACACAGTTAGTCTAGCATAATATAAAGATTAAGGACTTCAGAGTCAAACTTTTGTTTTTCTTTATTCTTGTTCATTATGTAGGGAAAGTTATCTGCTTTCTGCAGGACTCACTCAGCTTTCTCGTTCATGTAAAAGAGACTATAATAGGATTATTCTGGGGATTGAAGGCTATAATTTATAGTAAATATATAAATATAGTAATTACTATTAGTACGAGACAGAATACCTTGATTAACACTATGTCTGTGTCTGGTACTCAGTGTAAGTTCTTACTCAAGACCTATTGAATAAGAAACAAAAAATCATTTTGTAGGAGTTTCTTGAATTAGTTAAGAAAAGATTTATATGATGTCCTTATGGCAGTGTACAAAAATCATTTTCTAGGGGTTTCTTGAATTAGTTAAGGAAAGGTTTGTATGATATCCTTATTTAATATCTGACTATTTAGATGTATTTGCTGAATTGCTGTGTGCAGTACAAAGTAGCAAATAACTTTAAAACTGAATACTTGTTCCAAAATTCTATAAATTTAATAATTAAGCATCCTCTTAAATTTTAGATCTATTAGCAAAAAGACTATGGTCAGTAGAAAGAGCTACTATAATGTTTAAAGGAACTGTAGAGAGGATTCACGAGGCTGATCAGACATGATGGCCTCACTACCTCTTTAGATTCTAGAATTTTATTATTTATTTTCTGGAAATCAGCTATCTCTTAGATCTCTCTACCCCTAAGCCTTCCCACAAAGAATTTGGAAATCCTTTTTAAATTACAATTACAATAACTTGACTTTCTCATTTTCATTTCCTGTTTTAGAGAGGAGAGATTGAATTTGAAGTAGTTTATGTGGCTCCTGAAGTGGATTCTGATGATGAAAACGTAGAGTATGAAGATGAGAGTGGACATCGTTACCGTTTGTACCTTGATGAGTTAGAAGGAGGTGGTAACCCTGGTGCTAGTTGCAAAGACACAAGTGGGGAAATCAAAGTATTACAAGGTAAAAATCACTCTAAAAATTATTATTAACATATTCATTATTATTAAATGTTTAAAATGTGAAGGCCTCAGAATTTCTTCAGTAAAACTGTTTTGTGAGGAAATCAAAGGAATGAAGAGCTTTCCCTTGTTTATTGTTTTATTGTATACTATGCTAACAGTTTATTTACCATATATGTTCTTCTATATTCATCTTGGACTGTTAAGACAAGTACATTACCAGTTACTCTACTGCAAGTGATCCTTGAAAAATAAATAAAATTTTTTCTAGACTCTGAAACAAAGACCAATATACTATTTTGAGTAGATCTATCTTGTAGACTACATTGTCTGTCTGTCTTGATGCAAATTCATCTCTCACAATGAATTTTAAGCTAATTATGAATAAGTATGAAGTATACTGTCACCTTATGATTGCTATTAGAATCAACTTATATTATCTTGGGGATGTTTGGTTTAGTTCCTTTGCTATCATTTAGACATATTTTAAGGAAAAACTCTAGCACTTCCTTTTACATAGAGCAGTGGTCCTCAAATTGTGATCTGTGGATCTCTGAGGGTCTCTGAGATATTTTAGCAGAGTTCATGAGGTCAAAGCTTTTCATAATAATACTAAGACATCATTTGTCTTTTTTTGCTATGTTGATATTTGCACTGATGGTATCTGGTTGATGCAAAAGCAATTGGGGTAAAACTGCTGGTGCCTTAGCACTAATCAAGGCAGTGTTGCTAATACTAGTAACTGTACTAGTAATCATTGTTTTCTTCCTTGCCATCCATTCATAGTAAAAGAAGAAGATACCAATTTTGCTTAAAAATATCTTTGATGAAATGGCAGTAACAGTTAATTTTTAAATATTGACCTTTGAGTACCTGTCTTTTTAATATTCTTTGTGATGAGATGGGAAGTATGCATAAAGCACTTACTCTGCACACTGAACAAAGATGCTGGTTTCAAGGGAAAGTACATAAGTGACTGAACTAGCCATTTTTCTTCATGGAAGACAATTTTTACTTGAATGAATGACTAACAAAGTATGGATTTTCGGACTATTTGGAAGCCATTTTCTTAAAAATGAACAAAGTCCATCACTTCAGGAAAGACAACTGATAATATTTATTGCCAGTGATAAAATGTGAGCTCTCAAGTGAAAGTTAGAACTTTGTAAAACATACGTTGATCACCATGAGCTTGACAGCTTCCTAACACTTAAGCTTTTCTGATGAGATTGATGATGATATTAATGAATGTGATTTTTTGATACAGTAAAGTGAAATGTGTCAACTTTTGGAATTGCTACATAACTTCATGGTCCAATATTTTTCAAATCACCAGTAAATGAAGTTATAAAATTTTGCATGGGAAAAGATCCATTCAAAATGCAAGATAGGCAAATGGATTTTAATATAACAGAGTGTGAAAAGTTCACTGATAAGGTTTCAAATTCCACATTGTCAAATTTTTGTATAATATCAGAGAACAATACTGACAGTTATCTGAAAAGGCTGTTAAAATACTCTTCCATTTAGCAACTACATATCTGTGTGAGGCTGAACTTTCTTCATATACTTGTAATAGATTGAATGGAAGCAGATATATGAAAATACAGCTATCATCTACAAAGCCATTGAAGAGATTTGTAAAATTGTAAAATAATGCTACTCTTCTAACTAGAATTTTTTTGTTTGGAACATAGAGTTATTTGTCATTAGACAAATGTTATTTATATTAACCTTCTGGATTTATTGTCATTTTTAACAAAGAAATGAATTTTTTTTTAGATTTTTCAATTTTACCTACTAATATGGGAAACATCAGTAGCTATAATCCACATAAACAGAAGCTTCTTGGAGTCCTCAATGCTTAGTATAAAGGCCTCCTGAGACCAAAATGTTGAACTCCTGGCATGGAGTTTTATGGTGAACTGATAAACTGTTGCACTTTTGATAAACTTGTGTGTTGTAAACTGTCTGCACAAAGATAGCAGTAGCAGTTACTGTTTTCACTGTGCATCTTGAGCAAAACTATTGTGGCAGTATGTCAAAACCTTAATTGTTGGGCTGCTCTCCATATGGTTTCATTGTATTTCACACTTGCTGTTTTCTGTCGGGATTAGAAAGCCTGTCTCTTCCTTTTTTTTGTAACTGAGGCTAGAAGTCTTCTCTGTCACATATGCAAATTGCAGACACTTAAAATGTGACTCAACTAAAAATTTGTGTGTATATATCTTTTAACTGACTCACTTAAAAAAATGTATCTATTGGTTATTGTTTCACACGTCTATACTTTATAGATATATATATCACCTAAATAGGTGATATAGTCAACACTTATTTATTTATAAGCCTATTATTTATTTTATAGATGATCAGAATTCGTTTTAAGTTTTAGCTAGACATCATCTTGCCAACAAATTACATTTTAAGCAATTAACTAGTATATGCCTCAGTTAACTGAAGTTAATGTAATATGAAAGCAACAATGAAAAATAAAAATATAATTCACAGTTCAGTAGATATTTATATAAGTAGAATTGACTGAATTTTACAATTATATGTATTACTTCTAAGTCTTACAGACAGCTTGATGGTGGCTCATGCCTGTAATTCAAGCACTTTGGGAGGCCAAGGCAGGAGGATCGCTTGAGGCCAGGAGTTACCAACCTGGGCAACATAGTGAACCCTGTCTCTTCAAAAAAATTTTTAAAATATAGCTGGACATGGTGGCACATGCTTGTAGCTCCAGCTACTCAGGAGGCTGAGGTGGAAGGATTGCTTGAGCCTAGGAGGTCAAGGCAGCAGTGAGCCGTAATCATGCCACTGCAATCCAGCCTGGGCAATAGAGTGAGACCCTGTCTCAGAAAAAAAAAAGAAAAAAAAAAAAGGAAAGGAAAACTTGATAGGAAACTTAATACAATTTTTACATAAGCCCAATATAGTATTTTTAAATCTGTACAATATTTGATACCTGCCATAAGAGGGAAGAATTCCCCTGTTAGGAATTACTGATTTGATTAATATAAGGCATTATTTTTGCCTCAGATTACTAATGTTAATTACTTGGGCATTCCTTTGTTTTTCACTCAATAAACTTATACAACTAACTTTTTTTTTTTTTTTAATTTTTTTAATCGAGACAGAGTTTCACTCTGTCACCCAGGCTAGAGTGCGGTGGTACGATCTCAGCTCACTGCAACCTCCACTTCCTGGCTTCAAGTGATTCTCCTTCCTCAGTCTCCCAAATAGCTGGGATTACAGGCATGTGCCACCATGCCCGGCGAATTTTTGTATTTTTAATAGAGACGGGGTTTCACCACATTGTCCAGGCTGGTCTCGAACCCCTAACCTCAGGTTATCCACCCACCTTGGCCTCTCAAAGTGCTGGGATTACAGGTATGAGCCACTGCACCTGACCAAAACCAACTTTTTAAACCAGAAAGTGTCTGCTTTTTTTTTCTCCTTTCTTTCAGGATTTAATAAGAAGGCAGTAACTGACACACATGAAAATGGAGACCTGGGCACTGCAAGTGAAACTCCGCTAGATGACGGTGCTTCAAAATTAGATGATCTGCACACTCTGTATCATAAAAAATCTTATTAAATTGACCATATCTCCAGACAAGATTGTTAATCAGACTATTCTGAATTTGGGGCACTGGGGAAGATGGTGACAAAGACTACAAAATCAGGGGAGGCTGTTTGTTGCCTAAATGAAAGGCGGGTACCTCAGGGCTTCATGTGAACAATTCTCAATGCATAAAACACCCTGTTTTCTGTGGTAGACCATAATTAGCTATTGCATGTAAAGCAATTTTGATTTTCTTGAACTTGTAAGCACCAAAGCATGTGTTTCCCAAAGGGGTATTACTGGGCTCTTAAGTACCAAATGAAACCCTACTGTTTTACTTGGTTCCTTTTCCCTTTAGTAGGAGGACAGTGCTAACTGGAATTTTATAAGGAGTACCCTTTAAAATACAGAGAGTAAGTGAATTCATATTTTATATTCTAGAATGTTAACTGTGGTATTTCAGAAGACAGAGCTTGACTCAATGAATTGTAGAAATATAGGCTTGACTTAATTTTTGTAACTGAAAGGCTTTAGACTTAAAAAAATTTATTGTGCATCCTAAAATCTAAACCAATTATTAATGATCATTTATTGTAATGAGTTTGCATTTCAGCTTTATTCAATGCAGTACAAAATAGTTTTCTTTAAGCAGTCTTTTATCAATCAATGCTGCACTAGAAATAGATTCTCAAAAGTTACTAAACATTTTACTTTTTTTGTTTTTTAAAAGAAATGCAGATGAGTGTAAAACATCTGTTCTCAATTATGTTGATCTGTGTGCGCAGTACTGGAGCATTTACCCATTCATGTTGAGCCTCAAATGCTTGTTTTCTGGGGTCCACAAAAGACAGTTTTATACATTTTGAGTTGTTCATAAAGTTTGTCTTGTGATAGTCCTGGCACTTAAAGACAAATTTTTCTGGTAGTAAAAGTTCAGATTTATTACTATGTCATGAAACACAGTACATTCAAATCAAACGGCAGTTTTCTTTCTAAGTAAATGATTTCCAGTCATCTAAAAGGTGGGCAAGATGAGATAAAGACATTTTGATACAGTAATTGTTTTGGTTGGGTTTTCATGTCAGTTTATGTTTGACTAAAGCTCTCTTCATATGCAGGTTTATAAATTTGTTAGGTCTGTTGTCCCATGATTAAACATGGAGTGCCTCCTCTCTGATTTAATATTCTGCAGGTCATTGTAACCTGCTAGGCAAAGTCACAACATTGCATTAAAGAGGTGATAGCTTTGCTAATATCACTGTTTTAAAGGACGTACAGTTAAAGGAATATTAAGTGGGAGAAAGCCTACAAGGCTTTTAGAATATTATCAGTATCTTCATTTCTGGTATTCAGATGTTATGTGATAAAACACATTTTTTTTGGCTTTCCCAGATACACTATATATTTGTTCAAGGGTAAATCTATAAAATGTATATACTTTATTTTGTGGTTTTGCTATTTATAAATTTAATGTTTTAACTGTTGCTCATTTATGGTTTGTTTTGGGTGGTGGTGTTCATCTGTATATCACCATGTTAATTTGTAATGGAAGTGCACTTCGTAGTGTATATTGTTACTGACATTAAAATACTTTATAGCATTGTCTCTGAGCAAAAGCTAGTATTTAATTGTACAAATGAATAAGCAAGTTACATGTTATTGTTTGCTCTTGACAGGGTAGGCCTCTTAAAAGAAAAAAAACAACTTGTTTTTTCTTTATGAATCCCCTATGCCAAACACATACCTTCCATGCATGACATGAGATCTGCAAACTGGATTTTAGCCACCGTATTTATTTAGTCAAAAAAATTGTCCATTGTAGCAGACCCGAAAACCTTTTTGCTGTGACATGAAACCATGTTATTCTTATCTTCTTAAAACACAGCCTGGGATGGAATGGCCATGGCATTTTTTTCAGAGAACATCCTTTATCTGCTATGACTGAATCCTTAGGAAATGTAAGCTATAACCCTTTGATTTTCAAGAACTACCGAATAAGTGTATGAAGAGGTGGTTTTTTAAAACTTCAAGTTGGAATTTTTATGAGGTCACTGTGTAATTTGAAGAATTGTGTGAGATTGTCATGATATAAATTCCTTTTAAGGACTGATAAATAGAATGAAAAGTTTCCAGGTAGTTTAAAACTCCACAGGTCAGTTTCCTTTTCATTCCTGCTTCACTGTGGTTTATAAGCCTACGGGAGAGCACCGTTGCTCAGATGCTACTGTGAGCTTCCTGTCCGGTGTTAGAAAGTAACTAGTTAAAAGTTCATTTTAGAATGTATGGTTTTTGGGGATGAACTAAGAATTAGTTATTAGTTCCAAAGGACTGAGAACCAATTTTAATATTTTCACATTTATAGGAAAGAAATTCATATGTCCCTGAAACTTCTAGGACAAAACCAAACAAGTAAGGAGGGAACTGTTGCAAAGCCATTTCATCGAGAAGGGGACAGAAGGAGAAATACACACATGTATACACAAACAGAATGGTTGAGAAAACGTTTTAATAAAATGTGAGGGTTGTATGTGTGCGTGTATATATTTACACTTAACCTCTAAAATTCTCTTCTACAGTATCTCTGTTATGAATATGATGGAAAAGCAACATTTTGGTGGTGAGACTATTGTTAAAATAAATTTGAGAAAGACGAAAATTTTGTGAGTCTTGATAATTACAAGTCAACAGCTATCGAAAGTTAGCACAGCTTGTCTGTGGTGCTGTTTTTTTCCCCACTGCAGTGGACTTATGCTGTTTTCATGTTTAGAAACAAAAAGGTTTCATGTGATTCATGTGTAAGATGCACAGTATTTGACATCCTGATTATGTAATCCCTATTCCATCTATCCAGTCTTACACTTATGGTTGGCCTCAAATCTATTGCATTTATGATAATGTATTATATCTAGTTGAGTTTAATATTTTTTTATTAGCCTGTAAATAAAGATGGCATCTTCTACATTAAAATGATATTGATCTCATTTTTTTAAATAAACATTTTGTTTCCTTGACGTTAAATATTTTGGCTTGTTATTTATTTCTAGTAGTTCTATTATTTGTACCAACATGTCATAAAGTCTGTGCAAAGGACTTGGCTTAATTTTGTGTTATAAATATTGCCAGCTGTTGTTATCTATGAGGAAAACATTGATGAAAGTTAGAAAATCAATCCTGTTTTTAAGATACTATTTAAAAGGGTATTCTTCCATTTTGACATCTAAGTATATATGATTTAGAAGTTCCTAAGTTATATGTAAAATAATTTTTGGAAAATACTTGTAAATGAATTACTTGAGTTATGAACATTTAGAAATGTTATGAACATTAGAAATACATTTTTGTCACTGACTAACCTTGATTTAGTGCTAATACATATATGCTTTCCGTGTGTTGATTTAAGCTCCCAATTCACCAAGTGATTTGAAAAGAAGTCTTTTCCCCAGAATACAACCCCATAGGATATTGGTCAATTTATGAATTTTTTTTTGGTCAGTTTATGAAATTTTAAAGAGAACTTGTATTTTCATTGTTAATCAGTATTTTATTTTAGGTGGTTTTATAACTAACCTTAAAGAAACACTTTAAAAGTATTGCAAATTACCGTGCACTGTTGGTGCTGAATATTTGTTCAATAATGAACCTTTTTCAGGTGTGATTTGAGAGCTATAATCACCACGGCAGCAGCCATGAGAATGCATCTGTCAGTTCTCGTGCAGGAGGGAGCATAGCTTACTGAAGGTCCAGCTGCTGTGGTCTGAAATCCATCCCTGTGTACATGGTGAGGCTATGCTCCTCCATGCTGCTGCCAGTCAGTGACTGATTATGACAGGGATATTATATGATGACTCCTCAACTTTAGCTGGAGCACTCCACGATGGTCTTGCCAAACTCCCTTAGGATTACATTGTAGTCCAAGTTGCTTTCACCCAACCTTCCTTCCTCCTTTCATTCACCTTGGGTCTTAACTCCATTGTGATCTCATTGCCTTCCAGCCTCCAATCAACTCCAGCTTCCTACCTATTTTTCCTCACTGGCATTGCCGTTAATAAATCTGTTGCACAGCAGATCCCTTTTTGGTGTTGGCGTCTGCTTCTTAGAGAGGCTAGATTAACACAAGTGACCATGAGTGAGATTTGAGGAAACAGGTAATAAGATGGGCATTAGGAACCCACCCAAAGGGTAAAGACAGTGACATCTGGTTGGTGAGTATAGTTTATCTAGTCGTTGGCACAAAATCATGGCTCAGTGGCTATTTCACAAATGGTGTGCAGAAAAGAGTTAACAGAACAGGCCTGAACCTGTTGTCTTTAGGTCTGCTTGCAAGGTTGGACCTTGGCTAGCGTCCAGCAATTTGGATATCAGGAGTATTCCCATTATCCCCTTGCTGGTAAGTGCGGTTTACTGTGCCTGAAGTGTTTGTACAAACAGTAGGATTTTTGTTGAACACTTACTTTCCTCTGGGAATCTAGAATTTTGGTACATGCTAGGCAGAGGGTACCTACACTGACTTCCCTAAAACCTTGACTCCTAGGTTCAGTCAGGCAAGCTTCCTAGGTGGACAACACTTGATGTATTGTTACACATTATTGCTAGAGGAATTAAGCATGTCCTGTGTGACTCCATTGGGAAATGAATCTTGGAGCTTGTACCTGATTTTCTTGGGACTGTGCCCATATGCCTTTTCCCTTTCCTCATTTTGCTTTATATTCTCTGTAATAAATCATAATTGTGAATAAAGCTTTGCTTAGTCTGATGAGTCCTAGCAAACCACTCAACTTGGGGAGAGTTTTGGAGACTTGGGACTGAAATTGGAAAACATTTTATTTAAATTGGAAAAAATTATTAAATTGGAAAAAATCCAGCTTATGGAGAGGGGAACTCTCCAGGAGGGTCAGTGATGCAGACATTTGAAAAATGTGGGAGAACAACATCTACAAGAATAGCAGAGTTGGCCGGTTACAGCAGGATTGTATTAATGACCTACAGAAATGGATGGAGGGGGGCAGCTCCCAAGGAGGCCTTACCTCCTACAATGGAGGGATTGAAACAGCTGAGCTTCAGGCTGAACACCTAAGTGTTAAGAGTTGCTGAGTTTCAGACACTTGAATGTTCAGCGAAACCTCTTCTATTTTGTGAAAGTCAAGGCCCTGGTGAGGAAAACCTAGAACCATGGGGAGATCTGGATGGCTGCACCTGAGAGACTTTGCAATCTCTACTGGACTGTTGGTCTTAAGAAGAAGCCCACGCTTCTCTAATAAGACCTTGTACCTTGTCTATGCTCCAAGATGTTACAGAGGCTGCTACTAACCACATCCCTAAGGCAATACCTGCCCCTACCTAGTCTGCTGCCAGGCCTGTAACTAGGGCTAAATCCTAGTAAAGCCAGGATGGGAGATGTGCTGGGCCTGATAAAGGAGAAAAGAAACTACACAAAAAGTGTAAGAATTAGCTAGCACATTCTGGCAAAAACCAAAGGAGTACTCCTAGAACTGAATTTTATATTTTTTATTTTTATTTTTTTTGAGACGGAGTTTCACTCTTGTTGCCCAGGCTGGAGTGCAATGGTGCAATCTTGGCTCACTGCAACTTCCATCTCCTGGGTTTAAGTGATTCCTCTGCCTCAGCCTCACAAGTAGCTGGGATTACAGGTGCGTGCCACCACGCCTGGCTAATTTTTGTATTTTTAGTAGAGACGGGGTTTCACCATGTTGGCCAGGCTGGTCTTGAACTTTCTGACCTCAGGTGATCCATCCGCCTCCCAAAGTGCTGGGATTAGACTGGCCACCGTGCCCAGTCTGGAATTGACTTTTGAGAGTGCTTGATCAGGGTGTAAACTTATTAAAAGAAAGAACTGAAATTAGAAAACATTTTATTTAAATTGGAAAAAATCCAGCAATATGTTGTTTAAAAGGAACATACCTAAAACATAAGGACATAAAAAATTTGAAAGTGAAAGGAGAAAGAATATACACTGGGCATATTTTCTCCAAAAGAACATGGATACAGTTATATTTTTTAAAAACAGACTTTAAGAAAAAAACCATTAGGGATAAAGGTTACTTAAATTCTTAAAGAACCAATTTACTACAATGTTAAATCTATCATCATAGTGGGAGATTGCAACAAAACTTTCAGGCAAATTAGGAAAGAAGGAAGATTTGAACAACAAGCTTGATTTAAAGTTTTAAGAGGGCATTTGGTTGTAAAAGAAATACCTCTGGCGTCTAAGTAAGAAGATAAAAAGTGAGCAAAAAACAGAGATTTTTCAAAAGAAAACATACAAGTGGATGATAAACATGAAAAAAAAAGTTCAACATCACTAATCAGAGAAATGCAAATTAAAACCACAATGAGATATCATCTTACACCAATCAGAATGGCCATTATTAAAAAGTCAAGAAACAGATGTTGGGGAGGCTACAGAGTAAAGGGAGCACTTACACCGTTGGTGGGAATGTAAATTAGTACAACCTTTACGGAAAACAGTATAGAGATTTCTCAAAGAACTAAAAATAGAACTACCATTTGATCCAGCAACCCCACTACTGGGCATATACCCAAAGAAAGAAAGAAATTATATTGAAAAGATACTGGCACTCGTATGTTTATCACAGCACTATTCACAATAGCAAAGATATGTATGGAATCAACCTAAGTGTCCATCAATGGATGACTGGATAAAGAAAATGTGGTAAATATATACCATTGAATACTATTCAGCCATGAAAAAAGGAATGAAATCATGTCTTGCAGCAACATGGATGGAACTGAAGACCATTATCTTAAGTGAACTAACTCAGAAACAAAGTTTACTACCACATGTTCTCACTTATAAGTGGGAGCTAAATAAAGGGTACACATGGACATATATAGAGTGGAATAATAGACGTTGGAGACTACAGAAGATAGGAAGGTGGGAGGTGGGTGAGGGTTGAAAAATTACCTATTGGGTATAATGTTCAGTATTCAGGTGATGGTTACACTAAAAGCCCAAACTCCACCACTACGCAATATATGCATGTACAAAACCTGCACTTCTACCCCCTAAACCTATAAAGATAAAAATATATTTTAAAAAAGGAAGATAGGTAATGGACTATAACAAGGAAAATTAGATAAAATATAGGCCGACACTAAAACTTGGAGTCTATGCGTTGGAAAGGTAGAATTTGCAATTTGGTAAATTGCCAGCAGGGGGCAGCAGATTCCAGATGCATTATTAATTTTACTTTTATTAGCGGTGTAAGGCTTTTTGAAACTCATCAAATAAAATACTCCTGTGAAGATCAATAAATTGAAGGCTGATTTTTCCAGGGTCACACAGCTAGTTAAGTGTCTGAGCCAAGACTCAAATCCCTCTCTTAATTCTACTTTAATAGGCCACAAAGAAGGAAAGGGGAAATATAGATAAAATTGTCAGCTTTCAGTCCTCCTATTCCAACAATTATTTTTATTTTTTCCATGCTTGCCAACTGCAGTAGAATTTTTCTAAAGTTTTCTTAAAAGGTGCACGGTTTGATGGACCCTTGGCTTGATACAGTTTTGATTTCTAAAAATGATGATTGTGCTGGGTTTGAATTTCACAAGAAACTGTTTGGCTGTAGTGGAGTGACTATAGAATGAGAGAACTCCTAGAGTTACATAGTAGAATTCTAGATCGTCAAGACTATAGCATTCCCCTGCCCCCACCAAATACGGAATAAGTTATTTCTTGCTTGTGTGCATACTGTCCCCATATTCTTTAGGAAGCAATACTGCAACAAGGATATTTGTGTCCTTTTGTGACATTTGAGGATGTGTCATGCTCACTAGGTGCCCTCTACTGTCATGTTCACCATGGTTGAGGGCATTTTTAACCTCTGCCTAAGGCAGTAACAAATGGGTTGTTGGCTTCTGAAACAGGAGAACTACAAAAAAAAACCCTGATTTTTCAGAGGAAAAAGGCAAACTGCTGACTAAACTAGTCATGAAAAAAGGGAGTAAATGCAAATATACAAAACAAGAAATAAGAGAGAAATACCCATAAAAGAGAAAACTAAAAGGATAATAATGGACTACTTTGTTCAATTCTATAGGAATAAATTTGAAAACTTTTCTAGGAAAATGTAATTTACCAAAACTGTTCCCAAGGAAGTTTTAAAATCTAAACAAACCAATTTCCATAGGAAAAATTGAAGGAATTGTCAAAGTGCTCTCCCCACAAATTACCAAAATACATGATTTCACAGGGCAATGCTACTAAACGTTCAAACAACAGCTAATTCTAATGCCTAGCAAGAGAACCAAAAAAGGGAAGAAAAATTCTAAATTGTTTCTGTCAAGCTAATAATATCTGATCAAGATTGCCACAAAGAAAGAAAAGCCCTGATTCACAAAAGATTTTTTTTTTTTTTTTGCAACTGAGTCTCGCTCTGTTGCCAGGCTGGAGTGCAGTGACTCGATCTCGGCTCACTGCAACCTCCGCCTCCCAGGTTCAAGCGATTCTCCTGCCTCAGCCTGCCGAGTAGCTGGGACTACAGGCACAAGCCACCACTCCCGGCCAATTTTTATATTTTTAGTAGAGACAGGGTTTCACCATGTTGGCCAGGACAGTCTCGATCTCTTGACCTCATGATCCGCCCGCCTCAGCCTCCCAAAGTGCTGGGATTACAGGCATGAGCCACTGCACCTGGCCCACAAATGAATATTAATGTAAAAATCCTAAGTAAAATCCTATCCATGCAAATTTAATACAGTAATGGATTCATATCTATAACCAGATGTTTAACATTGGGACATCTAATTATGTAATTAATCATCTGACTGGCTCTAGGGAGGAGTCCTATGGAGGAAAATCATATTTTCCATAGATGCTGAAAAGACTTTGCTCAAAATTAAGCACATTCCTTGTGAGGGGGAAAAAAAGGAATAAATAGATGCTTTCTTAACATAATAAAGTTTACCTCAACATAATAAATCTATCTCTGCCTAAAAGCCAGCATCATGCTAAGGTGGGAGCTACTAGAAGTATTTAATATGGTACTGGAAGTATTGCCAATAGAATTAAATGTACACATAAATATTGGAAAGGAGATAGCACTAGCACTATTTGCAAACGTGATCAAATTCCAGAAAAACCTAAGAGAATCAACTAAAAGCTACTAGGAATAATAAGGACATTTAGTAAAGGAGCAGCATACAAATTAGTCACAGAAATCGAACAGGAAGGCTGCATATAATAGCTAACACCACGTGGCACTTATCATGGGTCAGACACTGTTGTAAGGGTTTTATGTACATTAATCCTTGTAATCTTCACCACAACCCTATAAGGTATATACCATTATTATCTCCATTTAGAAATAAGGAAATGGAGTCATAGAAAGTAAGTCCTTCTTGGTCACAACTAAGGCAGAATTTGAGCCCAGGGAGTCTAAGCCCCAGAATCCATGCTTTTTACCACTAGGCCATACTAGTTCTTGATACATAAAAGAGGAGGTGGGGACAATTTACAATGGCAGCAACAACAAAAAAAACACCTAAGTACAAATTAAACAAAAAATGTGCAGTACTTATGTGAGCACCCTTTAAAATCCCCTGAAAGGATGCAAAAGGGGCTTGAACAAATGGAAAGGGATACTACGTTTTGTGTACCTATATAACTGACTAAAAACTACATTAGAAAAAGAATGAATGGAAATAAGGCAGACAAAAATTCCAAGAAGAGATCACTGTTCGAAGAAAGACAATAGGTAATTAGAAGGGCTTAGTATATTAAGGGAGAATTCTTTATACTTGGGAGAGATTTGAGGAAGTTTAAAGGCTGAGGGGGAGACCTCCAATGAAAGGAAGAAGAAGATAAAGGAAAAAGGGATAATAGGAGCAAAGAGATAAGGGGAAGGCAGTGGGATTTAAGATCACAGATGAAGGTTTCTAACACTTTTTCCATTGACACAGGAAGGAAGGAGGAAAGGAATGAAGTGGATACAGGTTTTGTGAGAAGAGGAATCAGCAGGAAGTTAGTTCTGATTTTAACGACTTTTATTTTTAGGTGAAGGAAGTGGCAAGATCAGAGTAAGGGAGAGTGTGAAAAGTGGCACTGCTTTGGAATAATTGCTAAGGGGTACGGAAAAAGGGATCAAAGATAAATAAAAGCGTTGAGGAGTGATGGGCCCCCAGTAAACTGGAAACCGAGCTTTTGTAACAGCCACAGTGTGAATAGTTCTGCAATGTTCCCCTGCTGCTGTGATGAAGATGGAGAGATGGTATTCTCAAGGGGAATTATGTTGTTGGGGTCTCATGGTTCGGGGCTCCTGGAAAGAAAATGGAGTGAAAATGCTGAGACAAACCAGTTCGATGATGGATAGGGAAGGAAATGCAACCCAAAAGGATTAACAACTAGAGGAAAATGATGGGATCTAGGGGTTTGGTATCTAAATGAGATCAGTGACTAAGTAGGTGGAAAGCTGAAGAACTCAGGGGGTTTTGAGCTGATAGAGAATTGCTGGAGATTAGGTTTACAGTGCTGGGGTTCTTGCTGATGACAAGAATGTGGACATGTGTGGGAGTGGTTTAAATGGAAAGCAGGTTACTAGAGTGGAAGTCAAGAAACCATAAAAATGACCATGTTGGGCACTTCATTCTCTAGCATGATTACAAAGGAGGAATGAAGAAGACCTAGAATTAGGTGAATGTCCTCAATGAATGGAAAAAAGTGGCCTGGAAGATATTAGGTGTCACAGCAAAAAGAAAAAGGTGGTAGAGCTAGGTGAGAAAAAAAGGGAGAGCTTTGAATGGTGGTGAAAAAGTAAAAAAGGATGTGGAAGTAGTCTGTTGGGAGGAGGGTGTGTGCCACAGTTAAGTGCATTTGTTGGGAGGACAGGCAGCCTCCTCTTGAAAAATAAAAAGGACTCTAAGGCAAATGGTGTTGGATGACTTCAGATTGGGCAGAGAGAAAATGAGCTAATATTGATCGATCATCTAATGTATACAAAACACTATAATATAGTCTGCACAACAGCCCTTTTATAATAATTTCCATTCTGGGAATAAAGAAGTAGATTTAGAAAGCACCAGTAATATGCCTGTAATCACATAGTTACAAAGATTAAATCTCCAGTTAAACCCAAGTTCTGTATGGTTCTAAACCTGTGCTATTTTCTCTTTTTAAAAAACAACAACAACAACAAAAACATGGTCTTGCTCTGTTGCCCAGGCTGGAGTGCCGTGGCGTGATCTTGGCTTACTGCAACCTCCACCGTCTGGGCTCAAGTGATCCTCCCGCCTCCCCAGTAACTAGGACTACAGGCTTGCACCACTACAACTGGCTAATTTAATTTTTTTTTTGTAGAGAGGAGGTCTCACTACATTGCCCAGGTTGGCCCCAAACTTCTGGGCTCAAGCTATCAACCTGCCTCAGACTCTTAAAGTGCTGGGATGTGTGATACACCGTGCCTGGCCTGATATTTTAATAAATATGCTTTCTTGTACCTGTTGGGGAGGCATCATTCCAGCAAGACGGCGGACTAAATAAGAAGAAAACCTGTCTATTATGAATTCCTAGGAATGTCAGACCAAATAAATCAGAATTCTTCACAAGGCCTAGCTAATGTCTTAAGAAATAAAGGGAAGCCGGGCGCGGTGGCTCACGCCTGTAATCCCAGCACTTTGGGAGGCCGAGGATGGCGGATCACGAGGTCAGGAGATCCAGACGATCCTGGCTAACACGGTGAAACCCCGTCTCTACTAAAAATACAAAAAATTAGCTGGGCCTCGTGGTGGGCGCCTGTAGTCCTAGCTACTCGGGAGGCTGAGGCAGCAGAATGGCATGAACCTGGGAGGCGGAGTTTGCAGTGAGCTGAGACAGTGCCACTGCAGTCCAGCCTGGGTGACAGAGCCAGACTCTGTCTAAAAATAAATAAATAAATAAATAAATAAATAAATGGAAATACTCAGGTATCAGAATCAAAGATAGGATGAGAAGCTCTAATGAGCATCCAATAGGATTTCCAGGAGAAAATAAAGAAAACAACCAAAAAAAAGGGCTGATCATTTTCATAGTTGATAAATGCTAAGATTCAAGAGGCACAAGTCCTGAGCAATGTGAACAGAAACAAATTCATAGCTCAATACATAGTAGTAAAATTGCAGAATACCAAAGACAAAATAAAAACCTTTAAAGCCCCTAGGGGAATTTATCCCAGAACAAGGAGAGGCTGGGAGCAAGATCAGTGGGAGACAGGGGATCTGTAGTGGGATGTGAACACAGCAGTGTGGGTGGGTGTGCAATGTGGCATGGGGTGACTGCATGGGCTGTGTTTTGGGCAGGAAATACTTGCAGGTTGGGGTGTTTGTATTCACCCTAGCTTCTCATTGGAGGGATTCAACTGCTCTCAGATCTGGGGGAGAGACTAGGCATTCTCTTTCAACTCAAGAAAGTACAGGGTAAACACTGCTCTCAGAACCTCAATAACTATTTGGTACGTGCATGAATGCAAGATAAGCATTTTAGGAATAGTGAGGTCAACCCGGTGGCCACACTTGGACTGCTGTGACTGGTCAGAGTGGGGAAAGGTCTCATAGCTATTCATGGTATATACAGTTGTGCCTACAAATGTGATTTCATGTTAAGAATCCAAAGCAGTATAAAATAAACACAAAACAATCTCTCACATCCTTTCTATTTTCTAGGCTGACTGTAAACGTTAATGAACATTTAAATAACAATAATAAAACCCAGAGCAAAGCTTCAGGAGCCTGTGTAAGTGTAGTCTTGCTTGTCATAGCAAATGTGTTTCAACCGCAAATTTAAGAAGTGGCAGAATACAATCTTTGCCTCCCAGTAGGATTTGATAACATAAGTCAGACAATTAGAATTGTCTCATTCACGCCTTATCATATATGCTGATATTGCAAAACACCAAAAAAGAAAGATGTAAAATTTTTCTGCCCTTATCCTCTAGTTTAGGTTTAGCTGTGTAGGGTTTATCAGACCTTTCCACTCACCCAACCTGTTCTACAGAGTCTACCCTGAGGAAGTGATGATCCAAAAAAAAAAGTCCTGTTCTCCCACTGGTCATGATTAGATCACTAGTGCCGCAGAAGAACTGTGATAGATGAAGACAGCTCTATTGTAAAGAAGGGCTGTAGATCTAGGCCTATGCTTATGGTCTAATATTCCAATATTAAAATTCTGTAAACAGCCCACTGAAGGCTTACATTAGAAAAAAGGACCTACTATAGACAACACTTTGATAAATGTTCCAACTAATTTTTATCAGTAAGTTTTGGAGGAAGAAAGCACGACAACACCATTTTCAAACATGAGGAAACCGAGTCTCATCATTATAGAAGCAGCCAGACTTCTCTTCTGTGGTAGATTGGGGTCTGGCCTAATCTGGCACCAAGCTCTTTCTCTTTCCACTGTGGCACCTGCCTTTTTACAGAAGCTGAACCTTGAGTGCCTCTAACACCCCAGCGAGCAGGGCTGACTAGTGAGAGTCAGGGGCAGTTTGGTTTGGCATAGTTTATTACAATTAGTGTGCGCATAAAACCATGTAAACTCTACAAAGTAAACCATTTCCCCTCCACACTAACCAGCAGCTAGTCTGCCATGACCTTCCAGCACCCCCATTATTTTAACATATATACATTTCACAGGATGTAATAACCACACAAATAGGGTTATAATACATTCTTCAGGGAAAAAAATTTTTGGTCCATATTTTCTATTAAAAAAACACACACACTTCCCTCTTTGGCAAAAGAGGTTAAATCTCCCATAGTTAACTCACAAAAGAAACTCAAATAAAAACTACTGAGCATGAGGTACAGCTGATGTCTGGACTGTTCTGGAATTACAGACGCCTCCTTGAGGGGAAAATCATTTCTTATAAAATGAGATCAGTTTCCAACAGTTTCATGTCAGTAGAAAAGCTCGATTTAGACTTGGTCAGAATCACTTTTGCATGAACATGTTCCAAATAACTTTGTTTTTCAGAGGACAGCGGAAGTCACGAAAATGTGCTACTTCTGAAGAAAGTCATGAAAATTGTGGCGTCTGACCTCAGCAATATTTTTAATCTGAGGTACGAAAACATCTGACACAGCCATTCACACTGTAATTCCTGTGCCACCTTCATGGTCACCGGAGCTGGGCCGACCTCTTCGCATCCCCCTCTGAAGTGGAGACTAAGGAAACGGGCAGCTGCTGAGGTGTTGTTTCTTTGCTTGTTTTTAAATCTACAGTCATAATTGCTAAATAAACAACCACCCTGGTGTGCTTTTCATGCTTCAAGTAATTCATTTCTTCCAGGAGAAGAATGTTAAAAATGCTTTCAGTTCTAGTTATCAAAGGAGAGGAAATGACTCAATAACAACAAGACTAGGTTTAAGCAGACCTGCTGCTAACACAGTATCAGATAATATACTGAAAAAAATGAACATACTATTTATATACATTTTGCAACAGCTGCATTTTCCCACTTAACCTCTGTGCAGAACTAAAATCTGATAGAGCAAACTTAAGTTACTTTTATTATTGTTAAATACAACTCTGTACACATTACACCTTTAACACCAAAGCAGCTCAATATCAGTCAGAGGAATGAAAACGCCATCTGAAAATTTTCATTTTTCTAGCCCAACAAAACCCAACAGACGCACCCTAAGGGTCAGCACGAAACCAGCTGCACAATTTTGTAAACAGTATGACAGGTTGTCTCTAGGATCCTACTGGATCACACACACACATGCAAGTGTACACACACACCGATACACACGCACACTCTGGACCAGCAGGCTCCCTTCTTCCAGTGCCTTGTGACAGCCCGACGCTCAGTACCACAGCAGGCTTCTTTCACATTGTGTTCACAAAAGGGCAGTCATGGCCGTCTGGTTGAGGGGTGTGAGGCAGTCTCTGGGGGCAGAATAGCTGTCACTCGTCCCGGGATGCGTTGGGGGCTTCTGAGAGTCAGGGTGCCCGCTTTCGGTGGCGAGGGCGCTGACAGCTTTGGGCCGGTCGTAGCCCCTGTCCGCAGGCTGTGCGCTGTGTGGCCTTTGATAGTCTCCGTCCTGGGCGCCCACACCCGCTACGGGGGAGAAGCCGCCCGAGGAGAGGGAGTGTTTGTGGCCGGGCTGGGGCCCTGGGACGCGGTAGCCGCTCTGCGCAGAGAACGTGTGGGCGCGCAGCACGTGCCGCTCCACGATGGGCGTGGCGTACTCGGGCTCCGGGGGCGCCAGGGGCAGCGCGTACTCGTGGCGGCCGGCCCGCTGCGGGCAGTCATAGTGGCCGCCGGCATCGGTGCTCACCCCTGCCTCCTCGGCATCCGTGTCCATGGGCCGGAAGGTGGAGCCCTTCCTCGTGACTGTCCCGGTGCCAATCATGAGGGGCTGCTGGTAATCTGAAACCACAAGACAGATGGCAGCTAGCGGGCACCACACACGGGCCGGCCTGTCAGTGGCAGACGGGGATACTCTGCTTCAGGTCGTGGTGACTGACTTTCCCCCCGGGTGCCCTCAGGTGTCCCAGGCACTGCGGAAAACCCTGATGTGAAAGCCACAGAAGCCACCCGCAGGCAGTACACAACCGCACCGCCTGCTCAGGAAGCTTCGCAGGGTCTTCTCAGAGATGGGGGCGACGACGACGTCCTGGGGCATGGGGACATACTTCAGGGAGGAAGTGGCTCTGAAACTGGCTCTGGAGAAGCTATGGAGGTGGAAGTCACACAGTGTGGAAATGGAGAAAAAAACAGCCTCGAAAATAGAGTTGATATGGCCAGAGTATGAGGGACACAGAGTAGTTTGTTTAATAGGATATGAGGACCAAAGCAACAGGTCAGGGCCTAGTGGTGACAGTGAGGATGATGCCAGGAGCTCCCATTTATAGAGCTCCTACTCTTTGCCAGGCGCTATTCCAATAGCAAGATGTTAATAATCTTCAAAAAAATCCCGAGGTAGGAACTGTTACTCCATTTTACAAATGGGAAACCAAGGCAGAGAGAGACTAACTTTTCCTAGGTCACACAATGGGGCGATGGAGTAGGATTCGAACGCACATCCTGAGTATATGCTGTTAGCCACGCGTTAGAGCATGGAAAAGCATTGATTGTCTTGCTAGGAAGTCTGGTTTAATTCTATGGGAAACGAAAGACTGGCACTTTCAGAGGTAACTGTGGAGGTTGACCCAAGAGGAAAAGATCAAAAAGTGAGAGGTAAAAAAGCAAAGAGAAATGCACATAGAAGTCACAAACTAGGAAAGAGGAAAAGTGACCCTTTGGGACAGGAATCAGGAATTTGTTACCAATGAGAGGTGGGGTGTGAGGAAAGCCGGGAGGCAAGGACTCTTTGAGGCTGGGATGTGCAGTCGAGAAGCCATTAGACAAGGAATGCACAGAGCATCTGTGGTGAGGGTTAGGAACAATGGATTCGATTGTGGTTGCTGAGGAACGGGTGACATCTGCAGGTGGAGGTGTCCAGCAGGCTGCTGAGAATTATGGACTGGGGACTGAGAGGGAAGTCTGGGTGTGAGAAGCAGCATGGACAAACATGCAGGGAAGGGCACTGCTGGAAGTTGGGGAGGGTGTGGGACTGTTTAGGGGAGAGACTGTGGTGAGTGGGGGTGAGACAGAACCCGGGTCATTGCACATTTAAGGAGCCTGAGGATCATTCAGGGAGGAGGGAGGAGAGACTGAATTAGAAGCTGAAGGAGAATGAAAGGCATAAGACAACAGAAATTAGGTTCTCCCTTCATGTCACTTCCAAGGAACAAGAGGATGGATTTTGGTTGCAGAGGATGCTCTCCTTGTCCACAAAGTGACTCAACCAACCCTTAGGCTGACAACTCCCAGTCACTGATGTGCACAGGCGTCACCTGGGAGCTTCTAGTTCTATGGCCTCCCTTTCTAACAAGCCCCCAGGTGATGCCTATACTGCAGGTCCTCAGGCTGCACGTGAGGAGGGAGAAGCCAGAGCGCAGTGCTACTCAGAGCATGCCCCACAGAGTCCTATGTATCTGAGAGCTGTTTTTAGCAGTGCCATAGAGACAGGTGCAGAAATTGAGACTAAGTGTCAAGAAACTACTCTTAGTTACTCTTTATTACTCTTAATTTTATGTCTGTTGAATCTAATAATAAAAAATTAGAGCTTTGTATTTTGTATCTTTAAAATTTCCTTATTACTAGTATTTTATATTGCATTTTACAGTGTATTCATTCATGATGGAGTAGAAATTTTAAAAAAAGAAACAAAAAGCATTTCCCCATAGATGGTTTGGGAAGCTCGACTCTTGATGTGGCTTGTCAGGGACACTGAGGCCCTTCTCATACTGAGAGAGTTCCTTTATTTCCTATCTCACCTTCCTCAGGGCAGGAACTGTATTTAATTCCTCCTTTCAGCCCCTCTGTACCAGTGCCTTAATCAAAGCTTTGGTAACAAAAATAGATTCAGGGCTTCCAGATACAAGTAGTACATCAGGGCTATCACTATGGATGTCACTATATCCCCTGCAGGTGAAAAGACTGGCTGAATAGGGCTTTTAAGTAATATCTCAGTGTCAGTTTGTAATTCTGTGCAGAATGCAGAAAAAACACATTTCAGATTTACTGGACCCTATCTAAATAGAAAAGGATTTTGCCTTATTTCTCTCCTGTCTCCCTCCCCCACAAGCAGCACCTCCAATCTAATAGCACAGTCCTAGAAATATGACACTTACCTGCCATATCACTTGTGATGAGATCTAACTTTTGTGTCATCTCCTTCTCATTATCATAGCTGATGGTAAACTCAGCTGACTGATGTCTGGCAAAGGGATATTTAATCTGCTTCCAACAGTCTGGAATAAAGGTAACATAAACCAAATGAATATGTCAGAAATGTAATGCGCGTCCTCCAGAACATGTTCCTTGATGAGTCAGAGGTCAGGCTGCCTCCTGACAGCTGACAGTGATCAATGTCCTCCTCAGGTGTGTGTGCTAAGAACAGCATGCCAAGGTCATTAACCACAACAGCAAACACTACTCTAACCATGCTTTCCGCTGTGCCTTTAAAAGGTATTTTGCCCTCATCAGGTCCCAGATTCTCCCTTTGTGAGATCATCTGGGTATGGTCTCCGACAATCTGCACTGGCATGGCATCTGTGAGGCAGAGGAGACACTGCAGCTGGTGTTTAGACCCTGGGGAGGTGGAGTCTCAAATGGTCCCTGAGCTTTCTCAGGGGTCCTGCCCCACTGCCCTCTCTCTCTGGACCATGGCTAACTCATTGCTTGGGCACCTGTGTCTGGGAAAGTGAGAAAAAGACCAGACGGGGCTGGTGTGCAGGATTATCTGAAACCTGCACACCAGCCCTGCCTGGTCTTTTTCTCACTTTCTCAGGGTGGAAAGTACAGCACAGGCCTGCAGATGCTAACAACACGGGCCTACTTCAGTTCACTGATAAGGCTTTTGTCATACCTCCTTGATGGCAGACAGTGTCGTGGCCTAAACTCCAGTGGCCAAGAAAAAAGGATGTTGACAAATGATAGGGGATGACATTGAACAAAAGTAAAGTGGCCATTAAAATAAAGAGACAGAACACAATAAATTTCTTCCTTATAGATATGCTACTTTAAAGGCTACAGGGCTTATGTCTTTTAACCAAATAAATGTGGGCCACTGGCCTCCTTATGCTTTCAATCAGCAGATCCTGTCCCTTCCTCAAAGACAGATAAAATTGTAGATAGAGTTTTCAACCAACCTGTTTTCTGAGCCTCTGCTGATCCATACGGACTTCCTTTCTTCTTCTTCCTATCAAGACAAAAAGTCCTACTGAATATTTATAAGCCAATGTATCTGCCTCTCTCTCCCTATATAACATAAGGATCATAATAGTACTTACCTCATAGGGTTGATGTGAGAATTAAATGAGATGGCAGCTGCCATGTGCTTTAGAAAATCATACAAATATGTAGAATTATCTATAAATTTATCTCATTTATAAGAAAGGTCACAAGATTTCACTAGAAGAATATATACTAATCTTATTTTGCATATTAGAAATCAGTGCCTTATTAAGTTTATCACTAGCTCATGCAGTCATCCTGAAGCAATTCCTCATGACCACATGGTCTCACTTCATCTCTACTATACTCCAGTCCAAAACTGTGGGTGTCTTTAGAAGCATTTCATACAAGCACATTACACTAAGGCATGCTTTAACTTATGAATATCTACCTGAACCAGAGACTTTTGTACCTTCTCTCATGATGGCAGAAACTATTCTTCATTCTATTTGTACTAATATACACATTATAGATTCTGAAGTTGCTTAAAATATAAGAAGAGAAAACTTCAGAATACTTTCCATTTTTTGTTTAGATCCAACATCTAACATTTGTCAAAATAAACATGGATCTCAGGGTTCTGGAAGAGATTCAGAATTCATCTGGGTAAACTATATTTTATACATAAGGAAACAGGCTTGGGGAGGCTGAGTTACGGGGCAGCTTGGTGATACCCCAAGCAGCCTATTTAATATTCCTTTTACTCTTCAGGGAGGAGAAGCACAGATACTTCTAAAGCAATATATCAATTTCAGGATACTTCAACAATACTCAAAGGTTAAGTCTTTACCAAAGGTCTCTAAATGACAAGAACTGCTTATAAAGTAATACATGGTGGGGTGCGGTGGCTCATGCCTATAATCCCAGTGCTTTGGGAGGATCAAATGAGACCAGAAGTTTGAGACCAGCCTGGGTGAGAAAGCAAGATCCCATCTCTACAAAACATAAAAAAATTAGCTGGGCATGGTGGCACATGCTTGTAATCCTAACTACTCAGGAGGTTGAGGCAGGGGGTTTGCTTGAGCCCAGGAGTTTGAGCAATCTCACCACTGCACTCCAGCCTGGGAGACACAGGGAGACCCTGTCTATAAAAAAAGATTAATAAAGTAATACTCGATCATTTCTACTTTTATCTAACTTGTTTGTAAAATATAAGTTAACATTTTATTTTGAAAGAAGCCATGCTGCTTTTGTACATATGCATTTCTGAAGAATAAACTTTTTGGTTTTTTATTGTTCGCATAATTAGAGAAGAAATTTAAACATGTAAAGTCACCATACTTTCTAAAGGCTGCAAAGATCCCCATTCCAGCAAACACCAGGACAACAAGGAGCACCAATGGAATAGCCACCGTTGTAATGTTTATTCCTAAAGAAGACGGAAAGCCATCACGTTACAACATAAATGACCAACAACCACTTTTCATGATTTAAAACTGAACATGGAATTGAAAAGTCTTTAAGCATTTAATATAGGGGGAAAATGAATACATGTTAGGCATTTACTGATATTGGAAAGCAAAAAGAAAGGATTCAAAATCCTGGCTAAAGTTTGGGAAAGTAAAATTTCTCCCCCAGCCCCCCAGAGACAGTTTCCAATGTTCCTCAGGGACTAACAGGCACACTGGGCTTGTTGCTTGGCCCATATTAAACTCCAAAAATCTGAAATGAGGGGAGAGTTTAACCCCTCCCCCACCCCTCAGGTGAGAACTATTTAGACAGGTAAATGATTTAAGCACAGTGTGGAGCTCCTACTTTGGCTCAAGCAACACATTTCCCCAGATGGCAGGCGGGTTTGGACCTGTACCATAACAATAGTCTGGAAAACTGGGATCCTCGTTACAGAGCTCTGGGGCTGCGGACTGAGAGGAAGTGCAGCCTGATGACCTAAAACTGCATTTCCACTATGTTGCATGAAACACCACATCATGTTTTCCTGCAACTCTTTCTGCTCTAAAAAAAGGACACTTTGACAGCCACCAAGGCAGGCCCCAAGTTTGTAGAAAATACACAAAGTAAAGGAAAAATATTTGCTCTTCATCTTTCTCTTCTGTGATCCCTGGGAAGAAAATAAAGGGATGCTTAAGAGTGGAAAAATGCAATTCATGAAGAAGGGGAAAAGGGATTTAGATGAAAACCAAATTTGTGTATAAGTAACAGAAGTGTTATTATTACTTCTTTTTCTTTTTTTTTTTTTTTAAGAGATGGAGTCTCGCTCTGTCACCCAGGCTGGAGTGCAGTGGTGTGATCTCGGCTTGGGCAACCTTCGCCTTCTGGGTTCAAGCAATTCTCCTGCCTCAGCCTCCCGAGTAGCTGGGACTACAGGCGCATGCTGCCACGCCCAGCTAATTTTTTGTATTTTATTAGAGACGGGGTTTCACCATGTTGCCCGGGCTGGTCTCGGACTCCTGAGCTCAGGCAATCCGCCCGCCTCGGCCTCCCAAAGTGCTAGGATTACAGGCATGAGCCAATGTGCCCGGTAGCGGTGTTATTTTTAAGAGTGAAAATTTGGGGAAAATCAAATAACTTAAAGCATCCAACAGCAGGGGAATGGTCAAGTAAATAATGGTTTATCCATGTGAAAAAATACTATAAAGACATTAATAATTGGGGTTTTCAACCTTCCAATAACATTGGAAAATGCTCATAATACAATGTTAAATGAAAAATATATGCTACAGAACAGAATAATATGATATGCTACCATTTTTGTCTTAAAGTTAGAAACATAAATATAGTTGACTAGAAACAGTGAGATTTGGTGATTATCTACGGATACTGATTTATGACTAATTTTTGTTTTCTTATTTGTGTTTTTCTAATCTTTCCAAATTCTTATAAAATTGATATGCAAATTATTTTATATTCTGAAAAAATGTACTTTTAATGTTATTTGAATAGATTATATACTTATATGTTCAAAATGCAAACCGTATACAAAAGTATGGAATGGAATGTGTCCCTCCTACCTCTGTTCCTCCTTCACAGAAAGCCGCATTATGTTTTCTTGAAATTTTTCTAGAGATACTGGAATGAATATTTATTCTTTGTTTCTCCTTTTTGCAGAAAGGGTGGCGTGCTACTTAGATAGTTCTATATTTTGCTTATTTTTTTTAAGTTGCCACTATATCTCAGACAGCTTTCTATATTACCAATTTCTATATTTCCATTTTTTTTTTGTATGGCTGCAGAGTGTTCCACTGCATGGATGTGCTAATGTTTTATTTTTCCACAAAATATGTACCTAGTGTTTGAAGGGCACATAAGTTCATTCCTAATCTTTTTCTATTTATAATACTGCAATGAAAAGCTGTAAACATACATCATTTTACATATGTGCCAATACCACTGGATCATCCACCTCCAATGTTTATATGACAGAGAAAAAGAAATTTTGTTGAAGTTACTGATATTGGGTGGGTTACCAGTTATGCTCCTTATGAAACCACAGACAATCACGGCTCTACCTGTGGATGTTTCTTCCGAGGGGATGGGCCTTGTGATTGTCTCATCTTCTTTCTTAGTTGAAACACTGGTGCTTTGACTTGTCTTGCGCCACACCAATGAATCATTACCTGAGAGAGGAGGGATGTCGGGAAAACCACATGAGTAACAATGATAGGCGAAAAAAAATATGACCAAACTTGAGTAACTCACTGGCTTGCCCTGAGCCCTACCTTGTGTAATCTGGCAACCAATGAGCTCCACCTTCAAGGCTATCCTCTGGTGCCATGTCTGGGGGACAACCCGCACATATCTGGCCACGATGGGAGGGATGAAATTGTTTTGCACTGGGTCCCGAAAGTTAGAGTTACCCTGAAACACCTATAGAAGGAAATTATGTTTACCTTAAGATTCTATTAGTGAGTTTTTAGGTGTTTATCATCCCACTTATACCTGGTTATATGAAACCAAGGCAAGGATTCTATGTCGGTTGCATTTTTCTAGACACTCTTGATATTGAAGATACGAGGCTTTGCAAACAAGGGCCAATTTATCTAACTAAGGTGGTGCTGCTCAACTGTTTACTGATTTAAATTTCATTTTGGATAAAGAAGCTAAAATTGCCTTGTTGTATTATTTGACCTTAATATTCCTACATTCAACTGGTGCTATAGACAAGCAACCTCAAGAGCACAAGGCTTCAGCTCTCTCACTTTTGCCATTTCCTTCCGAATTCTCATTGTCACTAACAGGATCCCAAGACAAATGTCCAACTCAAACATCTACCATACTTATACTGAAGCAGCCATTTTAAATGGCCAATTTTCACTTCCCAAGAAAATCACAAGTATTTCATTCCTGAAGTAGAAAAGAATTAAATCACAAAGATCTCTCAAGGTTTTTATTGACACATTTCTTATTCTTGGATTTGGATGCCAAGAAAGCCCCATCTTTCTTTTTTTCTTTTTCTTTTTTTTGAGATGGAATCTCGCTCTTGTCGCCCAGGCTGGAGTGCAATGGTGCAATCTCGGCTCACTACAACCTCCGCCTCCCAGGTTCAAATGATTCTCCTGCCTCAGCCTCCCAAGTAGCTGGGATTATAGGCACCAGCCACCACGCCTGGCTAATTTTTGTATTTTTAGTAGAGATGGGGTTTCACTATGTTGGCCAGGCTGGTCTTGAACTCCTGACCTCGGGTGATCCGCCTGCCTTAGCCTCCCAAAGTGCTGAGATTATATGCGTGAGCCAGCGCGACCAGCCCATCATCATCTTTTTAAAAGTTTTATTTTATTTTAGAGACAGGATTTTACTCTGTTGCCCAGGCTGTAGTACAATAGCACAACCATAATTCACTGTAACCTTGAACTCCTGGGCTCAAGTGATCTTCCTGCCTCAGCCTTCCAAGTATCTAGGACTACAAGTGTGCACCACCACATTTGGGTAATTAAAAATTTTTTTTTGTAGTGGTGGGGTCTTGCTATGTTGCCCAGGATGGTCTCAAATGATCCTCCTGCCTTGGCTTCCCAAAGCTTGGGGATTACAGGCATGAACCACCATGCTTGGCCTCACTGTCTTTTATTAATGAGATATTTAATGTAAACACATTGATGAAAATATATAGAGGCCTGTTCTCCTACTCAGTTCTCTTGCCTCTAGGGTTACCTCTTACCTTTTCTTCATTATTCACAATTCCTTTATAGGTCTTCCACTTAGAATTATTGTTTTTGAAGTTCATCACAAAACTCTTAACATAAAAGTTGAAGTTCGACTGTGTAGATCCTGTGGTCCTAATTCCTTGTAAGAAAATAATATTTACAGGCTATTTTTAAAAGTTTGTTAAATATAACATCTATTATAATTTCAAGTTTCATTTTTTTCTCCCTCATTTGAAACCTCAGATCATCTCACAGGCCAACTTATATTAGTTGCATTTAAAAATCTCTTCACAGATTAATGTTTTCACACTGACAATACACCATATAAAGATTTCACCATTGAAGAATTATCTCTCTAATCCATATATCCATATTTACAACTTGCATACAGATTCTTTTCACAGAAAGAATGTAAAGATTTGTTACATTTTCAAATATTTCAAGAACTTGGAGGTAGGTAGAGAAGCACCTATGTAAACAATAAGCGTATTTTCAACTACGAGTCATTTACAGTCATGAAACTACTCCTGCACTTGGCACTTGTGTTATTTTCTGCACCTGTTATTTTCTTTTTCTCCCCCAAATCGATCTCCAGCCACTCTCGTGGTTTGTGGTTGTTGCTACTGTCGCCCGAAGCCCATGATGGGCCTTGGTCCTGAAGTCGGGCTTGGCCAGGAGACCAGTGAACTTGGTCTCCACTCTCATTGACCGACTGCCATGAGGAAGAAGCTCTGATTTGCCCGTCAGGTTCAAAACTCAAGGATCTGCTGCAACCTGAAAAAAGAGTGCAGTAAGATATTTTAGATACAGACATAAAATAACAGCAAAAAAAAAAGTAGTACCACATCTCACCTAGAAATATTCAACTAGTTGACTTTTATTCTGATATGGAATAAAGTGTTTAATTACCAGCTTTTAAACGGTCCAGACTTGCATTTCACTCATTTGTACTACCATGCCTTGAAACTGTTATTGCTTTTCTTTTTAATAGACCTCCAAGTCACATCCTTTATAAGTGACACCTCTTCGTCCCCACTGTAGATTTTATTTTCTAACCTTCTATATTCATCCTGATTTCAACAAAATGCAATCTGTGTTAAAGGTTTAAAATGATGTGTTCCTTCTCACTTTAAAAGATTTAGAATCAGATGGGAACCCCATTTTTTCCACATACTTGAAAAGCAGATGTGTCTAAGTCGTCTGAACATCAGTAAGTTGTACCCAATATTCATCCAAAGGACCTTAACTATACCATGCCCAATATACCAATGTGAAGGCAGCAATAAAGGCAAAGAAGAAATATTTGTAGTGTTTTCCTTGAAACGGTTTATGCTAAGGGAGAATATTTACATAGAATACATTCCATGATGGAGAAGCTCAAAAGCCTTTATTTTATATACTCATTTTCAGTAACTTTATTCAAAATAATAACAAACCAATTGCAATATTTGAAAGCTTTTTCTCTTAAAATCTAAGATAAAGGGATTTATTTTAAAATAAATATTTCACTTTTTATTCTTTTTGGCAAAAGTTTGAGAGTTTAGATTATAAAGAAACATATTTTCTGCTTAATGTTAATTAGGCTTATTGTCCTGTGGATGGTTAAGTCAAGAAGATTTGGTGAGGGTGGCTGAAGTAAGAGGATCGCTTAAGCCCAGGAGTTTGAGATCAGCCTGGGCAACATAATGAGACTCTGCCTCCTTAAAAAAAAAAAAAAAAAAAAAAAAAAAAGGTGCTATGTAACCTGAGAAAAAAGGAAAAAAAAAAAAAACAACCTTTTAAACTACATAATCTGAAGGGTATGGAGGAATAAACTACTACTGAAGACTTTTAAAATATCAAATTCTTTTTTTTTTTTTTGAGATGGAGTCTCGCTCTGTTACCCAGGCTGGAGTGCAGTGGCGCAATCTCAGCTCACTGCAAGCTCCGCCTCCCGGGTTCACGCCATTCTCCTGCCTCAGCCTCCCGAGAAGCTGGGACTACAGGCGCCCCCCACCAGGCCCGGCTAATTTTTTGTATTTTTAGTAGAGACGGGGTTTCACTGTGTTAGCCAGGATGGTCTCGATCTCCTGACCTCATGATCCGCCTGCCTCGGCCTCCCAAAGTGCTGGGATTATAGGCGTGAGCCACCGAAAATATCAAATTCTTAAGGAAAGCATGATCCTTACCATTGGAGGTAAACAGAAATCGCTTGTCTGACAGGGAACCACTGAAACAATAAAGACAAACATGAGAAGGTAAGTTGCTCACCTACATCTTAGTGACTAATATAGCTACATCCCAGGGCTCACAGAACTTTCCCACCTGTGCTTCCTTACATGATCCTCACAACACCCCTGCAAACCTACTGCTATTATCTTCATCACTGGTATTTTATAGAACAGGAAACTTAGGCCCACGGAAGGTAAGCAACTTTCCTAAATTCATATAAGTGACAAGGGGCTAGGAAAGGGGCTAGGACTCTGAGATGCTGCTTTTGAATCAGAATCCTGTGCTATTTCCACCATGCTGAATTTATTGGAAAGGAATGTGTAGATATACAGCCTCAGGAATAACCTTACATCTCAATTAATTATTGCAAGATGATGAAGACAGAAAGGATTACTGCCCTGAAATCTCCCTTTGTTTCAGCAGTCACCTTAAAGTGTCCCACTCATTTCCATCTGCCTTCCCCACAGATCTCGTGACTCTCACTGAGGATGTTTCAGCAGTGTTACTCTGGGGACAGTCTCTGCCCTGTCTCTCTCTCCACGGCCACACTCCTACCTACTGTAGCAACCAGCACCAAGTCTTGAACCAGCTCCTGCTTCTGGATGACAAGGTACAGCTGGAGAAAACACACAGCATGTCAGTGAGCTGGCCTTACTGCCGCTTCTATCACTATCACAGGAGAAATGATTGCATCAGCCTCATTCTGCAGTTGTCTCCTTCAGTGCAGAAGACATTCCTAAGGCCACAGGAATGTCCTTATCTACCTTTGAAGACCAGATCAACCTTTAAAATAATCCCTCACAAAGTCAGTGGTATGAAAAATACAGAGAACGAATGGAAAATCTGGGGGCCTCAACATTAGCTTTATGTGCACAGTATTAGATACTAGAGGTAAACACCAAAAGGTAGATGCCCCTGTTGTGTCCAACTTTTTACAACTATTTTACAATCTCAGAGTGCTGCTTATTATTTTAAATGTTTAATTCTGAATTATAGATGGGAATAATGGACACAGAGAGTACTAAAACATGAAATCCACAAAGAACCCCAAAGTACTCTGGCCAAGAGTCTAAGTACCTTCCCATCAAAAGCTCTTTTTAGAAGTAATGGGTAGTAAAACTCTCTAGAATAGATTTTCTCTTTCACATTGTCTATGCTTGGCAGACTCCATAAACCCTGGTATTCCACATCTAGGTTCTTCTATAATCTCTGCACTGAATATAATGCAGGCACCAATCATTACTTACATGAGAAAACTCAGACCCACTTGGGTCCTGGGACTTGCCTAAGTTCACAGTTAGCAAAAAAGCTTGGATGAGAACTCTCCTGACACTTAAAGAAAGGCGCTAATCATATTAAAATTGTATTAAGATTTATGTGGAGCCTCTCTTTTGTCTCTTTTTCCATTTTCTCTAACGTTCCTACGCTGTTACATTTGAAATGTGGCTCAAATAAGCCTAAATAATGCTGCGGCGACCCTAAGAAACTAAGCTCACTTGCCATGAAACATTAATTTTGTTGTTGACCAAAAAGTATGGAAAGGATACCTTTGGAGTTAATCCTGAGAAGAAACCAGGAAAAGCTCTACTTCTAACAGCTCTCTGCCTGGCTTTCCTCCGTTATCAACTGGAAAATGTTTTTCCATTTCATTCCATTGAACGAATTAAATACAGACCACTTAAAGAATTCTATAGGTTAATAAGCCTACTCTTTTAAAACTAAAAACACCCTAGGGAGGTTAGGGTTCTGAAGCATTCACACATTAGAGTGAATGAATTCAATCAGATTACAGGAATAAGGAGGCTTCCCAGAGGGCTACAGAAGCAATCAAGATTAATCTGATGGAAACAGAAAGAAGGTTTTCACTTCTGATGGTTAGCACCATCGTCCTCTGTATGAGGTCAGTCTCTCTTCCTGATACCATTCTGGTCTCTTCAAATCAAGGAAATGACCTGACCGGAGATGAATCCCAGAAGACCCCTGGATATTTACTTTAGGGACTCCTTCTTCCTCAGCTGCAATACTTCCTTCTCTGGTTTTTCCTGAATGCCAAACAATCATGTGTGGGAACATAAGTTCAATGACCGCATGTACAGTGTTTCCCCAGGAGTAAAACAACACAGATGAAAACAACTGCTCCCTGAAGATTTCAAATCTAAATGAGTGGAAGAGGCTGTGTGAACATACAGTTAACTATTTGCTCAGTGCAAAATCACAGATCTAGAAATAAGAGATCTTGATATAATTCTGAACTTTCTATCTACTCCCCCCAAAATAAAAATGAGACAATTAGTACAAATAATTATATGGAATATGAAGCAAAACCCTTTCTAATTCACTAATGGTTTACATTTGTGTACTCTACTTTTTGCATGGAAGTTTAACGTCAAATTATATAAAATATATAATATATACTTTTCAAATTATATAAAATATATTATATATGTATGTATTAAGTCCAGTTGATGTAGCAGAAGTTAACTGAGAACGTAAAGTCTAATTTATTAAATAGTTTTAATAATGTTTGTTCAAAAGTAAGATAAAATCCAAGTTAAACTTTTTGTTATCCTGTTTTCCTACAAAAGGGGCATTCAAAGATATACAAATACAGACAAACGATTCCAAAAAACAGATTGAGAGCCAAAGGGAAGTTCTTTGTCCCTGTTTGGAGGTGGTAGCACCTGACAAATTCAGGCTAGAGCCTGTTATCTTCCTGAAGTAGCACCCTCGTATCAACAGAAGAAACCATCAAAAAACATAAAAAGGAATACATTCTCAAAAGTCAAGTTCAAGTTGGCATTTAAAGGTTTACTGTGCATAAGTGATCACTTTTACTATAAATCAGGATGTAAACTTTAAAATAAAATTTAATGTTCTGAAAAGTATGTGGCAAATATTTATGTGAAAAATGTTATATATATGTGTGTGTATATATGTATAATTTTATTGAGTGAAGATTTTAATTTCTAATAGCATACTGTTACTAAACCTTTGGATCTTAAACCTTGGCACAAATTTAGAGACTAATTTGTCTTTGAATGTTCAGGCAATATGAAAAGAATACTTTGTGTCCTCTCATAGCTAAAAATCTATCCAGAAGGGGAAAGTAAATGGGAGGGTTATGGTAGGCAGAGAACACAAATATCATGAGGTAAGCCTGCATGTCCAAGTGCACGGCATGCACTGCTGTCCTTGGTGGATGGAAGTCTTTTGTGGATTACGTACAGTACTACTTGCATTGCTTGTGAAAGAGTTATGTTGGAACATCTTCTCTAGTTACTCTCACCCCGACCCCTGAACTCAGAATTGCCAGTGAGAGGCTCTGCCTTTTCTCCACAGACACCCACCAGCCAGCCTCCTGGCCGTGAGCATGGTGTGCTGATGGCCACCACCACCCCTCTCTAACATTGCTCCTCAGTCTTGACTCTAACCCTGTAATCTCCCTTAACTTCAGTTACTGCTTCTAAATGCCACTGCCTATGAACATGGGCCAACAACCTCAATCATAAAATGGGTGTTAGTCCCAAAGTTTATATGTGAGTTCGTAAGTCGGTTCTTCAGAACTTAAGACACATTTTCCAATAAAAGCAATGTTATAACTTGTGGTCAGGATACCTATTTGACCTATGACATTGCTAACTAAAATACACTTAAATAAAAAGTAGGAGGGGGAAGGAAAATACTACTAAACAATTATCAAAATAACATCAGAGTCACCATATCTATGCCGACTAACTTGAGAACCTATCCAAGATAAGATGGCCCATCATCCATTGTGAAAATGGAACAGCAAAATACGACCATGTTCCTTCTGATGCAAGAGGGGGCTAGGACAAAATAGCAAGGGCAGGGGGAGAATGTCATACAGATTAATGAGTGATAGAATATATAGGTCCTGACATTTTTTCCCCCACTTCTGGATCCCAAAACGCCTAAAACCTCTGTCTTGTGCCTTATTCTTGGAACCCAGGCCATATGAAAACCTGTCCAAAAAACAGTTGCAGAAGGCAGAAGGAGAGAATGAGAGAGAGAAATACAGTGGCTCAAGGAGCACTTTTCTCTCACTAGGTTTCCACTCCAGGAGTGTCTCCCACTTGGCCATTCTGAACTGCCTGTTTATATGTGTGGACGTCTGGACCACAGGGTAGGCTGACACTGAGTTCTACACAGCTCTAGTTTTACACCTTCTAATGGCTGAGGAAATCTGAAAATATGAAAAGATTAAGTTGAACCATTTAAAGCACTTAACACATTTTTTTTCTCATGAAGCTAAAAGAGCACAGGATAAAAACAAACGAAGAATATAACGTTAACAAAGGCCATCTTTTTAAACAGTGTTAACAAAGGCCATCTTTCTTCACTTCCCAAACTCATCACTAAACAACTGTCTCTAGGAGTGTTCTAGGGAGCTCAGTGGTTCTGTAAGGGTTTCAGATGATGATAACATTGGAGACAACCAGTAACTTATAGAAGCTGTAAAAACCCAAAAAGGATTAAGCCTTTATTTTCTCCCACAAAAGCACCTGAGAGTAAAAACACTCCTCTGCCCCAGGGCTTCAGAGTGTGCCATTTTAATTTACATGTCAGCATAACCAGTGAGCTTTCTGATTGCTACATTTATCATCCATGCAGAGACCAGAAATGCTGCTCTAAGCACTCATGCATATTTTTCCAGTTGACAAACCCTTGCTATCACATCCCTGCTGTCTTTTCAAAGTTGTGAGCTGGTTAATTATCCTTCAGGGTTACCTTCTACTCAGAACAAACGATACTGAAAAAAAATACTTACTCCCTCGAAAGAACACCATTGGCCAGAATCCCTTCATATCGACTGATCCCTTTGCGCTGAAGCACACTGATCTGGCCACCTAGTTCATCAGCAATTATTCCTGCATGGATGGCAGCTTTGCACAATAAAGAGGTCTGAAACACAGCAACATCATTATGCAGAACTTAAAAGAACACAGTTAAAATATAGTTGGAGTTTTCTATTTTGTTTCTGTGGTAATTTATAGTAGTGGCCCCAATGAATAAAGCCTTCCAATGGCCATGCCCTGGAGTTGTCACCTCCCTCACTGACTCTGGACCATGTGACTTGCTTTGTTCTGCTGCAGATAACAGGGCCTAGCTAACTGCTACACATGTGAGTGAAGCCACCTTAGACTCTTGAGCCCCAGTTAACCTGCCATATGATGGCAGCCACAAGAGTGATTCCAGGCTAAGGGAGCTTACTAATCCAATCCAGTGTGGGTGGAGGCAAATTGCTCACCCTCAAACTCATCAGTAAATAAAATGGCTGCTACTTTAAGCCACTAAGTTTTGGAGTGGCTTGTTAAGCAGAAATCGATAACAGATCCAGTTTCTTATACTTAGGCTATTAGACACACATGCCAAGTTATCATTTAAGAAGCTGAACTTTCAATTCCACATGTTCATTTTTAAATTAGAGATTTATCAAGGTACCAAAACCACAATGGTAATGACAGCCACAGAACATTAAATGGAACAGAAAGCTTAACGAAGTTCCTAGAGGGATGATGAGCAACTCAGGGCTGACAGCCTCCATCTCACTTCCTGAATCCCCTCAGGAGGCATCAAAAAGCCAGTGCCAGCTCAGCCCTGCGATGTTCAGTGTGAGGTCTCAGCAGGCTGCTGGCTGTTCTGACAGATGCAGCAGGAACAGCAGACTGGCTCTGATTTACAGGCGGTTGTGGGATTGGAATCGGCTCTGTCAGGAAGTGGCGCTACAGAAACGACTAGAACTTTCTATGGGGTGCCCAGGCCTGTGGGTCCCCAAGTGTAGACCTCTGTGGAAGAGTGTTAAGGCACTCAGACCCAGGAGTGAGGGGATAAGAAACATAATTTCCTAAATAAACCTTAGCTATGCTCCACTTCTTCATGACTATTAATGCCAACATAGAAAGGCAGCTCATGAAATTTATCTCAGTAACTGGACTCAAGAATTTCTCTTTTTGTTAATGACAATGCTGCTTACCTTATTTACAATGGAAAAGTTCCCTTAGACTTAAGTTACAACAGTATAAGGACTAATGAGACAAATCATATTTTGCAATATAGTTGCAATAAAGTTGAGAATTTTGTGATATTCAATTTAGAGAGTTCATATTTCCCAAACTAGATTAGGTTTGGCAAAGTGAGTCAGTTTTGCAATAACTGCTATCCTAACAAAAGAGAGGAAAGATTTCACCACAGAAAGAAAAAAAATGAGAATACTGAAACAGATGCAAATACTACCCTCCCTAATCTTGGAGGAAAAAAAGAATTAAAATTAGAAGAGAAAAAGATCGTAAAGATCGTACTCTTTAATAAGAATGCAGGTTGCTTTTTCATCTTTCCTGAATTTTCTGTATATTGTTCCTGAATTTTCTTTCATTAAAAAGCTTTCTTATCATCAGTTTGGACTCCTGGGTCCAAACAAAACAGAGGAGCCAGTTGAAGAGGAAAAGTCCTGAATTTAAATTTAGCAATTTATCTTGTCATCCTGGCTTTGCCTCTAACTCCACAAAGTATATGCAAGTCATTCCACTGCTCTTGACCTGGCTTCCCATTCCTCTGGACAATGACAAGCCTGGACTGGATGTTGTCTAGTGCATGGGTCCCCAAGCCCCCAGGCTGTGGACTGGTACTGGTCAGTGGCCTGTTAGGAACCGGGCCACACAGCAGGAGGTGAGGAGTGGGCAAGCACACATTACCGCCTGAGCTCTACCTCTTGTCAGATCAGCAAAGGCATTAGATTCTCACAGGGGTGCAAATCCTACTGACAACTGCGCATGTGAGGAATCTAGGCTGTGTGCTCCTTATGAGAATCTAATTCCTGGTGATCTGAGGTGGAACACTTTCATCCTGAAACCATCCCCCACCCCGTCTGTGGAAAAACTGTCTTTCACAAAAGTGGTCCCTGTTGCCAAAAAGGTTCGGGACTGCTGGTCTAGTGTCTTTTCTGAAGGTCTGTCACCTTGTGATTCTAAAGGGTACCCAGTACACCGTTTATATTATAGGACCCATGCAGGCCTGTCTCCCTCGCTAAACCCCAGAATGAAAACCAGATCAGTTCAGTGGTCTGCTGAGCAGCTATTCCCACTGTCCTTGGGATCCCCGGTCTTCATACTAGGAACCCTGCCTATTGAGAGCTCTCACTGGACTTGGCATGTCCCAGGGCCTCCTTGGCTGTAAGATGACAGGTTCACAGGCCAACGAGCAACAGGATCTAACAGCATCATTGGCCAACAAATATTCTCGTTTCTCACAGTACCCAGTATTGAAGGAATTCAATGGTGAATACCTTTTTTATAAAATTTTTATTTAATTGCAGCTATGGCTTTCCATAATAGGTTGATGCAAAAGTAATTGTGGGTTTTGCCATTTCTTTTAATATTAATTGTAGGCTATAGGATACATCTCCAAAAGACTAGCCATCAAGTCTCACTATCATATTATTATGATAAAATTACCAGCATTTTCCAGGATTATTTTCTTTAAAATAGTCACTCCCTCATCCATCCAACTTAAAGGAAATTGATGTTTATTTGTCACTTTTTTGGTACTGATTTTTAAAATTCACATTTATTGAACCTGATTTTTGAAAATTCCCTTTTGAACAGATGGTACAATTTATACTTTTATTTTCTAGCTATTTTGAAGTCTAAGTCTCACTGAAATGTAAATATTGGAAAGCCATATTACTTAACCCATGTACATGGGTACATATTACCTAGCATATGTACCTAGCCTATGTACATTCTGCTCTGTAGAGCAGAACGTCTCTACAACCAGCTGGGCAGAATTTGCTGGAAAAAGAAAAATAAATAATTTATATTTTATTAAATTACACAACCAAAAATACTAAACTGTACTTAAATACTTTCTGTCCTCCGTATAATATCTTGCTTTAACGGCAAATTAGAAACCTGATTTGTGAAAATATAGATTGATCTACAATGTTCATCTGAAGGCAACTTTTACACAATAATTATTTGTTTCATATAAGGATTCACCATAAAGTCTATTAAACAATGAGCTTCCTGGCTGGGCACAGTGGCTCACACCTGTAATCCCAGCACTTTGGGAGGCCAAGGCAGGTGGATACAAGGTCAGGAGGTCGAGACCATCCTGGCTAACACAGTGAAACCCCGTCTCTACTAAAAATACAAAAAATTAGCCGGGCATGGTGGCAGGCGTCTGTAGTCCCAGCTACTCATGAGGCTGAGGCAGGAGAATGGCGTGAACCCAGGAAGTGGAGCTTGCAGTGAGCCAAGATCACACCACTGCACTCCAGCCTGGGTGACAGAACGAGACTCTGTCTCAAAAAACAAACAAAAAACAACGAGCTTCCCTAATGCATTTTACTTGATTCTAAGAGGTTCGGCTATCCCTGACAAATGGTTTTAATTAGTAAATTATCTTAAACAAAATATACTTAAACAGAATAATGTAAATGTAATAATTCTTTAGGAAAGGGAATGCAATGGCCAGCTGAAGAGAATACCTTCATGCCTCAGGCAATTGCAGGTGGATGGCATTATCTACAATAAACATTTCTGAAGTTCACTAAGCCATAAATGATGGCCAAACAGATTAGTGTGAACTAAGGCTAAACAACTTTCAAGCAACTATCAAATCATCCCAGAATTTTCTTAACTCTTCCTTTAGGAAAAATCAACTTGTACTAAAACAGTGTTGGCAATGTTTTAAAAGGAAGTGTAACAAAAAAGTAAACATTTTAGGTTGCATTTAATAAAACATGAACCAAAACCAGTAAGGTAGAATAAAACACATGCTTAAAAATGTTGGTGGAATGATAGCAAAATGTTAAATTATCAAATATATTCCCCTTTCCATCATATGAATTATTTCTGTGCTGTTACAGTCCTCCTAATTACCATGTCAATAATGTTTTCTTCACAAAATGTGCATTCTTTATAGAAATGCTGGAAATAATGAAAAAAAATCACTCATATTGTCATTACCCAGAGATAATCACTTGCCATTATAATGTATTCCTTCTGGCTTTTTCTGGGTGTGTACAAGAGGCCCAGTTTCTCCCCTTCTCCTCCTAAACTGCAGCGCACTACATGTTTACTGTCTCTATTTTACAGTACTTCTTGAACATTTTGGGGAGAGGAGAATTGCTGAAACAAATTAATTAAGTGATATGTTCTGCTTAAAAACAGATGGTTTAGTTAGCAGGCTGGGGAGAAGGTGCCAAGAGAAAAACTGTTCTGGGGGCAGGTGAGGCAGATCTTAAGAGAAGCCCATATTCCTTCACTGGCATTGGAAACATACACCAATTTGGATGCCTTAATTTGTCAGTAGGAGACAGAATTACAGAATCTCAAAAATTCAAAAAGGACTTTAAAGTTCCCCCCTCACACCTCCTGACAGACCACCCCCATCTCCACTCTACAGCACCTTTCCCACACAAAGACAGTCTATCCCTGACAAATGGTTTTAACATCTACACCTGACATTTTCAGTGACTAGGAAATCACTGTTTCTCGAGACAGCCTATCCCATTTTGCATTGTTCAATTATTCCTTATATGCAGCTGAAATTGGCATCCCTGTAACTTTTATCCACTGATCCCAGTTCTGCCTTTTGGAGCAACACAGAATAAACCAATGCCTTTTCTATAATAGCTCTGTAAGACAACATATTCTTCCCTGAGACAGGGTACCTCCTTCTTCAACAGCTCCTCTAGTTATTTATTTTACATATTCTGTTATCCTGACCTATAGGATATGCTTTGGTTTTGCAAAGATTCTTCTGAAAAGACTTGCTACAACTGAACGCATTTCCCAAGATGAAGGCACTGTGGAGGCAGACTCTAAGATAACCCCCATGATCCCTGCTCCCTGTATCCCCTCTTGTGGAATCCCTCTGAATCCCCCTGAGTGTGGGTGGGGGCTGAGATTTTCTTCTAAGTCTATAAGAATACGGCAAAAGTGATGGGATACCACTCCCATGATAACATTATATAAGAGTGTAATCTATCTTGCTAGGAGATCCCTTTGCTCAAAGACTCTCCCTTGTTTGCTTTGAGGATGCAAGTGGCCACGTTGGGAAGGTCCACATGGCAAGAACTGAGGATGGCCTCCAGCCAAAATCCAGGAAGAAACCGAGGCCCTCAATCCAATAACACACAAGTAACTGAATGCTGTCAACACCACATGAGCTTAGAAGCAGATCCTTCCCCAGCTGAGCCTCCAATGAGATTGCAGCCCCAGCTGACACCTTTGTTGCACCTTTATAAGACCCTGAAGCAGAGAACCCAGCTAAACCATGTCCAGTCTCCTAACCCACAGAAAATGAGATAATAAATATGTGCCACTTTAAGCCTCTAAGTTTATGGTAATATTATTATGCAGCAATAAATATCTAATACATCCATGACATTGACATACACAAAAAAGGCACTAATCCGAGTTCTTTGAAGAGAGTAGCTTTCAAAACACAAAATTTCCTTGCAGATAAAATCATTCTAAAAGCAAATAGTGCAAAATCAGTTAGTGGGTCAAATAGGAAACCTGTTTGCCAGCACTTAGGGATCATGTACTCCCATCTACCATGCAGGAAACCATTTACCTGTTATGCTAAAAAATATAGCTCTGTCAGGAGGAGGTAAGATAAATATCTACATTAAGAAAAAACTATGCTATTTCTCTTATTGTACATAATTCTTACATTTCTTGCATAGAACAGGAAAATGATAAATAAAAACTTTCTATTGCTGGGAAAAAATGTCAACTTTTTATTTCTCTTAATTCCCTGTAGTCATTTAAGAATTGCCTGAGCCAAGTAAATCTTCAAACTGAAATAGTGTAAAACATTTTAAGAGTCAATTTATAGGTCAAATGAGTATCCAGTGTCAATCTTGTAAATAAAAAAACAGAAAAGGGGAACGAAAGGCAAAATAACAAAATCTGCTGTTCCCAGAATCAGAATGTGCTAAAAGAGAAAATCACAGTCAAACTTTTTCCCTATGCCACAGAGGATTTATCAATCACCTAGAACAAGTAGATAAAGGTTATTTTCCCACAGGCATAAAAATACACGTTAATAACTTTAAGAACAGTTTCACAACAATAGGTTTTTGCTATAGATTTCTAATAACTCAGGCACTTTCCAAAAGCTAGGCTATAAACCCAACTACTTCAAATAGCAATGTAAATTTTTAAAAAATCAGATACTAGATTTCTGTAAATAGAAACAAGTGGAGGATTATGTATCTGAGATACAACATGCAGGAACAATGTATTACTACATAACCCAGGTAGTCTTACTGGACATAAGAACTTGGTTTGCAAAGAGAAAGGCGAATAAGAGCAGGGTGGATGGCTTCACTGGCCCCAGACACAATGTCACTATTCTATGATACGAATATTCATGTCCTTTGCTCTATTACAGGAACCAGTTGGAATGTTAAAGAAATAAACCATAACAAAAAGGATGCAAATCTATAACCTCTTACAAAAAGTGGATGGAATAATACTCTGAGATGGCAAAGTTTTTTCATTTCATTTATAGTAAGCTTAGCTGGAAATGCTAATAGGAATGAATGCATGGGTAACCTTGGTTTTTATACTTATTTCATTTATTCTCAGAGGAGAGAGACTCATGCATCTATCTAGAGTTTTATATCTCATTTGACTTTACTCAGTAATTAATTTAGGCAGAGTAAAGCACTTACTCCTTTTAATTCATTCTCTGCCATTACCCTCAATTACTTACATCTCTATATCCATCTACCATATTCCCAGAAATGTCTCCTGCTACGTCTCTACAACCAGCTGGGCAGAATTTGCTGGAAAAAGAAAAATAAATAATTTATATTTTATTAAATTACACAACCAAAAAAATTAAACTGTACTTAAATTTTTAAAGTATTTTCTGCCCTCCATATAATATCTTGCTTTAATGGCAAATTAGAAACCTGATTTGTGAAAATACAGATTGATCTATAATGTTCATCTGAAGGCAACTTTTATACAATAATTATTAGTTTTATATAAGGATTCACCATAAAGTCTATTAAACAATGAGCTTCCCTAATGCACTTTACTTGATTCTAAGACTTCCAATAAATATTTTTCAGAAACAGGAACATTTCTAAACATTATATATAGTATAATCTTGTTTCTATAAGAAATGTTTAAAATATGTAACAATTTTGTTTTCTATGGATAAAAAAGACAAAGAAGAATATCCCTAGATTCTCTCTGGGAGTAGGATTGTGAGGAACTTTCACTTTCCGTGTTATACATACTGTAATATTGCCATAATATTAGCACTGTCTGATAGAAATATAATGGGAGCCACATATACAAATTTAAATATTCGAGTAGTCACATTTTTAAAAAGTAAAAAGAAATATGCAAAATTAATAATATATTCTATTTAATCCAGCATGTTCAAATTTTATCATTTCTAAATGTAATAAACAGAAATAAATACCAATAAGATATTTTCTCTTTTTTTGATTTAACTTCCAAAATCTGGGGTGCATTTTATACAACACCCCTCAATTTGCACTCACCACAGTTCAAGTGCTCATTAGGTACCCGTGGCTAGTGGCTACCGTATTAGATGGTCTGGCCTACATTAGTTATGAAATACTTTTGCAATCAGAAAAAAAGGATATATTTTAAAATTAGGATTCCAAGGCCGGACACAGTGGCTCACGCCTGTAATCTCAGCACTTTGGGAGGCCAAGGCGGGTGGATAACCTGAGGTCTGGAGTTTGAGATCAGACTGGCCAACATGGTGAAACCCCATCTCTACTAAAAATACAAAAAAATTAGCCCGGTGTGGTGGCAGACGCCTGTAATCCCAGCTGCTTGGGAGGCTGAGGCAGGAGGGAATCACTTGAACCTGGGAGGCGGAGTTTGCAGTGAGACCAGATTGCGCCACTGTACTCCAGCCTGGGGACCAAGAGCAAAACTCCGTCTCAAAAAAAAAAAAAAAATTAGGATTCAATTTACTTAACAGTCATTTTTCAAGAAACTTTCCAGAAACATGTCATAGTATGTGGTGCAGCTGAAGGGTGTCAGTGTTAGGAGCAGAGTGACACAGGCTCCAGCACTACCTAGCTAGCAGTGGGACCCTGATATTGCATATAATCTCTCTTAGATTGTTTCTTCATCTCTAGTCCCTTCAAGTGTCAACATATCAACAAGATATGAAGACAGCTATAAACATCTATAAAAAACACACAAAAAGGAAGCCAAAGTATTATAAAAATGTTGTCAGCTTTGAAGATGCATGCCATGTGCCCTTACTTCTATATAGACACCACTTTACATAATGTTTACTTGGTTTGTTTAAAAAGAGTGTACCAGCCCAAACAGATTCCAGAATAGAAGTTGTTTTTATTTCATTTCCTCTCAGTGTCCTCCTGCTGCCTTGGCAAATTATATATGTAACAACTAATTATCAAAACTATCCAAATAAATATTCCATAATTTTTTCCCATTGACCTTTTGGAGTCCCTGCATTGCAGCAGTACTCGCGGAATTAAGAAATAAAAATAATGGGAATTCCCATTACAGGGTAACAATTCCCTAGAGCCAATTCCCTTAGAATCAGCTGTATTTCAGAATTCAGAATTTCTTGGATTCTAGAAAAGTAAAACAGTTCTAATGATGTATATGATGTAATACGCTGGTGGGGTCTGCACACATTAATAAAAAACATTAAAATACTTGTGTCAAATGCCTTAATAATCATATTAAATAACATATGTAAAGACATGTTAATCTAGTCCAATTTTGCTGTCAAACGAATTTAAGGTCACATTAATCAAGAATCACCACCAAATGAGTTACAAAAGGCTTTCAAAACTTTCTATACTTCATAATTATGGATGAGGGCTTGTGGACCTGTATCAGTCACCAGGCCTTATCTTTAATCTAAACACTACAAAATGGCTGGGCTAAAGCTGAGATAATCTGGCACCATAATGCCACCCTGTAAGCTTGGATATATTCCCTTTCTTTAGGAGAACAGGAAATGACCATTTGATGTCCAGAGGCCCTATCACCAACTGGGACTGTAGAGGTATAGCTATAATAGATAATACTGGCATATGTGTATATTGGATGAACAGTAACTTTAAAACCAATATTTAATTATCACTCATTTTCATTTTTCCCCCTATTAGACATAATATTAGTTAACACTAGAGTTGTTTCTGCACATAAAATAATCTCATTCATTAGAATGTCCAAATGTCTGAGATAGGACCACAGGCTCTTAAGTCTGACTCCCAGGCTACACTTACGAGGTGTGTAGCCCTCAGCAAGTCTTAATTGGTTTGTACTTTGGTTTTTAGGATGTAACAGAACCTTCCTTGCAGACATGTTGAAATGGTCACAAGAGCTACTTACTCTGTGCTAAGTGCAGACAGCTATATCGAGCACTAGGAAAGCACTCTAGAGAGTCATAGCTGGGTGCCATGATTCACACTTGTAATCCCAGCACTTTGGGAAGCTGAGTCCAGAAGTTAGAGATCAGCTTGGACAATATAGAAAGACACCCATTTCTAAAAAAATTTAAAAATTAGCCAGGTATGATGGTGCACACCTGTCGTCCCAGCTACTTGGGAGGCTGAGGCAGGAGCATACTTTGAGCCCTGGAGTTTGAGGCTGTAGTGAGCTATAATTATACCACTGCACTCCAGCCTGGGCAAAAGAGCAAGACACTCTTTCATAAAAAGAGAAAAAAAAAAACAGTCATAGTTTTTGTTAGTGTTGTTGACAATGATCTCTAGACTAGTGGCTCTCCACTGGGGGCGATTCTGCCCACCATGAGACATTTGGCAATGTCTGGAGACATTCTTGGTTATCACAACTGACATCTAGGACATAGAGGCCAGGGATGCTGCTAAGTATCTAACGACGCACAGGACAGCCCTGCAATATAAAGAATTATCTGACCAAAATATCAATAGTGCCAAGGCTAAGAAATTCTGCTTTAGACTGTTTTACTTGATAGATGAGCAAATGTACATCAAAGTGACTAAGTAGTTTTTCCAGCTAAAGCTGGGTTGAAAATTTTCATCTTATTTGCAGTAGGTTTTTCTCTAGTGGTAAAGACAAAATGCACCTCCTCCCAAATGAAAGAATTTTAAAGGTCACTCCCAAATACCAGCCAGGAAAAAAAATACAGTCTAGACTCGGTAATGATTCATTGGCCCTATAGTGGAACTCAGGGGTCAGCAAACTATGGCCTGTGAGCCAAATCCGCCCTACTGATGTTTTGGTAAATACAGTTTTATTGAAACACAGCATGTCTGTTAGTGTATACATGGTGTCTATGGTTGCTTTTTTGCTACAACAGCAACAGAGATTATATGAATAAATGCAACAGAGATTGTATGGCCTGGAAAACCTGAAATATTTATTATCTACCCCTTGACAGAAAAGGTTTGCTGACTTCCTGCTATATAACAAACTATTTCAAATATTCCTCATTAGTTACAACATGAATGGTAAAAAGAGCTTTAAGTACAAACGTATCTGGTTTAACGTGAAAGAAAACAAAATGTTCAGCAATACACGACTGCAACACAGTTAGGATACCTATACTTACCTGTATTCTGTCTTCAAATAATGGCTAGCTCGTTCCAAACATGTTATTAAATCTGTCATAAATAAAGATAATTGCAATTAATAGAATGAATAAAAACTAGGACACTCATGCTGCAAAGCTTTCTTTTAAAATAAAAGAGTTTTTAAAAAGCATTTATTCACTATGTAGTTATCAGAATTTTCCTTTTAAAAATAAACACTGAGAATCACTGTCTCCAGTATTTAATGAGTTCCTTTCGTTTCTTTTTTCTGCCACCAATGACAGTTTTTCAACACAATCACCTAGTAAATGATAGCAGAATCTGTAGTTAACAGAAAAAAACAATACTCTTTAGTTGCTATCCACTATATGCCTATGAAGACCATGTGTATAATGTCCCCTGGCAGGAAGAAAATAATTTCAAAAGCCCAACACAGTTCACAGAGAAGGTTCCCACAAACATTTTAATTCAACAATTTAGCCAGTGGCATCTGGTGACAGAGAAGCACATCTTTACCAAGAAAACCTACAGCATATAAGCTTTCATCAACCAGGACAAAGCATTTTAAAAAAGAAGGTGCTCTCTGGAGTAATTTACAGAACCAAACTAATATTCAGCAATAGAGGCTAAGATACAGTGGACCTTGATGCATTTAGATCAACATAGTATGGTTTCCAAAATATTCCACACTTACTGTAATAGTTCTTTGGGAGCAATATATGGTGAACACTGGCAATGCAGGCATCTGCTGTGATTAGTCAGAGCTGATTGGCTAAGAGGAAAATGAATGGCGCACCTCACTCCCAGAGCTTTTCTGCCAGAGAGGACTGACAGCAGAAACCTCTATGACCATAGGCAGATTTGGTATGGGCTGCACAGAATTACTCTGAAGCACAAGAGCCCAGGACAGGAGCCCGTGCTTCTCTCTCTCATCAGTGTTCGTGTTTCCCTTCCCTTCTCTCCCATACAAGTTTTCAGCTTTAAAGTTATTACACTGTGTGACACTGACTTCCTCATCCTACACACACTGTGCATGCCTCCCGTGCTGGTGTACTGGCGTGTGTTGCGGAGGGGCTCACTGGTGAAAAGCGTTGCCCCTGAGCTAGGGAGGAGGATGGGGGAGGGCTCCAGAGAATAGTGAAGACTTCGAAGGGTCAGGAGGGGAACACAAAAGTGTGTTATCCAAGGTTTTTAGGAAAAATGAGATGAATCCTATCCCATATAAGTCAACTGATCAATCTAACATGCTAATAAGCTTGTCCAACCCATGCCCCTTGGGCCACATGCAGCCCAGGATGGCCTTGGATGCAGCCCAACACAAATTCCTAAAGTTTCGTAAAACATAATTATAAAAATTTTTTGCAAATTTTTTTTAGCTCATCAGCTATTGTTAGTGTATTTTATGTGTGGCCCCAAGACAATTCTTCTTCTAATGTGGCCCAGGGAAGCCAAAAGATTGGACACACCTGTGCTGCAATATGATTCAGTTCAGACCTAACCATTTACAAAGATACCATGTTCCTCTTCTCCCTCATATCTTAATTCTGCATCTGAGTCCACAATTATGTCCAGGGATGGGGATAAGTGGCAAGAGGAATTCTTAGACAGATAACATTTAGAGATTTGTGTTGATTCTTCCGTTATACCTGGATGGTCGCTGCTCGCATAGGTCAGCAAAAAACCCCGGCCAGAAATGTGGGATCCACTCTCAAAGCGGACGGTTACTTCACTTGTGTTCAACAAGAGTTCTTTGGGAACAGTCATACTTCCACAGTATGGACCTAAAAACAAAGCACACTTGTGGCACATTTCAAAATTTATACCAGCACAAATGACTGGTATATGGCATTTTTTTCCTTGAAAGGCCAAATTTACTAGACAATACATATGTATGATTATAATCTTTACCAACTGAAATTTAGCTTGACGCTCAGACTGATAATTTCTGACTGATTGTGAACTAAGCCAAGGGGGAAAGTGGCTTACTCTAGACAAGCAATAGGCTGGAACTAGTTAACTGTGAGCAACCCAAGAGATAGGTTTTGTTTTTTGTAAAAAGAAGACAAAGGTCAAACACATTAGGTAGTAAAGAAAATTTTATTACAAAAATGTTATTCTAGGGGCCTCCTAAATTTGCTCAAATAAACTAAAAAAATCATTTTTTCGGGGAAGTTTTAAAGTTAAAAGACTTTGCAAAGCATGGTAAGAATTTTATTCACATGCAGCATTCACATGCAGCATACACACTGATTTTCCTTTACAGTAACTTCTGGTTAATCCCCAAAATTCATTTTGATTTATAAAATGTACATAAAAGCAGAATAATTTCTAAAGCATTTTGAAATATTATAGTACAAAATTATACAATTAAGGGTATAACATTGTTTCCAAAATAAGTTGCTTGAAAAGCAATAGGGATCTCAATGAACTTTCAAAGGGCAAAATTACATTTGGAGCTTAAAATAACGAAAACTCTTCCTAAGACTACTCAAACTGAAGTTTAGCTTTTAACTTGTCATTTCGAAAGTAACATACGCAAGACAATCTCTATGAAATAGAGATTAGCAAGCAAATTTTGAAGAGAGGTATTATTTATTAACTTTTCTCAAAAACAGTATGGAAATAGTCAGCGGCAACAACAATCATGATGAAGGAAGAAGAATAAAAGAAAAAGACTGCTCCAAGTCAATACGAATAAAACCGGGTTATATTAACCAGAACCAATAGGGACAAAACTGCTTGATATGGTTTTGCTGTGTCCCCACCTAAATCTCATCTTGAATTCCCATGTGTTGTGGGAGGGACCTGGTGGGAGGTAACTGAATCATGGGGGAAGGTGTTTCCCGTGCTGTTCTCATGACAGTGAATAAGTCTCATGAGATCTGATGGTTTTTTAAAAAAGGAGTTCCCCTGCACGAGCTCATTTCTTTTGTCTGCCACCATATGAGACATGTCTTTTGCCTTCTACCATGATTTGAGGCTTTCCTAGCCATGTGGGACTGTAAGTCCAATTAAACCTTTCTCTTGTAAATTGCCCAGTCTCAGGTATGTCCTTATCAGCAGCATGAAAACGGACTAATACAGTTAAGTTGGTGCCAGTAGAGTGGGGTGCTGCTGAAAAGATACCCGAAGATGTGGAAGTGACTTTGGAACTGGGTAACAGGCAGAGGTTGGAACAGTTTGGAGGGCTAAGAAGACAGGAAAATGTGGGAAAGTTTGGAACTTCCTAGAGGTTTGTTGAATGGTTTTGCCCAAAATGCTGATAGCGATATGGACAATAATGTCCACGCTGAGGTGGTCTCAGATGGAAATGAAGAACTGGTTGGGAACTGGAGCAAAGGTGACTCTTGTTATGTTTGAGCAAAGAGACTGGTGGCATTTTGCCCTTGCCTTAGAGATTTGTGGAACTTTGAACTTGAGAGAGATGATTTAGGGTATCACGTGGAAAACATTTCTAAATAGGAAAGCATTCACGAGGTAACTTGGGTACTGTTAAAGGCATTCAGTTTTATAAGGGAAGCAGAGCATAAAAGTTCAGAAAATTTGCAGCCTGACAGTGCGATAGAAAAGAAAATCCCATTTTCTGAGGAGAAATTCAAGCCAGCTGCAGAAATTTACATAAGTAATGAAGAACTGAATGTTAATCCCCAAGACAATGTGGAAAATGTCTCCAGGGCATGTCAGAGGTCTTCAAGGCAACCCTTCCCATCACAGACCCAGAGGCCTAGGAGGAAAAAGTGGTTTCCTGGGCCAGGACTAGCATCCCTGTGCTGTGTGCAGCCTAGGAACTTGGTGTCTTGTGTCCCAGCTGCTCCAGCTATGGCTGGAAGGGGACAACGTAGAACTCGGGCCAGGACTTCAGAGGGTGCAAGCCCCAAGCTTTGGCAGCTTCCATGTGGTGTTGAGCCTGCAGGTGCATGGAAGTCAAGAATTGGGGTTTGGGAACCTCCACCTAGATTTCAGAAGACGTATGGAAATGTCTGGATGCCCAGGCAGATGTTTGCTGCAGAGGCCCTCATAGAGAACCTCTGCTTGGGTAGTGCAGAAGGGAAATGTGGGGTCAGAGCCCCCACACAGAGTACCTACTGGGGTACCATCCAGTGTAGCTGTGAGAAGGGGGCCACCAGACCCCAGAATGGTAGATCCATTGCACCTGAAAAAGCGACAGACACTCAACACCAGCCTGTGGAAGCAGTGGGGAGGGAGGCTGTACCCTGCAAAGCCACAGGGGTGGAGCTGCCCAAGCATGGGAACTCACCTCTTGCATCAGCATGACCTGCATGTGAGACATGGAGTCAAAGGAGATCATTTTGGAGCTTTAAGATTTGACTGCCCCACTGGATTTCAGACTTTCATGGGGCCTGAGCCCCTTTGTTTGGCTAATTTCTCCCCATTTGGAATGGCTGTATTTACCCAATGCCAGTACCCACATTGTATCTAGGAAGTAATTAACTTGCTTTTGATTTTACAGGCTCATAGGCAGAAGGGACTTGCCTTGTCTCAGATGAGATTTGGACTGTGGACTTTTAAGTTAATGCTGAAATGAGTTAAGACTTTGGGGGACTGTTGGGAAGGCATGATTGATTTTGAAATATGAGGACATGAGACTTGGGAGGGGCCAGGGTCGAAATGATAATGGTTTGGGTGTCCCCACCCAAATCTCATCTTGAATTCCCACGTGTTGTGGGAGGGACCCGGTGGGAGGTAACTAAATCATGGAGGAAGGTCTTTCCCATGCTGTTCCCATGATAGTGAATAAGTCTCATGAGATCTGATGGTTTTAAAAAAAGGAGTTCCCCTGCACAAGCTCTTTTCTCCTGTCTGCCACCAGGTGAGACGTGCCTTTTGCCTTCCACCATGATTTGAGGCTTCCCCAGCTACGTGGAACTGTAAGTCCAATTAAACCTTTTGTAAATTGCCCAGTCTCAGGTATGTCCTTATCAGCAGCATGAAAATGGACCAATACACATGCTAAAGAGTCAGAAGATCGTGACCCAACTAAGCATTGCCCTTCTGGTATAAAGGATCCAATTTCTCTCTGTTTCAAGTTTCACATACTGAAGATGTGATAGAATAAGAAAGAAATGCTATATGCTTACCCTCACATGCCAAATTTCTAGCATTTCCTATCACTAAATTATGGTGAAATCTAAATAAAAGATGTTCACTTCCCTCTTTAGAAACACTCATCATACGTAATTACTTACATGAGTTAATACTTTCTTTTTTTTTTTTTTGAGATGGAGTCTCGCTCTGTCCCCAGGCTGGAGTGCAGTGGCATGATCTCGGCTCACTACAAGCTCCATCTCCTGGGTTCACACCATTCTCCTGTCTCAGCCTCCTGAGTAGCTGGGACTACAGGCACCCACCACCACGCCTGGCTAATTTTTTGTATTTTTTTTTTTTTAGTAGAGATGGGGTTTCACTGTGTTAGCCAGTATAGTCTCGATCTCCGGACCTCGTGATCTGCCCGCCTCAGCCTCCGAAAGTGCTGGGATTACAGGTGTGAGCCACCGCGCCCGACCAATACTTTCAAATTACTTAGAATAGTACTCAGCACATAGTAAGAGCTATATAAGTGCTTGTTAAAAATGAATATATTAAAAAATAAGTAATACCTATTTTCTCTTCAGACTGTGTTCCATAGTGCAAGGAACTTTTATATCCATCCCTTTATCTCCAACAGACTGCATAGTACCTGGCAGGTGACAGCCTCCCACAAACAGTTTGAATTGAATTGAAATGCTCTTTTTACAACAGTTTCTAAAAGCCAAATCCAACTAAGAGATTCATAAAATATTTTTAATCGTGTCACTTTTAAATACTATGGAGAAGTCAGGAAGAGAAGTGTAAAGAAACAAGAAAAAAATTTCTGTAATGAATAATATGGATTTTTATAAACTTTACTCTTGCTCACAAGCACAGCAGATAGGCAATTCAGACTAAATAAGTAGAATGATAAGCATTTTTGCAAAGTTAAGGTGAGTCAGATTGCTGTACTTGCCTTTTCCAACTTATTCTGTTTGTTTTAGATATGTTTGAAATTCCTCTGTTCTTTGCACAGATAAGAGGGGTGAAGACACTTGCTTTGTAAACCTAAGGATGAATATTGTGAAGTAACTAGTAACTTGTTGCTTTTAATAAGTTAGAATATTTTCAAATCACATTTTTTTATATTAACCCAGTAATACACCCCTCCCCAAATGGTGATGATGATAGTAATCTCTCCTTAAATTTCTATAGCATTCCAATGAGTTCTAATGAAAACTGTAGGTGGCCAGGCACGGTGGCTCACGCCTGTAATCCCAGCACTGTGGGAGGCCAAGGTGAGCGGAGTCAGGAGGTCAGGAGTTCGAGACTAGCCTGGTCAACATGGTGAAACCCCATCTTTACTAAAAATACAAAAAAAATTAGCCGAGCATGGTGGTGGGTGCCTGTAATCCCAGCTACTTGGGAGGCTGAGACAGGAGAATTGCTTGAACCTGGGGGGTGGAGGTTGCAGTGAGCCACGATCCCACCACTGCATTTCAGCCTGGGTGATAGAACAAGACTCCGTCTCAAAAAAAAAAAAAAAAACCCACAAACTGTAAGGTAAGCAAGTCTAAATTGATTATCAGTGAGAACTTGCTTAGATTTTTTTTTTTAGATTTTATGAAACAGTTGAAAGGAAAAGTTGCAAAAAGTATACATATTTTACACAAATGAGAGTGTATACCATCATACTAAGTTGTTGTGCAATATATATGATTTCCTAGACCAAAAACATGTAAATATAGTAAAACTCTAATTTGGTTTCATCCTCCCAGTTATGATAGGCATGTAACTATTTCTGGAAGCAGATCAAAGAAGGAAAATGTAAACACATGCCCCTTTAATTACCCTTACCACACAGACATCAATCCCTTTCATATTTTTATTACTGTGCTGCAAAATTGTAACTAGAGGGGTAGGAGATACCCTCTCTATATAAATATCATCATTGAGAGGATTTTTTTTTTTTTTTTTGAGACAGGGTCTTTCTCTGTCACCCATGTTGGAGTGCAGTGGCGTGATCACGGCTCCTCCTGGGCTCAAACAATCCTTCCACCTCAGCCTTCCAAGAAGCTGGATTACAGGTGTGTGCCACCATGTCCAGCTAATTTTTTGATTTTTTTTGTAGAGATGAGGTCTCACTACATTGCCCAGGTTGGTCTCAAGCTCCTGGCTTTAAGCAATCCTCCCATCTCAGCCTCCTCAAAGTGCTGGGATTACAAACATGGGCCACAGCGCCTGGTCTGAAGAGTTATTTTGATCATTTCATCATAATCACAAACATCAGAATAGCAAGAATGAGTTTTAATTCAGGGTGGGGGATAAGAGTTGAATACTGGCTGTAGTATTGCCTATGGCAAAACATCCAAATTATTGCCTGTCTCAAGGTCTGACAGACGAAAATTCCTTTCATAGACTAGAAGTTAATAATTACATTCCTAGAGTTAAAAGGCAAGAAAGAAAAATGGAAAAATATGATAGCATTGAGAGGGAAAAATAATTAATGGGAAACCACGGAAAGACCCTGGGAGTCTGTCCTAAGCAATGTCCTCAGTGCTCCGCCAGACTCCTTTAAGGATAATCTCTTGTCTTATGAAAGAAAATCTTTCTCCACTCACCCCTGCCCACGTGATATACTTCACTGTTGGTACTCTCCAAAGGTCTCCTGACTTTTAAAAAGGATCTACACCTATATTTAAATGTTTACAAAGACAATTTCACTGGAAACCCACATGAGAGCGCGGTGACTTCTAACTTTGATTGTGGTTATATTCTTGGGCTCAGGCAGTGTTCTTAGATTGGCAAAAATACTTCAATTCAGTCAGACTGAAATCCAACCCCTTCCTAAAAATAGGATGCACAGTTTTGCATGGATGTTTGCTTCAGAACCAGCAGTGCTACGTGTTTTATAGCACTTGGACTTGCCACCTAACTTCCTACTATTCTCTCACTTCTATCTATCCCTGTCTGCAAGGCAGGTTCCATCTTACTTTGCAGTCACAAATTCCCATCACACTGGAGTGCAGCAGTTAATCAAGTAGGCAGAAAAATCAGGAAAAAAGAAAAACTTTTATCTTTTGTGGAATGTAACTGGCGGCCCTATATTGTGGGAAGAGCTATCAGAGATACCAAATGGAACAGCACTGTGGCATTTGGCACCAGACATGAGACTCCAGCAGACAATGGGCTGATTCCTTGGACAAAGGGAATAAAGGGCCAGGAACTGTAGGAGTTGCCTTCTTTGAGCACAGTAGGTCAGTTCCTCTCAGCACATTCCCTGTTTCGGGCTACTATTTCATTAGCAGCTGCAAGGGAAACCCTTTATCTTTCCATGTGTGAATAAAAGAAAGCTGTCCTATAAGGAAGAATAAACTGTCTGCTACAAGCCAAGTCTGAAATCCTCTTGATTCTCTGGCAATCTGACAATCTGTACAGCAATGTATAGTACTTCTCTATTCTCCTGGACTGTGTGCCCAAGACTCTGGGCATTACAAGGCAATGATGGTTTGGTTAAAAACTGTTTGTTCCAAGTCACTTCAGATGGATATAAGGTTTTGATCTTAAAACTAATAAAACTAAGTTATTGTTTTATATATAGAAGGGACATGTTTGAAAAATAGTATGCATGTCATTAGAGAAACAAAGAAACCTCTTTCCCTTAGTAGTATTATTTCTGATTTTTTTTTTAACTACCATACTGTCAGTGGGAAAAACCACTGAGAGATCAAATAAAAACCTAACTCCTGAAAGGTCTGTCATAAATCGACAACAACAACAACATAAAACCTCCAAAAAACCCTCATTAACCTTCTGGAGCATCATCTGAAGCACACAATTCTTTCTTATGACAGATAAGAACATGCCTGATTGACCTAAGTGACCCTCCCTGGGAGTACATGTGGGTGGAGACAGCCACATGGAATATTTGGCTGCCAGGCGAGTGGTACTTCTCGTGGCCCAGATCTGTGCTCAGAGGTATGCTGATAAAACAATCTCCAGAAATGCTGAAGCTGCAAACACCATTAGATTTGTGTCCATTTTCAATTTGTTTTTGATGCAGTCAAATCGCAGATTTGTCCTTGCTTGCTAATTGCAGTAGGGTCATTGTACAACATTACAGAATTTTCAAGGCCATTTTCTTTGAAAAGGAGAGAAATTAGCATAAAAAAGGGATATTCCTGGACTGTGCCATTAAAACCATAGTCACGTAACAGTAAGTGGTATCCCTGGAGAATTTTGGTCTCTCATTCCCACACAAAAATCAGTGACAGATGATAAATGAAGCAGGCGGATTCTTAGACAAAGGTGTGGCTTTCCTTGGGGCTACAGGACCCAGGTCAAGAAGTGTGTCAACGCTGGGAGTTCACAACCCACTTAAGCCATTACTTCTCTCCCAATGAAAGATGGCAATTACTGAAACTGAATCACAGTGAGTCTCCAGGGAAGTATTTATGGGGAAAGAGGAGGAGGAACCCAATAGCTTTTTCTCCTTGAGGCTTATGGTTGTGTTAAAAAAAATACCTAGAGTACAGCATTCTGGCTGATATAACGTTTTATATGTTCAAGATTCTTTCTGAATTCTATCTTGGCATAAAAGGCAAAATAAAACAAACAAAGAAAAAGCAGTCCTTCTCAATAATTTCCACCAAAGTAGCCTCAACCATAGAGGAGGACGCACTTCTAGGGTGTCTGCAGCCCAAAACAGCTCTCTGTGAGCTGGAAATTTCCTTGAAGTCTATTTGTTTTATCTTTAAAAGCCATAAAAATTTTTCCTTCTACTTCATAATATGTCTGAGAGACATATAAACCATTTGTAAAACAGAGACTGTCAATCTTGCGCTTTCCCCTCTTTGGGATTTAAAAAACTTCAACAGATAAGTTGTAATTATTAGATCTTATTGCAATATGTCAGATATGTATCATTCTAAAAAATGACATGCAGAAACCTGTTGTGATTATGAGTCTAACCACTTCGCATTATTTCCAACTATTCCTATTTCTCTCATTCCTAGTGTAACATAAACATTAACAGTTGACTTCACATGATTGTGCTTCTAAGTCACTGACAATGCTTAAAAAAATATTGTGATTGGAAGTGGAGGTACAGAAAACGTAGGAGAACAATTTTTGAACTTCCTGGTGCAAATCATTATGCAGAACACAACCAATTTAACTTCCATTAGGATCCTATAGTAAAGAGTTTCTTTCTATCACTGGCCACCATGCCTCCTCTTAGCATTTTGACTAAAAAACATTTTTTGAACTTTCAACTTATACTGGAACTCTACGTAAGTGATTTCTCAGACTCCCACTTTATTCTCCGGATACTCCTGTGGAGAGGCCTGGAGAAGTTTCCATTTCTTCCAGCAAGTGACGAACAAGAACTACACCTCAGGTCTTCTTATGCACAAGCCACAGGAACAGATGGCTTTCAACACAAACACTGAATCGGATGGTGCAGAGCTAAAGAGTAGGGCCTCTGGGCATTTGAGCAGGGCCTCAAATGCCCAGACTTGAATCCCAGGTCCCGCTAAGTGATCTTACAAGCATGTTAGTTGGCCTTCTTTGAGCTTCAGTTTCCTTAGGTGTAAAGGTTGGTAACAGGACCTATCTCACAGGGCTGTTATAAGGGTTAAATGAGGTAGTAACGCTAAGGTTTACTAAGCCCAGTGCATCGCACATAGTTGAATGCTCACTCACAGGCACCTTCCACATTATTACATGGTCTTTTCCACATAATAAGCATAGTTTTAAAATTTTATGTAAACCAAAGCTTTCTTTAAATGCAGAGGGAATGTTTATAGAGGAATCTTAGTGTAAATTTCCCTACAGTGTGAATAATGACACTCCAATTTCTCTTTTGTAAAAATCCAGATTTTTTAATATGTTTGCCAAAATCAAGCTACTTATAATCTCAGTCCTAAAACACTGACTGAACATCTGCAATTGTAAGACGATGCTAAATATTAGGTGAATAAAAGAGCATGAATAAAACGTAATTCCTGGCTCAGGGCATCCCGTATCTGACAGAGAAGCTAAAATAATTATCCCAACCCGAAACTGATGCTCTACTGAAACTTTAGAAAGAGAACATGAGCACAGAAAAGGGACAAACTGATGAACATCAGAGAAGGTTCTAGGGTAGGCAGCCCTGAATTTGAAACTTGAAGGGTTTACTTTTACGTGTGTGTGTGTGTGTGTGTGTCTGTGTCTGTGTGTGTGTCTGTGTCTGTGTGTGTTAGAAGGGACAGAAAAAGCAGGAAAAGAAGAAAAAGAGGGGGACATGGAAGGAATAACATCAACGACTGTAAAAATGTACTAGGCCATGAAACCGTATGATGCATTTGGGAAATGGCATGGAGATGAAGGACTCAGAGATGAGGCTAGAAGTGAGAGTGAAGAAGAAAGCAAGATGATGCATCAACGCTAAGCTAGCAAGTTTCTGTAGAAGTGGGGCACAATTAACAATTTTTGAACTAAGGAAAGAAATTATTGCAACTATTTTTAATTACACAACATTAGATGGCCTGGAAGGAACTGAGACTGGTGAAAAGAGAGAGGAGAAAAATCAAGAGGTTCTTCAAGGAGAAAAAGATGCAAAGACGTAGACTGGCAGTGGCAGTGAAGTAAATAAAACAACCAAATTGAATATACTGTGGCTTGGAGAATATGTGTTCTCTGTTCATCTCATGAGGCTGGGAAAACCTGTATATGGAGCTAGTTCTGGTTCAGTGAACCCTTGCCACCAGCTTGGCATGATTTGGGCAAACTCTTGGATTACCAGGAATCCACCAGGAGGAGTAGGGTAGGGTGTGCTGCTGGAGCTCAGCCTCTGCCTGGTGAACAGAGAGTGCTCAGGGTATTACGAGGGGAACAAGGGCACATCTTAGACAAACAATATTAACAGTAGGCAAGACAACTCAGGAGGAGGAAGAAGAAGAGGCGGCTGGGAAGAGGGAGGGGAAGAGTAAAGTAGAGGGGCAGAGGATAGGGAAGGAGGAGGAAAAATAATGGCTAACGTTGACTAAGTGCTTACTATGTACCAGGTGTCATCCTTTAAAGTCATATATAAGTGTGCCAGTCACCTATATGTGGTAGATACTATTATTTTGCCCATTTTGTTTTATTTTATTTTGAGACAGTGTCTCCGTCTGTCACTCAGGTTGGAGTGTTGTGGCACGACATGGCTCACTGTAGCCTTGACCATCTGAATTCAAGTGATCCTCTTGCCTCAACCTCCCAAGTAGCTGGGACTACGGGCATGTATCACCATGCCCAGCTAATCTTTGTATTTTTTGTAGAGATGGGGGGTTGCCATGTTGTCCAACCTAGTCTCAAATTCCTAAGCTCAAGTGATTCATCCACCTCAGCCTCGCAAACTGCTGAGATTACAGGTATGAGATGTCGCACCTGGCCTGCCCATTTTAAATATGAGGGAATAGAGACACAGAAAGTTTAAATAATTTGCTCAAGGTCAACCAATTTAGAAATAAGCAGTCAGGGCCAGGCGCGGTGGCTCACACTTGTGAGTAGGCAGGAATTTGAGGCAAGGGAGTCTAATTACAGAGTTTGTGCTCTTAAACACACGTGTAATATCTATGCAGCAACAAAAATTTCAATCCATTTTCAAGGCCAGCCTGGTTTTATTGATCTACACTGATCCAGGTGGTAACGTCTAGAAGTCTCCATCAGAACAACCTCCTTTGAGACCCTGAGATGCCTATGAAGACTGGCCAGCGTCTGGTTCCTACCAAGACTGCTCCAACAGCTCTTCAGGCAGTCCCGGACCCACCCCAAACTCCATCCAGTGTGGAGGTCACCTTTCAAGGGAAAACTCGGACCCAACCTTATTGAAAGATCAGGAAAACAGAAATGACCTCCTCTGAGGTCCCTACAGGCAGTGGGGGCAAAAACAAACCTCTGAGTAAATTCAAATCTCTAAGTCCATTCTGGTCAGCAAGACTGGAAATGGAATTTACCCAGAGGGCAAGTCAAGGTTACATGGTCACTAAAGAGCTGTAAAGTTAAGAGTAGTATCTTTAGTATGAATGCAAAGTCTTCCCTCTTCAGTGTTATAAATAAATACAACATTATATATTTAATATTTTAAATTTGTGTATATTAGTGTGACACAATGCCTGAATCAGCAGCTATTTTTCCTCAGAGTGTAAGATATTTCAGTGTTTTATATAACTAACCTCCTGTTATTTTACCACATATATGTAAAATGAGGGAGGGGGGAACTGAGAACAGGACCAAGGCAGTCATCTTAAATGTCTTACACAATATGTTTAAATTTAAAGAGATGTTATTTAATAAACCACTTGTCTGAATCTCCAAATTCCAGGTTTCAAAGTGTGTTCAATCCTAGAACAGCCTGGGTAGGCTACCTTAATCAACTTTCTATTATCTTATGTGTCCAAATTTCTCCAAAATTGTCTTCTACAAAAAGGCAACACCTTATATTTGAGTCCTTTCAAAGTTTCATATTACATGGGCCTCTTTGAAGAACAAAGAACTGCTCCAGGAAGACACTTCAGCTTGAAATAACCTAAAAATCAATGCAGTTTTGATAGAAAAAAAGAAGAGTCATTTAATCAAACAGTCAAGAGGGAAGCAAAGAAATGTAATGCAGATTTAGTTCTCATTCTTGAAGGGACACATGACCTCATAATTTCTAATGTTAGAAACTGTTATAAGCAAGCCTTTTAAAGATTACTTTAAAAAGTAGTAGTATTATGTCTGCCCAGAATATATAATCTGAATTCAATCACAAGGAAACATCAAACCAACTCAACTGACAGACATTCTGTAAAATAACTGGTCAGTATTCTCAAAAGATGAAGGAAGACTGAGAAGTCAGGACAAGTAACTGCTTTATGATCCTGAATTGGATCACAGACTGGAAAAGGGATATTAGCATTTTTTCAAAGGGAGTCTCAGTTACTTTGGTCTGTTAAACAAAAACCTAGAATTCCCTTAGCTATAGTGAAAATGATATCTACTAAGAAAAGTATGATACTTCTTAAAGATTTTTTGTTTTGTTTTGGCCAGGATAATATTAATAGCACACATATCTCAGTGTCTTAATTCAGCCACAGGCATACAAGTACATTCTTCTAATGGATTCTTGAATCTGAAAGATCAGCCGTAATTATAATATATGACAAACAGAAGAAGAATAATCCCATTTTGTCTGTATTAGGAAACAGTGAGATCAAGTGCATATTTTGCTGGATTACTGTGAAAGTTGTTGTGGGTGTTTACACTTGTTTACAATGCATTTTTGTTAGCAAGAATGTGAATTACCAAAATACCCAAAGTATATAAACCAAATATTTAAAACAAAATTGACATGGTGGGGAACCATTAAAAATTAACTGCATAATGATGAACACTATACAACTTTAGCATATTCACAATGGTTAATGTAATCACATTCCAAGTATGTCCACTCTTGGCAGACACTGCAAACATTAATGCCAGAAAACATTATTCTTTTTCAAAACATTAACTCCACATTCAAATTCTGATAGTTTTAAGTTTTAAAATCCTTTGGCAGTGGGTTTTAACAATTAGTTGGTTAATAAAAAATATCGGGCAGGATAAACTAAAACGATTCTTCTGTTTCAGCCACACACAGAATCATTAGAAGCCACCATATTTTGGAATTAAATGTGGTATTCCAGAACATGCATTCTCTCCCTGCTGAATTTCAGCAGACATTCCCTTCTTTTACTGGTTCAGGCAATATAGCTCTGGATCCTTGGGACACTGCAAGGGCACTAGGGCCTTGCCTCTGCAGCCATGCCAGATCCTGTGGCCACATCAGCTTGCAGAGGTGCCTCCCACCCTTCCACCCTTCCAGGAAGCTGGGCAACAGCTGCACAGGAATGTCCACTCTCTGAGCGCCAGCCACTGAAAGACAAAGCACTTCTGTCTCCTCCTCCTTCTGCATTCCTGGAGGATGTTCAAACAGACCAGGGGTTTATTTAACTAAGTTAAAATATAGGTCTGGTTAGTGTTTTTGGTCAAAGGAAATCTTTAAAGTAGCCACAACACAAATTCTGAGCATCACTACATAGTTTATCTTAAGCACATCCTCAATCAAAAATACTACCTACTTCTTGTGTTTTAGACGAAATTGCTGTATAATGTAATAATGGGCCAGTCCACCTGGGAAGGATGATAGTGCAATGTGGTTTTTTTGGTGATGGTGAAACCAGGAGACAACAGCAGTGGGAGTAGGTGTCTTGCAGCCACAGAGACACAGATATAAATCTCTCTTTCACCCCTAATTGTACACTCTTGGGATCTTGGGCATGTTCACCTAATCACACTGTGCCTCGGTTTCCCCACCTGTGGAAAGGCATTGATAATATTTACCTTGGAAGGTGGATTAGGGGATTCTAGAAAATATATGTAAGAGCCAAGCAGGTGCCTGGCATACAATAGGCACTGAATATGTTTATTTCTATAATAATGAATGATAATAATAATACAGATGAGCATACATTTTATTTTCAAAAGACAAACGTTCAATTTATACAGAAAAAAATTCAAGGAGAAAAATTAATTGGCTTTATTGCTGCGAATGAATTGCAACTCATTATTCATCTTCTAGTGATGCATCTAAGCTTGAAAGCTCAAGAACCTAGAAATGGGGAGGATAACACCCTGAGGCAGACCATGATCACCTTGCAAGCTAGCTTGAGATACGTAGCTAATTCCATTCTTTTCTGCCTTTTTTCTCTTACAATGTAGAGATGGGGGTCTCACTGTGTTGCCCAGGCTGTATCGCTTGAACTCCTGAGCTCAAGCGATCATTCCTCCTAGGCCTCCCAGTGTTAGGATTACAGGCATAAGCCACCGCCCCTGACCTTTTCTGCCTTTGTGTATATTTATGAATATACCTCAAAGATGATGGAGGAAACTCCCTGGTGTGGGAAAGCCACATCCATTCTCCACATCCTGCTTTGGGAAGATTTGCTTCCCTTAGTTGCTGTCACTTCAGCCTCTGACGTGACAGAGTCTTATGCAACAAAATGATTCCTCCACTGTTATGTCAGCAGGTGGAATGAAATGCTCATCTTCCAGGCAAGGCAGATGCTTCCCCCAAGAGACCCGTGTGGAAAAGCTGCTTCCGGCCCTGCAGCACTTTGCATCACTTTTCACACTGCAGCTCTGACACTTACCCCCTCCTCAGAATCTGAGAGAAATCTCCTGGCTAATGAGGGACTCCCTGACAAATGCCTCCATAAGTTAATACACATTAGATTACCAGAGGTAATGGAACAATAAATGTTCCCAGGGGCCTTCAGCATCCCTGGAAGTGTCATCCTGCCCATTTGAGTCAAACTACAGTTAAAAAGTTACCAACAATTATATGGAAACTACCATCTTGACTTTGTCGGAGGAACTCAACCATCATTAAATAGACAATGCTCCTAGGGATTAAAAAACAATCAATGCTCCTAGGGATTAAAAAACAATCTTAGATCTTTTTATCCCATGGGAGCTAGTTTAGATTTCTGAATCGTCTCAGGGCTGATCTGGGCTTCTAAACTGTGGGAAGAGGCAGCAGGAATGAGGAAGCAACTCTGGGTGCAAAGGTCAAGACAGGTGAGAAAGCTGTGTGTGTTTGAGAAATTATCAGTAGAGCTACCAGGCAGACAGGATTTTACCTAAAACCTATATCATTTTAAAAGTTGTGTGCACAGAGAATTTCAGAAAATCTCTATACTCAAAAGAATGTATGTAAGATTTTGTTATCGTTTTCAAATTGTCCAACCTGAGCTATTTCCTTGGGCTTAGGATCAAAGGGTCATTGTTACTGTGATTTCAGGTTGCAGTGCGCTAACAGCACATCTCAAAGCACAAAACACTAAATTTCAAAGGCTATTTAGGAAACTGACCTTTGCACTTGCTGTTTTCTTCCCCAGAAAATTCTGACCTCAGTCGTAACGGAACAGTCCATTCCCTTACCTCGTTTTGGGTCTCTGCTCAAATGTCCACTTACTGATGATGCCTCCCTACCATCCCATTTGAAGTGGCACAAAAACACTCAAACGCAGGCTCTACATCACCTTTGGATGCCTTCGTTTTCATTATTCCTTTTCTTTCTCACCATCTCTCATACTACAGATGCATTTGCTTATTTTCTGCCTTCCTCTCCCCACAGATGCAAGTTTCATAGAGGAACTTTGTTTTTTCACTGTTACATCCCAGTTCCTGACAGAGTACCTGAAACATGGTCACTGTTCTATTCAATAAATATTTGTCAAATGAATAATGAACTGTATAGATGGTTTACCAAATGTCACGTATCTCTAATTCTCTTCCTAGCAGCACTGAAACTCTAACAAAGGTTCTGAGACACACACACAAGGCTCACATCTCCTTAGATGTCTTTTGCTGTTTCAGCTTATGAAGCAAATGTATCCTTCTAAGTTACCCCCAAGAATTTACAGAAGCAAGTTTCTCTTCTAATCTTCTCATGATATAGCGTTAATTAACACACCACTTGCCCTTCTCTGCAAATATCAAAAATTTTGATGCTCAGAGAAACCTAGTTCTCTTTTCTTACCATATTGATCTGAAGAGCTGGTGAAGAGAAGATAGTCAGAAGCACAGGTCTGGGATTCGATATCCAAATCTCCCAACCTCAGAATCAGTCTTTTCCCCTTTGGTACTGTAATTGTCTTTTCGCAAACAGTGTGATTGGGGTAGGTCCCGGGATAATTCTTAGATGTCATTGTGCCACTATCCTGATAAGTCACTAGGTGTCCACAGCCATCACCTGGTAAAGAAAAAGAAGGGGGGAATAAAAGAAGAAGGGGTCATTAATTCTTACTGAGGATTGAGAGTCCAATACAATCTCCAAGTTATGTATTTTATTGTTTTTGGGCAGAAGGAAAACCAAAAAACAAAAAAAGAAGACTGAATTATTAAACAATATCTATTGTTTCAGGTTATTTCATCTCTTGTTTTCCAGTTTTATCTTCTTGTTGATCAAAACATTTCACACATTAGAACGGAAAGCCCTTAGGAAACAAATCATTTAATCATTATTTTTTCTAATCATCTATCTCTCCACCCGTCCAAACTTGCTCAGCAGGCCTTGCATGCATTTGCCAAGCCAAATGTCATGTAATAATTCACAATGGAGAAAAAATATTACTCACTTTAGAAGGTGGTTGTGCTGATTAAATGAGATAATGTACAGAAAATGCTCCTGTTAGAATCTGAGGCTTAAGCTGATGTAACTTTGTTTAGCTACAAGTCATTTAGCTGGGGACTGAGCCTAATAATCATTTGAAATGTATGTCTTAGTTAATGACACTCACAGATTCTAAAGTTCCTCATAGACTTGGGATGTACAATCAGAAAATGTCAAGGATCTACTATGTTGAGTGCTTTTCATAACCAGACATGGTATTAAAAGCTGGAAACACAAAAGCAGCACTTGCTGTCTCATAGAACTCAGAGTAAAATGGCAAATAGTCACACATTCAAATAACTATAATTCTAGGTGCTATGTGTTATATATACATCAGGGGTCTAAACAAAATGCAAAGGAGAGAGGCAAGAAAGAATGTTGCAGCGAATTACCAGCATTTCATCAAAACAAGAAATTATCTGAAGACTTTTCTGAATAGGGAAGTTCACCTATTAACCTACAAGTTGCTCTAGTTGATTGAAGTGACTTAGTCAATCACACAACTATCCAAGGACATGCACAACTGGGTGGGCTGCAAGGAGAATGAGCATACACTGCATTCAGATTGCAAAATGTCTGTGGTTAGCACAGCTTCACATAAATGAAGCAAAAATTTCTGGTCTCAGCTGGAGGGAGAGAAGCAGAAAGCTGTTGAAGAAGGAACTCTCAAAGGTAGTAAAAGAAGGCCTCTCCATCCCAAAGTCTCTGATGGAGAAGCCTCACCTTGGGTATACTGTGAATCTGAGGACCTCAAAGCAGCCCTCTTCCCTCCCAGCCTCTTCCCCAGTTAGAGGTGGATTCAGGAGTCTTCCTTTATTCCACTTCCTTCTTGCCTTGAGGTGTTGGGGCCAAATGGTAATAGAGGTTTATTAAAAAATAAAAAGAAAAAAGAAAAAGATTTGAAAACTCCAGAATCTACATCATCTCAACAGCCAAGGCCTAGGGAAAGGATCTACCCATTATCCAGAAACTCCCACGAGATTCCTGGCAGCCCCTGACAGAGGGCTGAATTGGGGAAATAGAGTTGGCTTTAATGGACCAATGGGTTAAGAAGTGCCGGGGGGAACTTTAGACAGCCAAGATAAAACTACTATGAAGCCCTGAGATCTAGGCAGAATTAGTGAAATTTACATGGTAGGCAACAAAGACACATAGAATTTTTTGAGTAGGAAGATAACGAAACAGGTATTAGAAAAAGATGATCAACCTGGCTGGACAACGCTACAGGAACTAGAATGGGGACAGAATCTGGATCAGAGGAGCAGTAGGCAGGCTAGCAATGGGGGTAGCTGGAACAGGAAGGAAGGGAACAGAAAACAGGCAAATTCTTGAGACAAAATCAACAGACTCAGGTTTGGGGGAACTATGGTGAGAAGAACAAAGGAGAAAAAACACCAAGGCCTTGTTCAGTCCAGAAATGATTGCAACACAGAGGCCAATATAGACAGCAAAAAGAGTCCAGAGAGGGAGCAGGTTTGGGCCCAAAGGTTGTAAGTTTGGTTAAGTTTGAGGTGACGGCTAAATTCCTTGGGCTCCCTGGCAGTTGGTAAACACAAAATTGCCAAGAATTAAATGAAAATGATACAAGAGAGAAGCATAGTGTGCAGGAGCACACAGTGCACGGGGCTTTGATTTGAAATCTGAATTATTTGTCGGCTTTAAAGGGCTTTAATAAAATATCCAATTTATAGTTTCTCTTTAAAACTGAAGGACAAACTGGGAGTGGTGGCTCATGCCTGTAATTCCAGCATTTTGGGAGGCCAAGGCAGCGGATCACCTGAAGTCAGGAGTTCGAGACCAGCCTGACCAACATGGTGAAACCCTGTGTCTACTAAAAATACAAAAATTAGCTGGGCATGGTAGCGCGAGCCTGTAATCTCAGCTACTCGGGAAGCTGAGGCAGGAGAATCGCTTGAACCCAGGAGGCAGAGGTTGCAGTGAGCTGAGATCATGCCACTGAACTCCAGCCTGGGCAAGAGTGAGATTCCGTCTCAACAACAACAACAACAACAATGACAACTGAAAGACGTGACAACCACATGATCAGGCATTCTCACAGGGCTAGTGACACAGTGGCTGTCCCTTGAAAGGAGCCAAACACCCTAGTTCTTCACCAGGTCCTTGTTACTCATTTCTGTTACCTGCCCTACCTTTGTAAGCATTTATTTTGAGCACCCTCATAAAGCAATCCTAGGGTAATTAGTACAAACAAATATGCATCTCAATATAAACACAACACAACCTCTCCAAGCCACCAAAAAATCTCCTGATCAAATATTTAAATGTCACTTTTCTTAGGACTATGAAATTCTCCTTTCATAAAAGAGGAAGAGAAAAACTTTTTTTTTTTCAGAAAACAGTTAAATATGAAATAAGGAGCAATTATATGAGTCAACCTACATGTGACTATCATATTCTAAATTTTATTTTTTTAAAGTGACATGTGTCAGCAAAAGAAAATCTTAGGGTGTCACTGTTTTTTTTGAGACGAAGTCTCACTCTGTCGCCCAGGCTGGAGTGCAGTGGCAGGATCTTGGCTTACTGCAGCCTCTGCCTCCTGGGTTCAAGCGATTCTCCTGCCTCAGCCTCCCGAGTAGGTGGGACGACAGGTGCATTTACGTACGGCTAATTTTTTTGTATTTTTAGTAGAGACGGGGTTTCACCGTGTTAGCCAGGATGGTCTCGATCTCCTGACCTCATGATCCACCCACCTCGGCCTCCCAAAGTGCTGGGATTACAGGCGTGAGCCACCGCACCCGGCCAGGGTATCACTTTTATTCAGCCCTGTAATTGTATTTCTTTCCGACCACTTCCACTGTAAGGCCTAAGAGGAAACTTCTTTCACCCAGCAATGCTGGCACAATGCAGGCAAGTTCAAATCGTCAACATTCCCATCGTTACTTTGCCTGGGGATCTCTACCTCCTTGGGAAAATTTCTCTCTTCCATTAACTATCAGAACAAAACCCCATGAGTCTTTGTTCTGCCAAAGAACCTGAATCGCAAAGGAAGTGCTGAGTCCTAATTTATTAAAAAGCGAACTGTCATCAGAAGTTCTAGTATCACTCTAACCTATGGAAGTAGACTATTTATGGAGTTTTCTGTGGCAAGACTAATATAATAAGTTTATTCCATGGGTATTAACTACATCAGGAATTTTCACTCTCTTGTGCTTCCACAGTTTGGGTGATTTCAAAGGATTAAGTAGAAAGATGCCAAAGGGTAAAATGAAAAACTGCTAGGGAGAGAAAATGCCTACAATGTCATGTGTTGAAGAAGGCAGATGCGTACACATGAAAACCAATAGACAAGTATTATTTATTTATTTTTGAGACGGACTTTCGCTTTTGTTGCCTAGGCTGGAGTGCAGTGGTGCGATCTCAGCTCACCGCAACCTCCGCCTCCCAGGTTCAAGCGATTGTCCTGCCTCAGCCTCCTGAGTAGCTGCGATTACAGGCATGCGCTACCACACCCAGCTAATTTTGTATTTTTAGTAGAGATGAGGAGAAGCATTATTCTTATTACCTCATTCTGACACTCAGGTAGCCTACCTCTCATAGCCTGACTCTCTCTAATTGACAATCACTGACAAAGAAGACAAAAGTTACTTAAAAATCTATCAGTTTATCTTCTTTGTCTTAGGTATCAATGTCAGTATCCTGGTTGTGATATGGTATTGTAGTTTGCAAAGATGTTATAATTGAGGGAAACTAGGTAAAATGTATACAATATCTCTCTGTATTAGTTCTTCCAATTGCATGTGATCTACAATGATCTGAAAATAAAAAGGTTAATTAAATAATTGAAAAAATAATGTCAATCAAGTTTGCCTGGCTGGGGATGGAAGTGAGGAGGCTTTTACTTTTTCTATTTTATACTTTTTTATACTCTTTGCATTTTGTTATCCTGTATGCTTTTTCTCTTTTTTTTTTCTTTTTCTTTTTGAGACGGTCTCATTCCATCACCCAGGCTGGAATACAGTGGCACAATCACAGCTCACTGCACCCTCGACCTCTGAGGCTCAAGCAATCTTCCCACGTCAGCCTCCCAAGTAGCTGGAACTACAGGCACACACCACCACACCTGGCAGATTTTTTTTTTTTTTTTTGGTAGAGATGGGGGCCACACTATGTCGCCCAGGCTGGTCTGGAACTCCTAGGCTCAAGCGATCTTCCCGCCTTGGCCTCCCAAATGCTGGGATTACAGGTGTGCACCACTGCACCTAGCCTAAAATTCTTTTAATTAAAGCATTAAACAGATCTGCAAAAAAAAGCTCTCTATGAAATACAGTTGACCCAGTTTCTTCAGCAATGAATTAAATGAAGAGGCACACACAAAAAAGTGTTTATTTTAGATTTAAAAGACACTTATGTGCCATAGCAATTAAGTGAGACTTGCTTGAATCCTGATTTGAAAAACCAACCTTATAAAATCTTTTAAATAGATAATTGAGATATTAAATAATTTCAGATAATTATAATTTTATTAGGTGAGATAATGGCATTGAGGCTACATAAGAAAATGCCATTTTTTTGAGGGATGCCTACTGACATATGCAGGGCTGAAATGACATAAGGTCTGGGATTTGCCTTAAAATACCTGGCAAAAAAGAGGTGATGCAGAATAAATGAAAAAATACGGAGAAATGTTGATGGTTGCTATAGATGGATGATGAGGGCTCACAGTTCTAAGAATATTAAAAATTAAAAGAAATAAAGATCCATCTTTAAGGGAAAAAAATAAAACCACGATCTTATGATTAAACTCCAAGTAGTGTTGTGGGGAGGATAGGCCGGGAGTGACACAGTAAAGTGCCACCTATCTAACATCAAAATAGGGGGAATGGGGAATGAAGAGGGGAGGAGGAAGTTTTGCCACAGGGAATTTGACCACTCTTCAAAGTGGCTACACCACACAATGTTTATCTGTTCCTTCCTTTCGACTGTAATTTCTTGCCAAAGCACATGATGACTAAACTAAGTATCATTTCCTCCTCTTCTAGACTGAAAGCTCCTCTCAACTGTAGAATATTTCCAGGGTGGTCTCTCTGTAATGGGCCTAAATCCTGGTGTCTGTTTGGAGCCACAGCTGGTTTGTGACACTGACCACCACTTCCTCAAAACAATTTACAAGAACAAAACTAGATGTATGAAGTTTAGATTCTGGAAAAAGGTGCAAGTATTCATGAATATTTCAGAACTCCCAAAGTGATCTATGTACAGAATTTAAGTATACAGATTTTAATTCTGAACATTTGGAAACAATCTAAATTAGAAATGAACAGCCAAACTGATATCTCCAAGCAATGTGATGTTAAGGAAGTTACTCATGTTTTAGAAGAATATTTAACATGAAAACACTTTAATACAGAATATATTGTACACACATAGATGTGTAATATTTAAAGTGTTTACTTCTATGGTATAAGTTTACAAGTGATTTTCATTTTATTTATACATTTTTCCTCTAAATATTCTATAATATGAATACATATAAAGGAGAAAAATAATATAATTAAAACTACCAAATTCACCTAACATTCTTTGTAACACTAAAGGCTACTTTCAACATTAGCCTCATAATACAGATAGGAAGAAGTCACGGACTGTCATTAAAAATTCAGGAAACAAACAACTAGGAACTTAGTATACTGTAGTTCTCACTTCAAGAAGTCCAGTCAAGAGAAGAAAGATATATTAACAAGTAAATTCTTGAGACTAACTTGACAGAGTTACAGAGATATGGACTCAGTATCTATTCTCCAAATGCCTGAAATTAATGGATAGGTCTCTACCTTTTAGCTTTTAACATCAGCTATTCAAGAGTTGTCGATATACAAGCTACTTTCTAAATAAGCTTAGAACAAATCCTAGATGCTTGTATACACAAGCCAATCCTTTATTTAGTCTACTTTAATTCCATCCACTACAAAAGGAAAACAATAACTTCCTTAAAAGACTATTTCCCTTTGATAAGAAATCATGTTCCACTAAAAGAAAAGCAAAATAAGATATACCTGGTATGGACTAAGTTCTGCAATACTAGAAAGTATGATTAGACTTTAAAAGAAAACTTGTAACTGAATTGCACTTGTTGGAAAATGATTTGGGTGGAGTAAATTGAACAGTGCAAATATACTTTTTTTAAATTTTTTTTGAGACGGAGTCTTGCTCTGTCGCCCAGGCTGGAGTGCAGTGGCGCAGTCTCGGCTTACTGACCTCCGCCTCCCAGGTTCAAGCAATTCTCCTGCCTCAGCATCCCGATTAGCTGGGATTACAGGCATGTACCACCAAGCCCGGCTAATCACATATACTTTTTAGATTGATTATTAACTAGTCCTTAGAGTAAGACAGAAACCTCAAGCTTTTTTAAAATTATTATTATGGCCTAGAGTTAGAACACAGATTTTTTTATCACACCTCAAGTAATCACATATGCATACACATGCATAAACAATGAACAAAAGTTAAATGATACCACTATTTTATTACATGTAATGCACTGTGATTATTTCCTATTCTATTCAGTTTCATTTTTGTTTTTGTCAAAGCATACTGGTTGTGCCTACTGAAGTGATTTCATTACCTATTAATGGGTCCTAACCTGCAACTTGGGAAAGAGTGCTCTAAAATATCACAAAAGTAAAACCATTTCTAAAAACATGATTTCATTAGTTGTATCCTTGCTCTTCTAATATTCAAGTTACAACAGGTCTCAACACATATACAATCATCCATGTGTGGGTGTGAGAAAATTTCTTCCCATGTCTAAGATCAAGTGAGCTCTTGATGACTACAATCTTTTCAACCACAAAGGAGAGCTTGCAATTATTACAGAGTTTTGTCTGATGGTAGGGCAAACAGATTTTCCAAGATATCATTAATTCCATTCTCAGCCTTACTCTCTTAGAAACTTTGCTCTTCTTCAATTGTGCTTAGCTTTTTACCTTGTAGGCCGCCAGAAGCAAAAGAAAAACAGGAGCAAAAGGGCCTCAGTTGCTATGTGAGAATGAACAAAGGCAAAACAGAACTTGTAATGATAAAACAAAATAATTATTCAAAATCTTCAGTTTTTCTGAAAGGAATATGGATAATAATACTATGCTGAAAGAAGTTACAGCTATCGACTAGAAACACATGACCATGTTTTATAAAACTGACAATCTCTTTCAACTTTATTCTCACCACATATAAAATAGATGCTAATGATATGACTAGTGATCTAATAAGGATGATAATGCTGTTGACTCAGCAGATGAAACATTTGAAAGTAAAATAAAAGGAAACACAAGGAATATGTCAAAAGTCTCTCTGTGGAAACTTTCAACATTCCTATCAGCTAAAAGTGTCACTTAAAATAAATCAGTCTGAATGTATGAAAATGAATCAAATCATTTAAAGAGATCCTATCTACGATTCCTCTATGATTCCCTATATAATGTGGGATTACTTCCATCAGTGTCCAAAGACATCAATAATTACCATGTTAAGATATTTAAAAGATTCATAATTTGCTGCCAAAGGAAAAAAATCTCAAAATCTAGCCAATGCTATTCTTTAATGTGCTATACATAAAATCAGTGAACACTGCAGTTTTTGGTCACTCTCCAGTCTTGAGACTTCTGCTGAAAAGCAAAAGATTATTAGAAGGCTTGTGGATGTGGGGGAGGAGAGTTGACACACCTATCATTTCCTAATTCATAAATTATTTCCATATACTTGGGAGGTGACAGAGCATAATGGTTACAACCTGGATTCTGGCACAGCCCTGCCTAACACTGGCTTTGTGGCCTTGGGTGAGTCTTTTTACCTCTCTAAGGTAAAACTGAATTCCATCATCCATAATCTAAAGACAACAATAGTGCCCAATTTCATGAGCATTAAAAGGGAGAATGCTAATAAAAACAAAGTATCAAGCACAGAGGCAACCATATAGTAAAAATTCAATATGTTAACTGCTACTATTTTTATCTTAAAATTCTACACATTATTAAAGTATCAAAAATATTGCTTTGAATTAGCTGACTTTGTCCAAATTCCATCACCCATTGGCTGTATGATCCTAAGAAATCCCCCATTTAGTGTATATCAATTTTCCTCATCTGTAAAATTACCAACCATAACTGGGTGTGGTGAAGATGAATAAGGCTGTGTGTGTGTGCTTTAATCGGCTGAGAAAGTCTAATTAGAATGCATTTCCCAGTATTTATCTAATGCCCACTTACTGCTATGTCAGCATGTCCTGAAGTAGATACTGTGGTACTAGTCTGGGTGGTTTACCAGGGGGTTATGCCCTCACCCTCCTCAAAAGAGCTGC